>NC_000015.10:29943540-30246570 GCF_000001405.40 Homo sapiens
TTGCTGGAACTGGGAGGTGGATGTTGCAGTGAGCTGAGATTGTGCCACTGCATTCCAGCCCAGGCTGACAACAGTGAGACTCCATCTCAAAAAAAAAAAAAAAAAAAAAAAAAGGCAATATTTTCAGGCCAAGCATGGTGGCTTATGCCTGTAATCCTAGCACTTTGGGAGGCCAAGGTGGGCAGATCATCTGAGGTCAGGAGTTTGAGACCAGCCTGGCCAAAATGGTGAAACCCCGTCTCTACTAAAAATACAAAAATTACTGGGTATGGTGGCGCGCGCCTGTAGTCCTAGCTACTCAGGAGGCTGAGGGAGGAGAATTGCTTGAACCCAGCAGGCAGAGGTTGCAGTGAGCCAAGATTGTGCCACTGCACTCCAGCCTAGGTGACGGAGCGAGACTCCATCTAAAACAAAACACACACACAAAACTAAATAAGACTAAACAAAAATTTTCTACCTGTTAAGGTACTTAAAGGAAATATTTTGTATGTAAAAATTAAAAATCGTTAGAAAACAGGTACTTGACTTTAAATTTATTTATTTATTTATTTATTTATTTTATTTATTTTTGAGACAGAGTCTTGCTCAGTTGCCTAGGCTGGAGTGCAGTGGTGCAATCTTGGCTCACTGCAAGCTCCGCCTCCCGGGTTCATGCCACTCTCCTGCCTCTGCCTCCCGACTAGCTGGGATTACAGGCGCCCGCCACCACACCCGGCTAATTTTTTTTTGTATTTTTAGTAGAGACGGGGTTTCACCATGTTACCCAGGATGGTCTCGACCTCCTGACCTCGTGATCCACCCGCCTTGGCCTCCCAAAGTGCTGGGATTACAGGCGTGAGCCACCGCGCCCGGCCTTGACTTTTTAGTATCACAATTTTGACCTAGTGAATACTGTGACCAGCTTTTGTTGGTGGGGGGACGGGGACGGGGGCACCAAGGAATTTATGACCCTATGTTTATAAATACAGATATCTGAATTGGAATTACACCAACACTGGCAACATCTTATTGACAAAATATTTTAATTTCATAAAGCCAATATAATCCCTTGTTCAATTTTCTCTAAAGTACACGAAACAGCTAATTTTTTCCTTCTTCAACTGATCTTTTCCTGCAATTATTTTCACTGAGATAAGGCTTTTCTAAGTAAATTTTAAATCAATCGGATTTTACCTACTTCAAATATTTACCAATTATAGCTTCTGTCATTATGAATTCTCTCTACTGGCAACTGCTTTTTGTTTATTTTATAAAGTCCAATAACCTGGATCAAAGTCTGAAGATTTTAAATCTGTCATGAATATTTCATTCTTTTGTTGATCTGAATTCAAAAACAAATTTTACTGTATTAAATATCAGCAAATGTCAATTTTAATTTTACTTCTTCTGTCAGCTTTTCAACTGTATGAGGTTTGACTATGCCACTTAACCCAGTGTCTGTCTTGTTTTATGTTGACTATTTCTACCAGGAATTGTCATTATGAAATATTCTACAGGACTGGTCTACTTTAATAAAAATCCAACCCTCCCACATACTTGTACACTTGTGATCACTTGGGATCTCATACTAACCTTCCTCACTGGTGAGTAACTCCCCTCTGGTGTTTCAAGTATATGGTCACGGAGACAAGGGCCAGGTCAAAATGTCCCCAAGACCAAAAGGTCTAGGCCCTAACACTGGAGCCAAATGTTCAGTGCATGTGTAGACAACGTGTAGCACAAGTATGTGCCTAAGTAGGAATTATGTTAGCTAGGAGAATCTGGAAAAAGTAAGAACTTTTATTCTAAGAATCACCAGCTGATATTCTTTTCACTAATTTCCAAAGAGAAAGACATAGCCAAGTCAGTTGGTGAGATTTCAACAAGTACTTATCGAGAAGCTGAAACTGCCCTACAAACTTCATTACTTCAAACCATTCCATTTGAGATAAGAGCTCCTCTACTCTCTCTCACTAAAACCTCACTTGCCAAGAATTCCCCCAAAGCCACATGGAGGCCCATGGCAGCACGAAACCCAATGCCCAGGATACTGGGCACTGGTGGGCAGAGGAGGATCAGTGTGCTTGGGAGACTACTTACACTGAGCCAAGAGTAAGTTTGACAGCAACAAATGAAGGGATGAGGACAGGGAAAGCTAGGTTTCTCACTACTGGAACACAGAAAGGGAGGAAAGCTAGAAAGAACTATGAGGCAAGGAACGGAAATAGGAGTACCAGTGAGAACTTAAGGCTATTAAACACACACACACACACACACACACGCACACACACAGAAGGACACAGGTTACAGATGATAATGTATATGTGCTTGCATGTTCATTTATATTCACTGTATCTTTTCTGCTGTCTGCTGAGAGGGCCTGGAAGAAATGTACAGTACATCAAAGAAATAAGCACACTGAACCCCCTACATCACGGTTTCTAAATACTCCATCAAAGGGAACCAGAGCCTCCTTGAAGAAAAGGCTTATTCCAGGACTGGGGCAACAAAAGTATAAACTAAACCTGGAACACAATATGCAGAAAACAAGGAAGTGTTCAAAGATTGAAAGGGACATGTCACAACATCAGGAGAGCCAGGCTGAAGGAGCTCCCACTGTCTAAATCACAGGTCTCCACGAGTTGACACTGTTACAAAGAAATGAATGACAATGCAAATTAATAGACAAGAGAAAGCTTTTTACTACAGTGGAATGCCAACTAATAAATGCAGAATGAATGAAAGGAATATGAAATCACTATTTGGCAATCAGCATAGACGTGGCTGATTTGGGCAGGAGTCATCCGTGGAGGCCAGGGCTAGTGGATGAAAGTCTGATGAGAGACACTGGTGTAATCTTGAAACATCTCACCACAAAATACTAATGAATTACCAAGAGGACCACATGGTGAATTAAGTGTGAGAGAATCTGGCAGACGCAACATGCCCAGGCCAGCAAGGTTAACCTCAGGGCATGCGCCCTGATGCGAGGCTCTGAGAAGCACAGCATCATTTCCGTGGTATTTCTTCCCAGGATGCATGGCCTGAATCTGCTCATGAAGAAACACTCGATGGACCCAGGCTGAAAATTCTTTAAATTTGTCAAGGCCATGAAGGACAGGGAAAGGCCGATTTCTGTTTCCATTTTCAGTGCCCCTTTCATGGCCTAACTGCCAGCAAGGCCATTTATTCACTTAATCATATCTATTCATTCATTTGACAAATATTTATACTGAGCTGCACCAAACCCTTAACATTATGCCAGGTATTATAAAGCAATCTAATTTTATGGCACATAAGCTGTCAGAAATTGGGGAAGCAATATGAACACACAAATTCTAACATAAGGGATCCTGTAAGGTTGCACAGTAAAACAAGACTTCCTGAATGAGGGATAATTCGGGGAGCAATTTGTCCTAGATAGACAAGTTTTCATAAGTCTAACTAAAAATGCTACTGCAGGCACTAAATCTTTTTGTATTTTAACCATTTGGCTGCATTTTTTTGTTGTTCTAAAATATATTACTCACTTTCCTGCCTTCGTAAACTGAACACAATGTGGTCATTATTTTATGCAAATTTTAGTTGTATAAATCTAAATCATGCAACATAAAATATTAATAAAGTCTCACTTCATGAACACACCTGAAATTATGCAAATGTCCCAAATTAAAACTAAGCACCTAGAATTACATAATTTTAAACTGGCAGGCTGAGTGAATTAACCTGTGTGTCTATTACTGGTCCATGGCAAACCGATTTATCTGAAAACAGAAATAAGCCACCATACTTGTAGCTTATTGAGAGTCCTATGGGAAAAATAGTCTCAGAATCATAGGAATTTTGAATTATGCAGACACCTCAGATACGTATCTCTGAAAATGCCATGACAGCAACTATAATTTAACCTATTTATGAGTTGGCTTCTACTGTGGCATTAATTTTCTGGTCTGTGAGTTAAAGACTTGCTGGGAGGTCTGGCGGAGCAGACCCTGCTAGTTACCTACAAAGTACCCGTTTCCTCCTTCTTCCTTACTAGCAGAACCCATTTTCATCCCTAGGAGCCTGTGCCACCAAAACTCCCCATTTTCCACCCTCCCTTAGAACAGAAAATGGCAATGTGATGCAATTCTTGCCAAGGAGATGTAGAGAGATGTCCCTGGGGAGGGCATCTCCCCTGAAACTAAAGGGCAAAGCTTCACTAGGAGAAAGTTTTCTGACCCTTTACTCTGCCCCATTATTTTTGTTAGAAATACAGCATGTGAGGGCAGAGTCACAGCAGCCACCTAGAGACTGGACGAATGAGGGCTGAGGCCTATAAAACGAGGGCAGCCTGGAACAGTGCGGAAGGCTGGTCTCTGGGAACATCACAGCACAGCTGTGCCAACCCTGGGCTGCCTTCCCCCACACTCCTTGCTACAAGAGAAAAATGCTCCTGTTACTTTACTTTAAATGACAATCATTTGGGTGGGCACGGTGGCTCACACCTGTAATCCCAGCACTTTGGGAGGCCAAGGTGGGCGGATCACGAGGTCAAGAGATCAAGACCATCCTGGACAACATGGTAAAACCCCATCTCTACTAAAAAGACAAGAATTAGCTGGGCATGGTGGTGCCCGCCTGTAGTCCCAGTCACTCCTGCTGAGGCAGGAGAATCGCTTGAACCCAGCAGGCGGAGGTTGCAGTGAGGCGAGATCGTGCCATCACACTCCAGCCTGGCAACAGAGCAACACTCCATCACAAAAAAAAAAAAAAAAAGACAATCATTCAATCAACCAAAGGCACTGAGTGATATTTGAGGATTATTTATTTGCTCCTGTCCTAAACAGTCTTACCTTATTAATACCATGTCTTTTATCTTTTATATTCTTATGGCCATTATTTATGGAGTCTCAGACTTTTCCTTTGGTCAAAGAACCCAGCTAAGAAAATCAATACATGACATTCACCAGGCCAGAGCCTGGTCCAGCATAAGGTCCAGTGAGACAGAAATGAGAAGTAGGAAAGAGAACTTTAGGGGAAGTTTTCTATGCTTGAAAGAGAGCCACAGAAAGAGACACTGCCCCTGGCCTTTATCCTTGTGGACGTGAGGCCTGAACTGCTGCCCATGGCATGGCACAAGCCTACCGAGGAAGCCTACGCAGAGGAGGGGAGATGCAAAGTATCCCAGGAAAATGGAACCAGACCCACAGGATTCAATTAGCCCTGAAGAACATCCTACTGCAGAACTTCTAGTATATAACTTAATATCTTTATTATTTAGACCAGTTTGAGTTAGTGTTCTGTTATTTGCAAACAGGAACATTTCAACGACCTCAGAACGTGAAAGACTCAGCCCACTGTAAGAAGAGAAGAAGGCTCAATCACTCTCTACCTCCACATCTACTACTAATAACACCTCCACCACCACCTCCTCCTCTTCCAACTCCACCACCACCACCCCCTCCACCACCTCTACCATCACAACCTACTCCTTCACCACCACCTCCACCACTTCTACCCTCACAAACACCCACCACCATCACCTCCGCCACCTCCACCACCACCTCTACCACCACAACCTACTCCTTCACCACCACCTCCACCACTTCCACCTCTACAACCACCACCTCCACCTCCACCTTCACCACCTCCACTACTACCTCCACCACCACCACCTCCATCACCTCCACCACCAGCACCTCCACCACCACCACCTCCACTTTCACCACCACTACCTCCACCTTCACCACCACCTCCACCACCACCACCTCCATCACCTCCACCGCCATCACCTCCACCACCACCACCTCCACTTTCACCACCACTACCTCCACCACCTCCACCACCACCACCTCCACCACAACCATCTTCACCACTGCTACCTCCACCACCACCACCTCCACAACCACCACCTCTACCTCCACAACCACCACCTCCACCTCCACCTTCACCACCACTTCCACCACCACCACCTCCACAACCACCACCTCCACCTCCACAACCACCACCTCCACCTCCACCACCACCACCTCCACCACCACCACCTCCACAACCACCACCTCCACTTCCACAACCACCACCTCCACCTCCACAACCACCACCTCCACCTTCACCACCACCACCTCCACCTCCACCACCTCCACCACCACCACCTCCACCTCCACAACCACCACCTCCACCTTCACCACCACCTCCACCACCACCACCTCCATCACCTCCACCGCCATCACCTCCACCACCACCACCTCCACTTTCACCACCACTACCTCCACCACCTCCACCACCACCACCTCCACCACAACCATCTTCACCACTGCTACCTCCACCACCACCACCTCCACAACCACCACCTCCACAACCACCACCTCCACCTCCACAACCACCACCTCCACCTCCACAACCACCACCTCCACCTCCACCTTCACCACCACCACCACCTCCACAACCACCACCACCACCTCCACCACAACCATCTTCACCACCACCTCCACCACCACCACCTCCACAACCACCACCTCCACCTCCACCTTCACCACCACCTCCACCACCACCACCTCCACCACCACCACCTCCACCACCACCATCTTCACCACCACCTCCACCACCACCACCTCCACAACCACCACCTCCACCACCACCACAACCACCACCTCCACCACCACCACAACCACTACCTCCACCTCCACCACCACCACCACTTCCATCTCCACCTTTACCACCGCTACCTCCACCACCACCACCTCCTTCACTACCACCTCTATGACCACCACCTCCACTTCCACCTTCACCACCGCTACCTCCACCACCACCACCTCCTTCACCACCACTTCCTGTGCCACCACCACCACCTCCATTACCACTACTACCACCACCTCTACCTCCACCACCATAACCACCACCACTTCTACCACCATAAGTACACCATCATCACCACCACCTCCTCTTCCACCACCAACTCCACCTCCACCATGACCTCCACCTCCACCACTACCACTACTTCTACCACCATAACCACTCAATCATCACCGTGTGCCCAGAGCAGAGGAGCCCACGATGCTCCCTGCAGTTTCTTCCAGGCTCTCGTACTGGTGATGGGAGAACTGGTGATAAGAGTGGGAGTGAGAACGGGGGAAGGGGCCAGTCCCTTCCACAGAACTGGGAAGCCCAGAAGTGGTGTCCATGTCCCTCCATGGACTTTCTTTCTACCGTGTTCTCACCATTTCATGCCCAGCTCCCTTCTCACCAGCCAGGCGCCCATGGTGGAGAAAAACTTAGGATGTGTTTAAAGTCAAAAGGCAGTTTTGTGTCAAAACAGGTCCCTGAGGCCTCTCAGGGTCCCACCAGTCTCATAGTAGGAAGTCTCGAGGTTACATTCTGTAACCCCATATCCTTATCTGTAAAATGAGGCTGATGGTAATAGCTGTATCTATTTGACAAAGTTGTTATGAGGAGGAAATAGCTAATGTAATTAAAGTGCCTAGAACAGTGCGTGGCATTTAGTGAGTGCCACACATAGAATCATTTGTTAAATAAGTTAAATTGATCAATTACATGCATCAATTACATCAATTACATGAGGGGTTGAGGGAGGAGGAGAAATTTTTCATCTTCGATATCTTCACAGGGTTACAGATATTTCCTGTTAGTCTGCATGGATACTCTTTTTTTCTTTTCCTTTTTTTTTGAGATGGAGTCTTGCTCTGTCACCCAGGCTGGAGTGCAATGGCATGATTTCGGCTCACTGCAACCTCTGCCTCCTGGGTTCGAGTGATTCTTCTGCCTCAGCCTCCCAAGTAGCTGGGATTATAGGTGCCCGCTACCATGCCCAGCTAATTTTTGGATTTTTAGTAGAGACAGGGTTTTACCAGGTTGACCAGGCTGGTCTCGAACTCCTGACCTCAGAAGATCCACCCGCCTCGGCCTCCCAAAGTGCTGGGATTACAGGCATGAACCTCCGTGCCTGGCCAGATGCTTTTTTATATCAGGAGAAAGAAGTGTCTTTTCAAATCGAAAAAAAATCACTGCTATTAAAAAAACAAAACAATTATTCAAGGAGCAGTGACATGTGATTTATTAACCCAAAAATGTACTCAAATGTAACATTCCAAATAATATCTTCTCACATATTTCCCCCTCTAATGACAAAAACTCCTCTAAAGTTTTTGAAACATGTATCCCTTTTGCCTAATGATTATCAGTGATGACTGAATCCCCTGTCACTCAAGGTTAAGGGAACATCACCATAAACTGTTAATTGGATCATTGTTTCTATTCACTGCACAAAACTTTTTGTAGTATTTTTCTGTTGGCAGAGAGATAAGCAGCAATCTAGATTTACACCCACAAAGCAGGAAATAAACTGCCTAAGTTTATGTTCTAGAATACCTTCCTCCCAAACAGAATGAACTTCACCCAACTGGCTCCATTCCCCTATTTTAGGAAGGAGGTTTAATAAAAGAAGCTGCAAAATTTCAAGCAATTTGTTAAATTTTTAAATTATCACTTAAACTTCTTTGACTATACACTTAGAATCCAACACCAGAGTGAAATGGAACAGCTAGGAATGTAAACATCATTCACTAAATCTAAAGACAAAAGGTCACTTTTCTTTTTCATATTGATTGTTATATGTCTATCACCCCCAGGGGGAAAAAAAAGAACCTGCCATCTGGTTTATGTACCATTTTACTCATTACAACATTGAAGAAGGGCTCAGGTTTTCTAGGCAAAACACATACACAGAACAGAATTGTTGAGTCCAGGCTATGCCTAAGAGAATTTTACCAAGCATCTCTGGGACACTGCCTCAAGGAACCAGGGAGACTGGATGGATTCCAATCCCTGTCAGTAAACTAGGATGCCAATCAATTATCCTGCAGGGTTACAAAATGAACTAGAATGCCCATCCCATTTAATCCCCACAGAGAAAGCTGAAACAATCACTTCTCCCCAGGAGTGAAATGGCATCATTCTGATGATGCCCGGGACCAAAGCCAACAGGCTCAGCTGGAACCTGAGGCCTCTCAGCCAGAAACTGGGACCAGGAAACTACAGCAAGTGGATCTCTTGCTCCACTTGCTATGTTTTTCTAAAAGCAATAAAAGTTGTATTTTTCCTTAGACAAATTTGGAAAAATTAAAAGTAAAATATAAAAATAAAAATAGAAATATTATTCTGTTAGTTATACAAATTTGATATGTATATATGCCAGGAGATTATTAACTAAGTCTAAGCTTTCCTATTTCAAGGTTCTGTATTTACTTTGGCAGTCATAGGGAGTCATACATTTAATCAGAATTTTTAAATAAATTTGTAAAATAGTGTGTAAAGTTTTCAGAGTTGTTTGAACTGTAAGAACATTTACAAAGTGGTATCTATGGTGGCTAAGGTACTTCCTAAAGGAAATAAAGATTTCTATTCCTATGTAATTAGAAGTCATTACAGATCCTTTACCAAATACCTTCCCTTCAGACTTCTGTGGCTAAGGTTTTAAATTGGTTCTACATGATTATATTACAAAGTCAACTTCCTTAGAAAAACAATTCTGAATACCTTTCATCTTCTAAGAAACCCTTTTCGAATCCATGTTTTTTTCAAATGTGTAGCCCCCCTCTTCCTTCTTTCATAAAAGAAGACAGATTTTTTTTTTTTTTTTTTTGCAACGGAGTCTCGCTCTGTCGTCCAGACTGGAGTGCGGTGGCACCATCTTGGCTCACTGCAACCTCCACCTCCCGAGTTCAAGCCATTCTCCTGCCTCAGGCTCCCGAGTAGCTGTGATTACAGGCACCTGCCACCACGCCCAGCTAATTTTTGTCTTTTTAATAGAGACGGGGTTGTGCCATGTTGGCCAGGCTGGTCTCAAACTCCTGACCTCAGGTGATCCACCCACCTTGGCCTCCCAAAGTGCTGGGATTACAGACGTGAGCCACCATGCCTGGCCAAAAAGACAGAATTTTTAAAGTGTAGGGAAAAAAATGTTTTTAGCCCCATGCCAGAAATGCTATATGCCCCTACATATTTTGGGTATTACAGTATTAATTGCCATATCTTATGGTAGAAAGTGGGAGGAGCCAAGCTGTTAAGCTCTTCTTATTTATTTTTTTTATTGCTTGGAAAATCAGTTATTGCTTTTCTAAAAATGAAACATGCGCATTGTGAAAATTTCTAACAATCTAAAAACATGCAGAGTAAGATACAGGAAATGTAAATTGTTGCTCCACCACGCATGACCTCAAAAACCTGAGTAAGAAAATGAACACAAGTTGCAAAAAACTCAAATGAATTGCAGAAATTAGACTTCATTAATACATTCCCATTGCTGAGGAATGAAATGTCAGCATACCAAAGTCCATGGCTTTTCAATGCACTCTTCAGAAGTAGAAAACCAAAATTTAAAACAACATCGTCCATGAAGCCAAGGGAACCATTACACCAGAACATACAGCTCCTCCCTGGAATAAGCCTTCTGTGAACCTCAACTTTTCCTCTCTTTTAACATCAATGTTAAAATGCCTCCCTTCAGGGATACTAAGACATTTCACTTTTGAGACAGAGTCAAATAGAAAAACCATCAAAAAGAAAGAAATTAATTCTGCACCTGGGTAGCATTATTTTTTCCCTGCTTGGAGTGTGTACTAACTTCAACCAGATCAATTCTTTCATGAAATGAGGGAGAAAATAAACTCTCCATAATTTTAAAACATATTTATTATGATAAAAACATGGCTCTATTTGTCATTTCTATTTGTGGAAAACTGAAGGCCATCTTTTTCTCTGTAAAGCTTTTTGTCTGCTACATTCTAGAAACATTATAACCTCTCCACCAACCAGAATGATTCTGTTTATGCAAATAAATATATTTTATGACATGTAAAATTAATTAGTTATATGATTATGCTTCAGTAATGACAATGTTTTGCACAATAGAAAAAAAGCTGATAAAATTTAAATTTCCATTTTTATATTCCAACAAATAATTTAAATTTGTTTCTTGATTAATTCAATGTTTCACTTTTGAAAAGCAATTCACTTCATTTTGAAGTACATTTATATTTTCTTTAGTCACCTTAACTGTTAGTTCTACTCAGCAAGAATTTACTGTCTTTTTATTCTTTTTCTGTTCTTGGTTAAATGTCTTCTGGTAGGTCACATTTTACCTATTTATGTCTTGTGTCATAAAAGCATTCAAGAACATTTTAAGGTAAAATGCTTGAATAAAATTATTTTAGTAAAAATGTAAAAATACATGTAAAATAAATGTAAACAAATTAAAATAAATGTAAAAAAAATAGAGTATTGGCCGGGCACGGTGGCTCACGCCTGTAATCCCAGCAATTTAGGAGGCCGAGGCGGGTGGATCACAAGGTCAGTAGTTTGAGACCAGCCTGGCCAAGATGGTGAAACCCTGTCTCTACTAAAAATACAAAAAATTACCCAGGCGTGGTGGCGGGCGCCTGTAATCCCAGCTACTCAGGAGGCTGAGGCAGGAGAATTGCTTGAACCCGGGAAGCAGAGGTTGCAGTGAGCCGAGATCGTGCCACTGCACTCTAGCCTGGGCAACAGAGCAAGACTCCATCTCAGAAAAAAAAAAATAATAATAATAGAGTATTCACATTTACTGAGCTTTTATTTTCAGTAGTTATAGATAAGAGATGAAAAAGACAGAATTTAGTTTCATACTTTGATGTCATTTTTTGAAACAATGGCCGATGGTACCTTTATCATTCAAAATTTTTCAAAACTCAAAGGACAGAAATGAACATATCAGGTCTACCAAATAACCTAAACATTCATTAATTTGCCATTGAACCTTATGATACACCAATTGAAATAAAACCTTTTTACAGCAAAGAAAATTCTAGTATTTGCTTTATGGCATTACAGTATCTTTTTTATTCAAGTGGGGCCTGAAAGTGCCAGTGTTCCTCCAAAAACATGCATGAATTTACCACATTTCCATATGAGAAATAAGAACCTGTCACTTGGCCTTGAAAAAAATATGACCATTAATGTAATCACTTAGAATAAAAAGAAAGTGCCAGGAGTTCAAGACCAGCCAGGGCAACATAGTGAGACCCCATATCTACAAAATATTAAAAAACTAGCCAGGCATAGTGGCACACGCCTATAGTCCCAACTACTTGGGAGGCTGATGTGGGAGGATCACATGAGCCCAGGTGTTCAAGGCTGCAGTGAGCCATGATTGCACCACTGCACTCCAGTCAGGGCAACAGAAGGAGACCCTGGCTCTTTAAAAAAAAAAAAAAAAAAAAAAAAAAAAAAGAATAGAAAGAAAGCACCATCATTAACTGAATTGGGATCCGTACTAATAATATCAGAGTAATTATTGTCTGGCACTACCAGGAAGCTGGGTGTTTGGGGTTAATCAGACACTTAAGTCTCTACTTATATTAACATGTGGATTTGTGATTTTATAAGATATTCACATTAATACTCTATCGAACTTAAATCAATTTTTCTTGTAGAGGTCAGGAAGCATTTCTCTATCTTCATATTTGGATCAGAATCATCATTATGAACCATTTTACCAATGTTATCATATCCATGCTAGTTAAGAAAACATTCTGGTTGGTAAACTGTTGGGTGAACCATTTCTAAAATTAAAAAATGCCTGCCACAAAATAAGTCTGCTGCATTTTTATGAAAATAATAAAATAAAAACTTTCATACTCTTTGGAAAAATGAGAAAAGCATTGATCAGTCCACTTACAGTGAGCTCACAGAAATCCATGCTATCAAGGCTTTTGCTTCTGTGTAATCTCCCTTTAATTCGTCTTAAAGAGGGTTTTCCTTGGCTGACACTAGAAGTAGCACCATTAGGATTTTCAGAGGATGGCGTTACCCTGCAAGAAAGAAAAAAATTCTTAAAAAGGCAGGTTTACAGGTGAACACATTTCTCAAGTTTGAGGTAAGCATTTACTCAAAGGCAGCTTTGGAAATGTCACACTCCTTTTTCCAGCCAAAAAGCTAAGAACCACAGCAGAGCTACATTCTATCAGATACCCTTTCTAACTATTTCTTAGCTAGTTAAGACATCTTGACAGGATTCAAATAGTACAACATTAAGATTTATTAGACTGTGGGTGGTGGCTCACACCTTGTAATCTCAGTACTTTCAGTGGCCAAGGCAGGAGGATCACTTGAGCCCAGGGGTTCGAGCCCAGCCTGGGCAATACAGGGAGACCCTGCCTCTACATATACACACACGAATAAAAAAATTAGCCTGTCCTGGTGGTGCATGTCTGTGGTCCCAGCTGCTTGGAAGGCTGAGGTGGGAGGATTGCTTGAGCCTGGGAGGTCAAGGCTACAGTGAGCCACCACTGCACTCCAGCCTGAGAGATAAGAGTAAGACCCTGTCTCATTTATAAGGTTTTTTTTTAAAAAAAGATTCATTAAATATCAATTCTACAACTATTGAAGAAGCCATTAATATTAGACTGAAGTTTTCTAGGTAACTTAGGGGCATCTGCTTCCTTCTGGGCAGTTATTTATTCAACACTCAGTCCGGTGCCTAGCACACCCAGTACAAGTGAGCTATCATTGTGTCCATCACAGATACTGTTCAGCATGGTTTTGTTAAGCATGAAAATAACATAAATCTAAACATGATAGCACACACTTAATTCAGCATAATTATGGAAACATGAAAACACAGACAACAAGAAGTAGCAAATAGTATAAGCCATCTATAAAGTGCACACTGGAATACATGTTCATACATATACATACAGACACAGTAAATATCATAAAATAGACTAGATATGGCTACAGTTTAGAATAAAAGTAATACATCCATAGAGTTAAAACATTTGAAGGGTATAAAAAGATATAAAAATGGAAAGTAAAAGCTGCCCTTTTCTCCCTCATCCCAAACTCCCCTTTTCCAAAATCAACCACTATTAACAGTTGTTTGTATTGTATAATCTCCCAGACAAATGCTCATGCTTATATACAGATGTGTTTATTTCCTTTTCAATTTTTTTACCAAATTGTGTGTATTGTCCTGCACCTTACATTTTTCACTTAATATATCTTAACGTTCTTCCCATAATAATCCATACAGAACTATTTCACTCTTTTTAATGGCTAAATGGTATCCCATAACATAGATGTAATATAATTTGTTCAACTATTCCCCTACTAATGGGCATTTAGTTTGTTTTCCTATGTTTGTTACCAAACCATACAGCAATGAACATCCTTGGCAACATCTTTGGGTACAAATGCATTATTTAGTTAGGAAAGATTGCTCAAAGTAGAAAGGCAGAGTCAGAGATGGGAGTTTCCTACATGCTGATAGGTAATACCTTTCCAAAAAGCTTTACAAATTTACACTTCCATCAACAGTATATGAGAATACCCATTTGGGGGAGTCCTTAAATACAAGGGCAACTTTATCACTTTATTATTTTTATCACTCAACTTCTCCATGTCCTTCATTATATTTTTGTCTGTTGAACTGCTGATTCTGTATAAAGGACTATTGTAGGATTTCCCACCTTGAACATGGACTTGTCAATTAATCTATGTCTTTTAGTTTTTGCTTTTTATATTTCAATTGTTTTTTATTAGATGTCTTGATGTTTATGACACATATCTTCTTAGGGATTTAATCTTTTATCATATAAAAAGACTATGCCAATTAAATATTTTACCTTAAATGCCATTTTGTCTGATGATAATTTTCCCATCTACATTTTTATATTAACCATTTCCTGATTTATCTTGTGTTTGTATTTTCAAGTGTTCGAAGTCTCTCTCTCTTTTTAGTTTTTTTTTTTTTTAAGTTGTACCTTTAACTCTGGATAAGTAGCATGTAGCTGGATTTTTTTCTTTCTTTACCCAATCTGAGGGTTAATGTCTTTTAAGAGAAACTTAATCCATTCAAATTTATTGTTTTTACTCATATGTTTAGATCTATTCCTGCCATCTTGTTTTGTGTTTAATGCTTTCTTCTTAAGTTTCTGCCTTATTAATATGATTGAGTTTACTTTGTCCTCAACCACCCTAAGACCTTTTTCCCTTTCCATTCAGTAGTTTGAAAGTTATACATCTTATTAGGGAAACTCTAACTCTAGTTAGCTATATACACACATGTACATTAACATCTTTATATATGTATCCATCACACACGTATATGTACACACACACACACATAAACTCATATTTTCCTATCAACACCTAGGGCTCATGAGTATGCTCACCTCCTCCTAAACAAGAAGTGGCATTAGCACGTCTTCATTCCCCCTCTTTCCCAGCAACTCCACATCCCTACAAAAAGCCCCACCTTCCCTTAGAAATAGTGTTCAGGTTTCCTGGCTTCTTGTTCATACTTTTGATCTCTTTGCTCTTTTGTGATTCTTTAACTTACTTCTCCAGATTGCAAACTTGCTTTTTTAGTTTTGTGAATTCAGCCATTGTCTTTTCTATGAATCAGTAAATTCTAAATTTCTAAAGTAGCTAGTTTTTTTTTTTTGTTTTTTTTTGAGTCGGAGTCTCGCTGTGCCTCCCAGGCTGGAGTGCAGCGGCGCGATCTCACCTCACTGCAAGCTCCGTCTCCTGGGTTCACGCCATTCTCCTGCCTCAGCCTCCCGGGCAGCTGGGACTACAGGCGCTCATCACCACACCTGACTAATTTTCTGTATTTTTAGTAGAGACGGGGTTTCACCATGTTAGCCAGGATGGTCTCCATCTCCTGACCTCGTGATCTGCCCACCATCAGCCTTCCAAAGTGCTGGGATTACAGGTGTGAGCTACCACGCCTGGCCTGTATCTAGTATTTTTTTAATTAATGCAATATTCTCATGCATCTTTCCAAAAATAACCTTTTTTTCTTCTGAAAATCACCATCTAATGTTTTTCTATTTTCTCAGGAGTTAGTTCTGTGTTTTAATTTGGTAATTCTCTGGGTACTGGCTTTCTTGAATTGTTTGGTGATTTTTAATGTCTACTTACATTTGTATTGGAAAACATCCATTTCCCCACTGCGACTACTGTGGCCTGCCTTCAGGAACTCTGGCAGAGAGATGGGATACGCTGCCAGGTCTGTGAGGCAGCTTCTCTTGCAAGTCAGTAGCTACCTCTAGGACAGCCCTGCCTCTCTGACCCCAGTGCTCCGGACAACTGTAACGTTTTCTCTCAACAGATCTATCCCTACCTACTAGTTACATTTCAAAGAGTCCTCAAAATTACGGGTCCACTGATGACATTCTTTATTGTTTACTCAGATTATTATTAATTTTGTCGTAGCTTTAAAAATTAATTTTCTTCTTTCATTGAATTTCTAGGGCGTCTTCCTTTCAATTGGCCTCCCAAAGTAAAATTTTACTGATGCCACTTTCATGATTCTTAGGATAAAAAGAAACATTGTACAGCTTTGTTCTCTTCTCCACAGGGTAAAAGCTTCCATGAAAACAATGAACTTTATTCAAAAGAGGACATATGGGAAAGAAAAATAGAGTTATAAAACTAAATACAAATCAACTTCTCATTTCTCTCTCACTTTATTTTGATAGCGCTGGTAGGTGTGATCATATTTTAGAAAATTAATGCAAACATTTAATATAAATAAATAAATCTGTCTAGTGTTCTTCGTAAGTTTTTCTCTCATCTGACTTAGAAAGGCATCACTATTCTCCCTTTATGCCAAATCTAGAAGCCTAAAAGAGCCTGTAATAAAAATTTATATCTACCAAATTTTATAAATGGCAGATAGTCAAGAAATTTACCAGGGTTAACTCAATGTAATACTAAATCCAGTGACAAAGTAAAACAGAAAAATAAAATGATCATAAACAAAACTAGAAGAATAGATCCACTGCCCTCCCTACCAGGATCATAATAAAAACATGCTGTAATATCAGCACTTTGGGAGGCCGAGACATGAGGATCTCTTGAGCCCAGAAGTTTGAGACCAGCTTGGGCAACATAGAGAGATCCCGTCTCTACAAAAAATACAAAAAAACTCGCCAGGCGGGATTGCACATGCCTATGGGTCCCAACTACTTGGGACTCTGAGGTGGGAAGATCACCTAAGGCCAGGACGTCGAGGTTGCAGCGAATGGTGATCATACCACTGCACTCCAGTCTGGGCAATGGAGTGAGACCATGTCTCAAAAAAAAAAAAAAAAGTAATAATCAGTAGCGCTAAAGTGGTGTATACCAGGTGAAAATCAGCTCTGGACCTACCCTGCCCACAGACTCCACAGGAAGATGGTACCTTGTCTAAGAATTTAACCAGGCTTCTACAGAGTAACTTCAGGAACTTTAAAGCTTTGACCAGATCTTTGGGAAGCTGAGGTAAACTGTTAAAAGGCATATGGCTCAATAATGACCCCCCTTTGTTTGGTGTGGAATAAAGAAAAGAAAAAACACTGATCTAGATAATAATGCAGAATATTAACTCTGGTGTAAGTAGAAGTGCTCTTGTAGGAATAGGTGAATTTTAGATGTTGCTTCTCTTTTGTTTATTACTGTCTTTAAAAATATTTGTCTTGGGGAGGGGCGTGTGTGTTTCATTGTTTTCTGGACACTCACAAGAACACAGCTGCGTACCTGTAACTCAGGTGAGAAGAGCTATACAAAGAGTCCACCAAGGACAGTTCCATTTGACATGGAATATAAATTCTTTTAATCCCCTGGTACTACTCTTCCCCAGCCCTGATGGTGCAGATCTGAGCTGAGTAACTCAGACTTCAGGGATTATTCCCCGCATATTTAGGGGAATGGCCCTTTATGACAGGGAAATAAAGTTGGGAACTGATGTAGGGAAATCAATATTTAGCTTACAATGAGGTTTTACTTTTCCTAATTCTTTTTTTTTTTTTTTTTTTTTTTTTGAGACGGAGTCTCGCTCTGTCGCCCAGGCCGGACTGCGGACTGCAGTGGCGCAATCTCGGCTCACTGCAAGCTCCGCTTCCCGGGTTCACGCCATTCTCCTGCCTCAGCCTCCCGAGTAGTTTCCTAATTCTTAATTCCATTTTATCCTCCCTAGAGGGAAGGTGGGGAGAAAACTTCTGCCTCTCTCCACCTGCTTTGTAACTTCCCTTGTGAGAGTGTACTTTACTTGTGGGCATGGCTGATATGCATCAAACGCTGAAGTCCAGGGCCCACCCTCTCGTTCCACTTCCTACCCCTACCGGATGAACACAGACCACAGGCCTGGCCCCTGGAGGCAGTCCCCCACTTGATCTGCCCATTTCCCTTCTCTTCACCTGACACTGCTAGAACAGGTCTGGTCTGCACTGCAGCCTCCACCATCATAGCTCCCGAGGTAAGAGAGGAAGCATCCCCTCAGAGGCTTGCAGACCAGTGTGGCCTGCTCCAGCACAGCTTCCTAGACAGACCCTCATTTGGGTGATAGCCAGCACCTGCCCCAATATTATTAACAACCCAGAAAACTGTTAACATTTAGTTCTTGTTCCTTGAATGTATCTTCCCTGGTCAAGGACATGCAGGAGAAAGATATACACCAATCCAACTCCACCCATTATGTCACACCTACAAAGCTCTGTTGGGCGCTCTGCTGGCTACAGGCCAAATGTGGACTGCTACATCTTTGACATGGGACTCGGTCCTTAGCAAAGTCATTTAAATCTGACAGAGATACAAATTTTCACTAGTCCAAAATACTTGCACCACAGTGCAGCACAACTTCTTGACATTCTGCAACCATCCCTCCCACACCCTTCCCTCTGCTGGAATGCTTTTCTACTCCCCATCCTTGAAAGCCCAATGTTCCCAGGAAGCCTCAGATATTCATGCCTTTTGTTTCCAACTCAGGAGCTTTGGCTACAAATATTTCTGACCATTCTAAGACAAACAACTCCCAAGCTCATCTACACCACCCATTTCTAATTTCCAGTGGAAAAGAACTCAATAATAACACAGAATCGGGCAAAAATAATCAAGATGGCAAAAACAAAGCAGTCACACAAGGACAAATCTATCAACAAAGTAACATCTAATAATCCTTCTACAAGATATTTGTTTTAAGATACCAGCAACTGACAGCCACAGCCAACTCAAGAGAAGGCTAATGAGTGACAGCAAAGCTGTCCCCTTCCTCCACTTGAGGGGAATTCCAAACAACAGTGTGAGCCAAGGAGCTGTGAGACACTGCTAAGTACAGAAGGGCAGCTGGCTTTAAAAGGATGCTAAATCCTTCTGAAGGACACTTCAGGAAAAGCTAGTAAAATGCTAATTTTTGTTTATAAGCATTGGACTTCAGAAAGCTTAATAACTCATGTAATAGGTTAACAGTAAATAGTCATCTGATGAACTTAGAAAAAATAATGTGCACAACTGCCAATAATTAGGTCATTTAAAAAATTGTGGGCTGGGCACAGTGGCTCACGCCTGTTATCCCAGCACTTTGGGAGGCCAAGGTGGGTGGATCACCTGAAGGTCAGGAGTTTGAGACCAGCCTGGCCAACATGGTGAAACCCCGTCTCTACTAAAAATATAAAAAATTAGCCAGGTGTGGTGGTGGGCACCTGTAATCCCAGCTACTTAGGAGGCTGAGGCAGAAGAATCACTTGCACCCGGGAGGCGGAGGTTGCAGTGAGCTGAGATCGCGCCATTGCACTCCAGCCTGGGTGACAAGAGTGAAACTTCGTCTCAAAAAAAGAAAAAATTATGAAAGGACTTGGGTATTGGAGCCCTTCACGTCCCAACAGGAGGACCTCAGTGATCCATGAGTGGGCCGGGGGACCACCCTTGGAGAAACAACCTTCTATCGGGCAATTACCAGTCATTTTAGTATCTGTTTTCAGTTATTCTCTCCTTCTAGACTGTCATCTCACTGATCAATTGTCTTTTGAACCTTGATCAATTGTATGAGTCTGAGCAAGTCAATGACCTAATTTGTAAAACCGAGAAAATACAGCCTCATGGGGTGCTATAAGTTAAATAATGACAAGATACTTGGAAAGCACTAATATAGAGTGCAGCAAGTAATAGCTCAATGAATAGCAACTCTTATTGTTTTTGGAATCTGATTATTAGATGACTACTTGAATGAATATACTGATAGTGCATGGCCTTAAATAATCACTGAATCAAATAACTGGGGAAATGTTTTTAGAGTATAAAGAAAATGAAATCACACCCCCTTTTCTCCCTAAGATCACTGTAAATACTTTTTTCTTTTTGAGACTGAGTCTCGCTCTGTTGCCAGGCTGGGGTGCAGTGGCATGATCTCGGCTCACTGCAACCTCCACCTCCTGGGTTCAAGCGATTCTTCTGTCTCAGCCTCCCGAGCAGCTGGGACTACAGGTACGCGCCATCACGCCCAGCTAATTTTTGTATTTTTAGTAGAGACAGGGTTTCACCATGTTGGCCAGGATGGTCTCGATCTCTTGACCTTGTAATCTGCCCGCCTCAGCCTTCCAAAGTGTTGGGATTACAGGTGTGAGCCACTGTGCCCAGCCCACTGTAAATACTCTTAAAGCACTTAGTGCAAAACTCAAGACTGCTGATAGCAATAAATTATGAAAATATTTTTCACATTTTACATTAAAAAGGAGTAACTATTATTTGTGCCTCATACCTGCAGAACAGCAGCATAAATGTCACCTTACTTAGAATGTTACCATGTTTAGAAACAAAGTCTTTGCTGATGTAATTAAAGATCTCCAGATGAGATCATCCTGGATCATCCAGGTGGGCCCTAAATCCAATGACAAGTGTCCTTATAAGAGACAGAGGAATAAGGAAGCAAGACTCAAGGATGTCAGAGGAGAGCTGTTTTAGTTGCAGTGGAGATTCTAATATGGCCTGCAGAAGAATCTGTCTGCATATGTATACATCATATTATAAAATGGAGCATTTATTTTATGAGTTCCTAGTTTATAATTTGAAATAAATTAAAAATTAAAAGTTTTAGTCTTTTAAAAAAAGAGAGACAGGAGAAGACACAGAGACACAGAGACACAGAGAAGGTCATGTGAAGACAGAAGCAGAGAATGGATTGATGCAGCCACAAAGAATGTTCGAAAGAGGCAAGGAAGGATCCTCCCCTACAGCATTTGAGGGAGTGTGACCCTGCCAACACCTTGATTTTGGACTTCTAGCCTCCATAACTCAGAAAATAAATTTCTGCTGTTTTCAGCCACCAAGTTTATGTGATCTGTTACAGCAGCCCCTGAAAACACAAAGCCCCACTGCTTCTTTTCATCGCTGGCAATTCCAGGGTGTCCCCCAAAGGAAGCCAGCAGGCTCTGCAAACTTATACCTACCTCAGGTAGAGGTAACCAGGCTTTGTTCTGTGTTCCTAAGTAATGATTCAGAACCAAACACTGCAAACGCCCCTGCTTTCTAAATTTCTTGAAGAAGGGGATGAGGAAAAGAGAGTTCCTACAGGCTCCACTGATGTGGGTCTGACTGTCTGCTTTAGTTTCCACCTAAGTTGGTCTGCAAATATAATTCTCCTTACGAGATTTGTAGAGCCAATCAGAAAGACAGGAGATATTGCACAAAGAAAAACTGACAGGCACAAATGCCCAAGCGAGATGGAAGTGTGGGAATAAGGCATGCAACCCTGCCCTTTACACTGGCAGAAGCCTTTCCATATAGACTGCAGTAAAGACAGAGAAACACAGATATATAAATATCTTCATATAAATCTTCACATATGCCTTGACCAGTTTTCATAATACATCCTCACATTTATTTATTTATTTATTTATTTATTTATTTATTTATTTTGAGATGGAGTCTTGCTCTGTCACCCAGGCTGGAGTGCAATGGTACAATCTCGGCTCACTGCAACCTCCGCCTCCTAGGTTCAAGCGATTCTCCTGCCTCAGCCTCTTGAGTAGCTGGAATTACAGGCACACACCACCATGCCTGGCTAATTTTTATATATTTTTAGTAGAGACAGGGTTTCACCATATTGACCAGGCTGGTATCGACCTCCTGACCTCAAGTGGTCCACCCATCTTGGTCTCTCACAGTGCTGAGATTACAGGTATGAGCCACCACGTCAGGCCCTCACATTTGTAAACAGGCACAAGCTGGTGCATTCCAAAGTCTTACAAGCATTGTTGATGTCTGCTATTGGTTTCCACCCACCACTCTAGAGTCAGGACCTACATCCTACTATCTTCTAGACATATGATGGTGCCTTATGTCTCCAATGCTCCATGTGCGGTTGCTATGAAACTAGCAAAATGAAACATTATCTAAAAAATAAATCCAAAGCGTATAAGAGAAAAATAAATCTGGCGGCACAATGTTCTCCAACTTAAGAATATGAAGTATTCTACATCTCTGTTTAAAAGAGCCACTCACTCCAGAGTCTTCATAGAGCATACCCTTCCCTTTGCCGCTGTAGAATCAGATGAATGTTTGCAAGTTAACAATGAGTGGAAATTAAGAAATGATTATCTAAGATCATGGAAAAGCTCAACAAAAGCCTCTTGCCTTTTCCAGGCCGCCTCTTAGTAAGATGGTTTTTATCCCTGGCCCTAACTCACTGCCTACCTCAAACATGAATTGCTTGGATATAAAAGTTACCTGGATTTTATTTCCTTGTGTCCTCTCTTCAGAAATTCTGTGTTTAGAGAATGTGTTTTCAGAAGCAGAACCCCAATGATGGAAAATAATAAATATAGTTTCCTAACTTTGTGACCAAATGCTGCTAATATTGATGTCTAATAATTCCTCAAATATTATTCCCACATCTTGATTTTTAAACTGGCCCGCGCGCAGTGGCTCACACCTGTAATCCCAGCACTTTGGAAGGCCAAGGCAGGTGGATCACCTAACGTCAGGAGTTTGAGACGAGCCTGACCAACATGGTAATGCCCCATCTGTACTAAAAATACAAAATATTAGCCGGGTGTGGTGGTAGGCGCCTGTAATCCCAGCTACTCAGGAGGCTGAGGCAGGAGAATCACTTGAATCCTGGAGTGGAGGTTGCAATGAGCCGAGATCTGCCATTGCACTCCAGCCTGGGCAAGAAGAGCAAAACTGTTTCAAAATAAATAAATAAATAAATAAATAATAAATAATTTTAAACTGAACATTAAGAAAACAGATTTCCTAACATATTATTTCCCAATCACAAATTATTAAGAATCCATTTATTCAACAAATATTTATTGAGAAGCTTTCTGGTACATTTGTACCAGACATCCGTTGCAGGGTTTTACAGTAATGGATGAAACAAACAAAAGCCCTCCCTCATGCAACTTACATTTTAGTGAGGAGAAGGGGAATATATATGAAAAATAAGTAAAATAAACAATGTGTTAGTTATTGATAAGGGCTCAGGAGAAAAGCAAAATGGGAGATATGACTGCTGGTGCTGATATTTCCCATACCCCCACATACCATCAATCTGAGAAGCGATCTTCAAATGTTACCCCTTCTTCCTTCACTGTAGTGACAGTCTTCATTTATTTGCTAACATCTCCCACGGACATGTTTTAATTGAACTGTGGCTAACCTTGTCTTCTAAGTGTTGTCACTTGCTGTTCATCACATTAAAATATCTTTTTTTTTTTTTTGAAATAGGAGTCTCACTCTCGCCCAGGCTGGAGTGCAGTGGCATGACCTTGGCTCACTGCAACCTCTGCCTCCCGGGTTCAAGCGATTCTCCTGCCTCAGCCTCCCAAGTAGCTGAGATTACAGCCACACACCACCATGCCCGGGTAATTTTGTATTTTTTTGGTTTATTTGTTTGTTTATTTAGTAGAGATGGGGTTTCACCATGTTGGTCAGG
This sequence comes from Homo sapiens, assembly GCF_000001405.40. Classification (NCBI taxonomy): domain Eukaryota; kingdom Metazoa; phylum Chordata; class Mammalia; order Primates; family Hominidae; genus Homo; species Homo sapiens. Next base: position 29,967,248 of record NC_000015.10, read on the forward strand.
CTGGTCTTGAACTCCAGACCTCAGGCGATACGCCTGCCTCGACCTCCCATAGTGCTGGGATTACAGGTGTGAGCCACTATACCCGGCACATTAAAGTATCTTTTGCAGAATAAATTTATTTAAAAAAAAAAAACCAAACTGGTGGGGGCAGAAAGACACTAACATTTACTAAGCACCTATTATTAAGCCAAGCACAGTGGTAGACACCTTTGTATTCATTATCAGAGTTGATCTGTGTATATCCCCATGAGGGAGATAACAAGATTCTCACTTTACAGAGGAAGAAACAGACACTCCAGGAACTTAAGGTCACACAGTAAGTGGCACAACTGAATTCTGAACTTTGCTGTCCATATTTGTCTTACCTTCAAAATTCTCCACTTTTAGGATTCTTTTTCTTAACCCATCTTTTTCTTGGCTGATCACGCTATATACTTTTTTGGTAAGGATCACTCTTTCACACTGTCTTATAGAGCAGGAATTACTTTCCTCATTACCTAAAAGCAGCCTCATCTCCTTTCTCTACAACCTTAGGATTAAATTAGACTGTGCTCAATTGAATTGAATAAAACCTTTATGAACTACACTGACCACTAATTTTAAAATTAAAATGACCAATGCCATAACTGGCATCTTTTTTCTGTAGTCATCTTCCCTTTACTAGGTTATTTCTTTTGCAAAAGAATCTTAATCCTAAATCTCAAGCCAGTGGCATACCTAGGTGGCTCCTGGGATTCCGCATGGATTACGGATTATTATTAATAAAATGCAATATACAATCCTGTAGATAATCAGCAACGTAAACCAGTAAGGTCCAGACATTTTTCTTTAAGGATGTTTTTTCCTCATTACCTCAGTAACAGTTTCCAGGTCGGAGGAACTGGAACGCATGCAGGTGGAATACAGTCCCTGACAATGCAATAATAATTTCCCAACTTATTCCCCTTGCCTTGCTCGTCCTCTACTATGCACTCAGCAGCAGACGAATTTTTGGAAAATAACTGAAAACGCACACCGTGATACCAATGAATTCTTCTGCTGTCTCCGCGAGAGCCTGGCTGGAAATTCTGAGCCAGAACCCGCCGTAATGGAGCAGAAAGGACAGACAGAGGCGGGAGGCCGACGCCCGGGTGCGGGTGCCAGGCGTCCCGGCCGCTCCCCGTCGCCCTACGCGCCGCGGGCACAGCGAGGGTCTCGGCGAAACCAGTCAGCGGGCACGCGGTACAAGGCGGCGCTCGGCCCTGGGCTCGGCCTTGGCTGCTGCGCCCCGCGCGGCGCGCCCCGCGTCCCGTCGGGCCCGACAGTCGCGGCCTCGCCCCCCGCCCGACCGCCCCGGCCGCCGCTCGCTCTCCCACTCCGGCCCCCGCCCCGCTCCGCGCCTAGCCCGGCTGGGGCTCCGCGCCCGCGCGGCCGCCTCACCACAGCTTCCTCTTGAGCGGCAGGAGGCTGCCGCGGTTGGAGGGGGTGACGCCGATGGCCATCTGCAGCACCGTCAGGTATTTCTGGTACTTCATCTTGTCCCCGCTCCGCTCGCGGGCAGGGCCCCGCCGCCTCCGCCGCCGCCGCAGACACAGCCCCTCCAGGCGCCGCATAGATCAGCTCTGGGCCATCCGCCGCCACCACAGCTCCCACCGCTCCCGCGCCCGCCGCACCCGCAGCTGCGGCCGTGCGTGGCCCGGGCTCCCGCTCCCGCCGCCGCCGTCGCCGTGCGTGCCCGGCCGCTCCCGCCGCCGCCGCCGTGCGTGGCCCGCAGCTCCCGCCGCCGCCGCCCCTTCCACCCCTGCAGGCCGTGGCCCGGCGGCGCGCTCCGGTGGGCGGGTGCGGGTCTCGCGGGAGGCCGGGCTGGCTTGGCCCCCGCTCCGGAGCCGCTGGGCGAGGCCGGGCCACCTGCGCGCCGGCCGCCCTGCCCAGGCCCTGCGCCCGCGTGCCGCGGTGTTTTCAGCGGCTGGCAGGAGCTCCTTCTCAACCGTTAGCACCCAAAGAGAATCCCAACAGCACACTTCCAGCGCGGATTAAAACAAACAAACAAACAACAACAACAACAAAAACGAGACGCTGCCTGTTGGTTTGTAACTATCAATTGATGTGTTCTATCCCAAAGTGGTTGACTTCACATTGACATATAATGCATATGGCGAATACGTACTACACGCGCATGCAGTCCTCGCTTGCACGGTAATTCTGGACGCTGGAAATGACTGAACCATGCAAAACTACCTTAATAATCACTGGGAAAAATTAAGATTGTTTCACGACTTTAAACAGTTTTTCTCAAAACATTCAAAGCAGTCCGGGCACGGTGGCTCACGCCTGTAATCCCAGCACTTTGGGAGGCCCAGACGGGAAGATGGCATGAGCCCAGGAGTTCGAGACCAGCCCTGGGCAACACAGTGAGACCCGGTCTCTACAAAATAAAAAAAAAAAATTAGCCAGGCGTGGTGGTGTGCACCTGTAGTCCCAGCTTCTCAGGAGAATGAGGGGGGAGAATCACTTGAGCCCCGGAAGCCGAGGTTGCAGTGAGCCAAGGTCGCACCACAGCACTCCAGCCTGGGTGACAGAGCAAGTCCTTGTCTTGGAAAGAACAAACAACAACAAAAGAACCATTCAAAACTCGCTTAACTGATGGTTACAAATACCCTGTATATGGAAATGAAAAAAAATCAGTTTAAAACATTCAAACATTGAGAATTAAAGTATTTTTTGTGTTTGTAAAAATAAAGCTTATTAAGAATAACTTGAACAGTGCTTGTCTTCTTCTAGTGTAACTCTTATATACCACCTTTTCTGTACTTTAGCAAAACATCACATTTGGATTACACGCAAGTATTTTATCCTTTGCACTTCCAATGCCATGCAATGTCTCAGAGAGTTCCTTTAATGTAAAATGTTTTTGTGGACCTCATTTCCTCCGGGACATCCTCATCCTTTTAGTCACAGCCATTTTCCTCATTCAGTGTGCTTTGAGTAAGTTTCACTGACTGCATATCTAGTCTCTGGAAAGTCAGCACTCCCACAGTTGTCTATTTCTTCTATAGTACTTCATTTGCATTCAATTTGAATTTCACTTCAATTCCATCTTTACCATTTTTTTATTTCTTTGCTGCACTTTCATCTTTGTTGACCAATTCCCTTTCAATTATTCATTTTTATACAATGCTGTGTGAGTTTAACACTTGGAGAAAAGGAAGCAACACAATTGCACACTTTGCTGCCAGTGCCTAAACTAACAGTGCAATGACCCGTCACTGACAGATTTTGAAAGAACTGCTGTGATTGGTCACTGGTTGTTATGGACATCTATTGTTTACATAGGGTTTTGTGGACTAAAGAGCTAGAAGCAAAGATTGTACTATGTTTGTTCACAGCTAAAATAGCATGATAACTAAAATTTGTTTTTTTTGTTTTTGCTTTGTTTTGTTTTTGAGACAGGATCTCATGCTGTTGCCCAGGCTGCAGTGCAGTGGCACAATCATGGCTCACTAGAGCCTCTACCTCCCAGGCTCAAGCGATCTTCCCACCTGGGCCTCCCAAGTAGCTGGAACTACAGGCATACACCACTAAGCCTGGCTAATTTTTGTATTTTTATTTTTTGAAGAGACGGGATCTCACTATGTTGCCCAGGCTAGTCTCAAACTCCTGGGCTCAAGCGATCCTCCCACCTCAGCCTCTCAAAGTGCTGCAATTATAGGCATGAGCCACCATGCCCCATCCAGTAACTAAAATTTCAACCATATTGTTGAGATACTGGTGTTATTTAACTAAATAGCTGACATCAGTCATATCTGAACCTGCAAAGCAAAGGATGCCTATTTGGATATATGCATACTATATATATGTGTGTATATATAGTATATATGAAGAGTACCAATAATAAGCACCTATGCATCCACCAGGCAGAAGTGTTAACCCCCTCCCTCCACAGTTTATCCCTCCTGCACCTCTATTTAAATACTTCATCTTCAAATTAATTAGCACATAAGATTAAAACAACACAATCTTCCTGGGGTTTGGGTTCCCAACATGATTTCACAGTCACTTAGGTAGGAAAGCAGGTCTAAATATTTCACTTTCATTTACCCAGAAATTTTAGCTCTCACATAAAATGAGGAATTGGCAGGTTTTTGACACTTCGGTTGTATACTCCCCTGGGGAGAGGACATCCTTGGAGCAGAACTTTTAAGAAACATCAAGGCCTGTTTTTATATACTCACCATGTCAAATATATGTTTGGCCTTTTGCATTACTTTGTCATAATAATTGTAAGATATTTGATGAAAATACTACACTGTGCTCAAAGATTTAGGCACCTGGAAGCTGAGGGACCTATTCAGGATAATAAGCAATAAAAATAAATCTGGGAGAAGCACTTCTAGAGTGGTAGAAAATCTGCTTCTCCATAAAAGGGAGTACACTGGCAAAAATAGTTAAAACCAACTCCAGAAATTAACCAAACACAACAATCCAAGGAGTATTTATTAAAGAAAAATTACTGAATCTTGGTGAGTACAGTGAGCTTTAGGGCATTTTGATCTGCCCAATTCTCAACTACTTCTCTCCAGCTCTACAGTAGCCTAGTAAGCCAACAGCCTCACAACTACAGTAGCTTTGAAAACCATCCAGCAGCCACTGGATGGGGCAGAATAGGTTTAGATCTTCTCAAAAGCCCCATACTAAGTAAACTGTCATTATTTGACCTGTCTGGAAGCACCTTGAAAAGTTCCATTCTCAGGGTTTGTCTTTATTTGACCTGGTTCAGAACTTGCTCTGTGCAAACAGCCCTATCCCTGGTGCATTTGTTGAAAACAATCAGTTGCAACTGTTTAACATCACAGATACCTGCGGTGGTGAAACTGTTTGGTACTAACAAGAAGCTAACCAAAAAAGTTAAAAAAAAATGGGCAATAAGAGTCCATATAGTTCCTTGAAAAGCTCTGACATATACCTAGGAATCCAGAATTTCATGCAGGACATGCATGTACATGCAGGACTGTGAACACACCCAAAAAACACCTAAGAAGACTCTAATCTCTCACCTCTGTCTGACCTTGAGTTTCAGTACAATGCAGAAAATAAAGGCTAAGGAAGAATCGTAAACTACCTACCACAATGTGCAAGGCATGCCCCAGCACACACAGCCTCTCAGCAAAAGCTAGGGGATTTATTGGCTCAAAGCATTTAAGAAAATATCCATTCAATCATTAGCTAAGCACTAAACTATCCAAGCAGAGACTCTAATGGCTGCACACAACAAACAATACAGACTTTATAGATTAGTCCAGCAAAGTCACTAAACCAGCAACAAACCTCAGTGGAGAGGAGGGGATATGATTTCTAGAGTTGTCACATTACATTGTTCAAAACATCCAGATCTCAACAAAAAAGTTCACAACATCCAAAGAAACAAAATTATGGCCTATATGCAGGAAAAAGCAGTTAATAGAAACCATTCCTGAGGAATCCCAGGCATTGGACTTACTGAACAAAGACTTTAAATCAGCCATTATGAATATGTTCACAGAACTAAAGGAAACCATGTCTAATGAACTAAAGGAAAATGTGAGAATGATGTCTTACTAAATAGATAATATCAATAAACAGAAGTTTTAAAAAATAGAAACTCTGGAGTTGAAAAGTACAAAGAGTGAGATGAAAAAATTCTCTAGAGGAGCTCAATAACAACATATATGAACTGGTAGAAGCAAAAGGCAGTGAACTTGGAGATAGCTCAATTGAAATTATCCAGGCTGAGAAACAGAAAGAAAAAAGAATGAAGAAAATGAACAAATTCTCAGAGACTTATGGGAAACCATGAGTTTATGTGTATATTAACATGCACATAAAGTCCCAGAAGGAAAGGATAGAGAGAAAGGAATACAAAGAATATTTGAAGAAATAGCCTGCCCAGACTTTATGAAAAACAGTAATCTGCCATCCAAGGAGCTCAAAAAACTTGAAGTAGTGACCTAGACACATAATAGTCAAACTGTTGAAAGCCAAAGATGATGAGAAAATTTTGAAAGCAGCAAAAGAAAAACAACTCATCACACACAAAGGATCCTCAATAAGCTTAATAGCTGACTTCTCATCATAAATCATGAAGGTCAGAAGGTGGTGGGAAGACATCATATTTAAAGGGTGGAAGGAAAAATATCCTTCAAAAATGAAAGAGAAATTATGGCATTCCAGGTAAACAGAAAGTGAATGAAATCATCACTAGCAGACATGCACTATTACCAAAGGGAACCTTGCAGGCTGAAATGAAAGAATATTAGAAATTTAAATCCACATAAAGAAAATAAGAGCAGTGATTCTGATAACTACACAATTGAATATAAAAAATTATTTTAATTTTTAAAATTAAAAAATTTTAAATTAAAAAATCTGAACACTCTGATTTAAAACACAACTGCATAAAACAATGGCTATGAGCTGTGTCGATAGGCTTTTAATGTATAAACATACAATTTGTTTGACAATCATATTACAAAGATAAGAGGGACAGAGTGGATGTATACTGGAGCATAGTTTTGGCATGCTATTGAAATTAAGGCAAGTCGGCTGGGTGCGGTGGCTCACGCTTGTAATCCCAGGACTTTGGGAGGCCAAGGCAGGTGGGTCATGAGGTCAGGAGATCAAGACCATCCTGGCTAACACAATGAAACTGCGTCTCTACTAAAAATACAAAAAATTAGCCAGGCCTGGTGGTGGGTGCCTGTAGTCCCAGCTACTTGGGAGGCTGAGGCAGGAGAATGGTGTGAACCCGGGAGGTGGAGCTTGCAGTGAGCTGAGATCTCACCACTGCACTCCAGCCTGGGCGACAGAGCAAGACTCCATCTCAAAAAAAAAAAAAAAAAAAAGAGAGAGATTAAGGCAAGGCACGGTAGCTCATGCCTATAATCCCAGCACTTTGGGAGGCCTAGGTGGGAGAATTGCTTGAGCCCAGGAATTCGAGACCAGCCTGGGCAACACAGTGGGACTTCATCTCTAGAAAAATAAATAAATAAATAAATAAATAAATAAATAAAAAATTAGCCAGGCATGGTGGCACGTGCCTGTAGTCCCAGCTACTTGGGAGGCTGAGGTAGGAGGATCTCTTGAGCCTGGGAGATGGAGGCTGCAGTGAACCATGATTGTGCCATTGTACTCCAGGCTGGGCAACAGCAGGAGACCCTGTCTTGAAAAAAGGAAAAAAAAAAGAAATTAAGTTAGTATTAATACTACTTAGGTTATTTTAAGTTAAGAAGCTAATTGTAATCCCCGGGATGACTATTAAGAAAATGATTTTTTCAAAATGTTATACAAGAAATAACAAGGAAATTAAAATGATACAGTAGAGAATATATAGCACAAAAGAAAACAGTAACAGAAGAATAGAACAAAACAAGATATAAGACATATAGAAAGCAAATAGCAAAATGGCAGACATAAATTCTACCTTACCACTAATTACATTAAAGGTAAATGTACTAAGCATTCCCATCAAAAGACAGAGATTGGTAAAATGGATCTTAAATAAATGTATAACCTAATCTTTCACTTTGAGCAACTAGAAAGAGGAGCAGAATAAACTCAAAGCAAGGAAAAGGAAGGAAATAAGGATTAAGAGTAGAAATAAATGAAATGATGAATAAAAAAACAGAGAAAATCAGCAAAACCAAAAGTTGGTTCTTAGGAAGTATTAAATATCAATAAAGATGACAAACCTTCAGCTAGACTGACCAAGTGAGAGAGAGAACTCAAATTACTAAATTTGGACTGAAAGAGGGGACATTACTACCAACCTTGCAGAAACAAAAGTGATTATAAGGAGTATACTAAATTATGTTGTCCCAGCTACTCGGCAGGCTGAGGTGGGAAGATCACTTAAGCCCAGGAGGTGGAGGTTGCAGTGAGTTAAGATTGCACCACTATACTTTAGCCTGGGTGATAGAGCAAGACTCTGTCAAAAAAAAAAAGAAAGAGAGAGAGAAAGAAAGAAAGCAAGAAAGAAAGAAAAGAAAAAAGGAAGAAAGAAAAAAAAGAGAGAAAGGAAGGAAGGAGGGAAAGAAAGAAAAGAAAGAAGGGAGGGAGGGAGGGAAGGAGGGAAGGACCTACCTACGTGAATTAGAAAACTTTCTAGAAAGACCAACCTACTGAAATTGACTCAAGAAGAAACAGAAAATCAAATAGAAGTATAACAAGCAAAGAGATTAAATTGGTAAGAAGGAAAACTTCCCACCAAGAAAAAATGGCTTTATCAGTTTTGTTCATTCCTTTATCTCCTGCACCCAGAACAGTGCCTGGTGTATCATAAGCAACCAATAAATATTTGTTGAACTTGAGACAGGATGTTAATATAAAGTGAAAGACTTCATGACTTGTCATAAGGCATATCATTTTTCTAAAGAACAGAGTTTTGCATGCAATGTAGATAAATATTACAGCTGGAAAATTGACATCATTTTATGTAGTCAAAGAAATAAAAATTCGCTATTAGTTCTCAGATGATAGTTAATGCTTCAAAGGAAAATGTGGGAGCTGCTACTATTGGCACTATGCAAGGTCCAAGGTAGTGTTTTTCCAACCTGCCTCCCAGTGAATACAACCTCAAGGGTTATAGCACCTGAGCCTGTTGCTCCACCTTCCTCAAAAACAAGATCCTTTCACCTATTTTGACTACCACGCACAGTTAGAAGTATATTTTATTTTATTTTATTTTAGATGGAGTCTTGCTCTGTCAACCAGGCTTGAGTGCAGTGGCGTGATCTTGGCTCACTGCAACCTCTGTTTCCTTGGCTCAAGCAATTCTCCTGCCTCAGCCTCCCAAGTAGCTGGGATTACAGGGGCCCACCACCATGCCCGGCTAATTTTTGTATTATTAGTAGAAACAGGGTTTCACCATGTTGGCCAGGCTGGTCTCGAACTCCTGACCTCAAGTGATGCACCTGCCTCGGCCTCCCAAAGTGCTGGGATTACAGGTGCGAGCCACCGTGTCTGGCCAGAAGTACATGTTAAATAGTGGCACAGTACACACAGACACATACAGGCGTACACACAGACACATACAGACACACACACACACACACACATACACACACAACTGAAGCAAAAGCTTCTGAAAACAATATTTTACCTTACTACCTGGGTTGAACTTTTCTGTTCTCTTCTACAGCAAGCCACTCTACATCCTTAGCATTTTGTTGGAACATTCTCATCAGCTCCTATCTTTGCTTGAAGCTGGACTGTCCCCCAATTCAGCTGCCCTCGGCAGCCCTCAGTGCCCCAATGCTGCCCTCGGCAGCCCTCGACAGGAGGTGTTTTATCTCTTGCACCCCACATGTCTAAAGGCCAGAGGTTGGGGTAAGTTTCTTCCTTGTTGGTCCTGCCCCTTCTAAACCATTCCTTGCTCTTTCTCATGCCCAAACCAAACCAAACAACCAAAAAAAACTAAAAACTGGCTGCCCTGAAGTTTATGCCCTTAAAGGATATTACCTACCCCTTTCCCCTCTTCTTTATTGTCGTTTACTGCCTTCCTCTCCACTTTTATTCCTGGCATAATTTTTTTTTTTTTTTTTTGATACGGAGTCTCGGTCTGTCGCCCAGGCCGGACTGCAGTGGCCCGATCTCGGTTCACTGCAAGCTCCGCCTCCCGAGTTCACGCCATTCTCTTGCCTCAGCCTCCCGAGTAGCTGGGATTACAGGCGCCCACCACCACGCCCGGCTAATTTTTTGTATTTTTGGTAGAGACGGGGTTTCACCGTGTTAGCCAGGATGGTCTCCATCTCCTGACATCGTGATCCACCTGCCTCGGCCTCCCAAAGTGCTGGGATTACAGGCGTGAGCCACCGCACCCGGCCCCTGGCATAAGTTTGAATGATTTCAACATCCATGTGGGTGGACCATCCAATGCTCTTGCCTCTCAGTTCCTTGGTCCCATCTCTTCTAGAGATCTTTTCCCTATTCTACTTCAGCCTTGCACTTGTGTGGTCATACCTTAAGCCTGGGCTCACAAACTCAAATGCCAGTAGGGTAAGGCCCTTACTACCAATGAGTGAAGAAGGCCAGATGTTAGTCAGCAGAAAATAGTGGAAGCTGTGACCTCCCTGCCTGGTGCTACAGTTCTCTTTTAGAAAGGAGTGACCGCCACTCAGCTGCAGCCAGCTGTCATGTGGAAATGCTAGACCAGGATTTCCACATCTTCCAATTCATGGAAACACAGGTTGTCATGTGCTATCTCCCAAATTTTACATATTGGCAATAATATGGACTTTCAGTCTAAATATTGTGACATTAAAAAACATTTCCCCTCTTAAAAATCAGCTCAAAAGAAGAAAAAAAAAAGGGAAAATTAAATTATATCTTCCTTGAAACGTGGAGATATTCCAGAAGTTAGAAAACAGTGAAGATTTGGCCGGACGCAGTGGCTCACGCCTGTAATCCCAGCACTTTGGGAGGCCGAGGTGGGCGGATCACGAGGTCAGGAGATCGAGACCATCCTGGCTAACACGGTGAAACCCCGTCTCTACTAAAATACAAAAACAAAATTAGCTGGACGCGGTGGCGGGCGCCTGTAGTCCCAGCTACTCGGGAGGCTGAGGAGAGAGAATGGCGTGAACTCGGGAGGCGGAGCTTGCAGTGAGCCGAGATCGCGCCACTGCCCTCCAGTCTGGGCGACAGAGCGAGACTCTGTCTCAAATAAAAAAAAGAAAAGAAAACAGTGAAGATATGGTAAGTGACTTAGCAGAAGGGAGGGGACCAACCTCAGTGACTATCCAGGGCAATGCCATGAAGAAACAAGCTCATTGCATTGCAGAAGCACGGAAATATTCAGGAATGAATTGGAGGCTCCAGGTACCACAAAAGATAGATGGGAATGGAAGGAGGTGGCAGGCACTGAAAATAGGAGATTGATCTAAAATGTGGAATAGGAAACACTTATTACCCCGGTATCCTCTCTCATTTCAGCGGAAATGGAAGTATATTCTCAGGAGAAGAACTAGAGAGTGGCATTAGGTACAATAGACTGAAAAGAAAAGGTTACAGGAAAGTTGTATATGGAGTGATGAGATGCTAAGCTCCTTTCTGCCACCCAGATGCAGAATGCTAGCAACCTCAGACAAGAGATTTACGTATCTTCCCATGTAGACCGTTACAATTTTTTGTTAAATCCATAGATTTCATTGTTGTGACTGTTTAAACATTGTTTAGTACCGAACCTAGTATTGTCCCGTGATTATATTTTCCTGCCTTATACAATTTCTTATTTTACCTGGAGTTAATAATTGCCTTGTTTTCAACTTGTTGTTTTCCTAAAACTCATGACTAAGTGTTCCCACATCCGCAAGAGTAATGTCAAATGCCTGCAATACAGTTTTCCACACACTCAAACCAGACAGAGAGTCTACCCATTTCAGTTTTTCTTGGACTCAGCCCTCTGAAGCCCTCCATCCTGCTGCTCCTATCTGTACAGATGTGCTCTCCGGGTTTCTGCCCAGTTCAGAGAGAGAGAGAGAGAGAGAGAGAGAGGAAAGAGAGAGAGAGAGAGAGAGGAAAGAGAGAGAGAGAATAAGAAAGAGCTGTTTATTTTAAGGAATTGGCACATGTGATTATCCTCTCTGTACAGATGTGCTCTCCGGGGCTTGTGCCCAGTTCAGAGAGAGAGAGAAAGAGAGAGAGAGAGGAAAGGGGGAGGGGGGAGAGAGAGAGAAGAAAGAGAGAGAGAGAGGAAAGAGAGAGAGAGAGAATAAGAAAGCTGTTTATTTTAAGTAATTGGTGCATGTGATCATGGAGGCTTGCGAAATACAAAACATGCAGGGTAGCTGGCAGGCTGGAGACCCAGAGAAAAGTTGTAGTTTGAGTCCAAAGGCAGTCGGTTGGTGTCAGAAATTTTCTTGCTCAGAAGACGTTAGTAGTTTTATTCTATTAAGGTCTTCAACTGATTGGATAAGGCCCACCCACATTATGGATGGTAGTCTGCTTTACTCAAAATCCACCAATTAAATGTTAATCACATCTAAAAATTGTCTTCACAGAAACATCCAGAATAATGTTTGATCCACCAGGTAGGTTTGAGAAACAAGGAATGAAGAGTAAAGAAAGTGGTAAATATGTGGATGAATCTAAGCAAATACTGATAAAAAAATAATAATAACAATGTCTTAATGGGTTAAAAAGAATAATTAAAATACATAGAATAATAGTTCATAAGTTGGGAATTAAGTAAAAAGAATTAAAGTTTTTTTTTTTTTTTTGTGGTGGGGACAGGTTTTCACTCTTGTTGCCCAGGCTGGAGTGCAATGGCGTGATCTCGGCTCATTGCAACCTCAGCCTCCTGGGTCAAGTGATTCTCCTGCCTCAGCCTCCCAAGTAGCTGGGATTATAGGTACCCACCACCCCTCCCAGCTAATTTTTTTGTATTTTTAGTAGAGATAGGGTTTCACCATGTTGAGCAGGCTGGTCTTGAAATTCTGACCTCAGCTGATCCACCCGCCTCGGCATCCCAAAGAGCTGGGATTACAGGTGTGAGCCACCACACCCGGTCTAGTGTTCTTTCTTTTATTATGAGGAGAAAGTTAAAGGATCTGTTAACTTTAGACTTGATTATATTAAGTGAGCATATTATAATTTCTAAGGCAACTACTAAAAGAAATGAACAATGCATAGCTTTTGAACTATTTAAAGGGGAAAACATTGAAATGATTAAAATACTCAGTATATCAAAAATAAAGTAAAAAAGGAGAAAAGAAAAAACATGGAATGGGTGTGTCAAATAGAAAGCGGTGGCTCACACCTGTAATCCCAGCACTTTGGGAGGCTGAGATGGGTGGATCATGAGGTCAGGAGATCAAGACCATCCTGGCTAACATGGTGAAACCCCATCTCTACTAAAAATACAAAAAATTAGCCAGGTGTGGTGGTGTGTGCCTGTAATCCCAGCTACTCGGGAGGCTGAGGCAGGAGAATTGTTTGATCCCAGGAGGCAGAGGCTGCAGTGAGCCAAGATTGCGCCACTGCACTCCAGCCTGGGCGACAGAGCAAGACTCTGTATCAAAAAAAAAAAAAAAAAAAAAAGCACAAAATATGTTTGCAGATTTAAACTCAAATATATATAAAATGTGAGTTGTGCCTTTAGGAATGGTGCAATGTCATGGCCTTAACAATGTAGTGTTAATTACATTTCATGTAAATAAACTAAACGCTCCAGTTAAAAGATTTTCAGACTTGATAAAGACAAATTCTATCTCCATGTTATGTACAAGAAACATGTTTTAGAATTATAAAGATATAGAAAAGTTAAAAGGTAAAAGGTTATATAAGATATACCAAAAAAGCCTAAGCCAAAGGAAACTAGTATAGCTATATTAAGAAAGATATGGTTTTAAAGAAAATAAAATTACAATAAAAAATCAGTGAAGACACAAAAGGTTTGAATAAGATAATATGATTGACATAGTGAGATCTCCACCTAACTACTGCAGAATATATATATATCAAACATACAGAAAAATTATTAAATACAAATGAACAAATAAAAGCAAGTCTCAATACATTTCAAAGGTTTAAAATCATACAATGTGTGTTCTTAGATTATAAGACAAGCCAGAAATCAGCAAAAATTCGAATGAGAAAAATTAATATGTTAGGGATTAAAAGACAATCATGCTTCAAAACAAAATTGTAAAAATGTTAGAACATATTTTGAACAGAATTATAGCAAAATATTGCATATAAAATTTATGACATAATTTCAAAATAAGTATATTCAGAGAATCTAAAAATTAATTAAGTAAACATTCATCTCAAGAAGTTAGATATGCATGAGCAAGAAGGAAATAATGAAGATAAAAGGAGAAGTCTTTGAAATAGAAAGCAAATATATAATAGATTCGACAAAGCCAAATGCTGCTTCATTGATTTTAACAAAATTAAAATATCTGTCAAGAAGTATTAAAAAAAAATTAGAAGGCACAAATAGTCAATATGTAGAAACAGAAAAGAGACACACTTAGGTATATTTCAGATATTTAAAAGATAATACAAGGTTAATATGAACTGGAAAAATTTAGACAAAATGGATAATCTTCTAATAAATATATAACCCACCAAAGTTTATTCAGGAAGAAATAGGAAATCTATAATAAGAGATAGGAAATTTTACAATTATGGTGCCCATACACCCCATTTTGCCCAGGACAGTCCCAGTTTATATCTATTATGGATTAATGTCCATTAATTATTTTCATAACCCCTTTAATTCTCAAAAGCGCTCCAGTTTGGAGGATAAGCCATATGGTCATCCTGCCTGTTTATAATAATTAGAGTAACTAAATCCGTAGTCAGAAATGTTCCGCAAATGTTCCTCCTAAAACCATTCCAGGCCTCAATTCACCAACCAGTTCTACCAAACATTCATGGAAGAAATAATTTCAATCTTAGCCAAACTCTTTCACAAAATAGAAAAAGAGGAAATTTTTCCTGACTCTTAAGACTAGTGTAACCTTATTACTAAAATGTGGCAAAGACAGTACATGAAAAGAAGATTACAGGCAATGTCAAGCACGAACACAGACACAAAACTCGTAATCCAAATATTTGCAAACTGAATTTAGCAGTATCTAAAGGGATAATAAATTATGACCAAGTTGGCAATATCCCAGGAATTCAAAATTGGTTTTATGTTAGAAAATAAACTAAAATAGGCCGGGCCTGGTGGCTAACACCTGTAATTCCAATGCTTTGGGAGGCCGAGATGGGAGGACCACTTGAAGAGTTTGAGACCAACTTGGGCAACATAACAAGATTCCCTCTTTACAAAAATAAGAATAATAACAAAAGCTGGATGCAGTGTGTGTGCCTATACTCCTAGCTACTCAGGAGACTGAGGTGAGAGGACTACTAGAGCCCAGGAGTTCGAGGCTGCAGTGAGCTATTATTGTGCCACTGCACTCCAGCTTGGGCAACAGAGTGAGAAACTGTCTCTAAAAAAAAAAATCAACTAAAATAATTCACCATGTTACCACATTACCACATTAGAGAAGAAAAATCATAACATCTTCTCAATAGATATGGAAAAAAGCATTTCATAAAATTCAGCATACATTCATGATTTAAAACCTCTTATCAGAGTGAGAATACAAAGGAACTTCCTTGATAGTTATCTTCAAAAATCATACAGCACATCTCACTCTTAATGGTGATATTAGGTGGAGATCAGGGCAACACAAGCTTCCTACTATCATTGCCTCTATTTGATATTGTGATGGTGGTCCCAGCCAATAAAGTAAGAAAAAGATTGTGTAAGAACTAGAAAGGAAGGAACAAAACTGCCATTATTAGTGACGAATATGCTTATGTAATAGAAAATTTTAATTAAAACTACATATATTATTATTAGAATTAATGAGAGATGAACAACTTTTCTGGATATGAAAAATCAAAATTGCCTTTCTTTACATCAGCATCAAAGCACTGGAAAATGGAAAAAAAATATACATTTACAATAGTGTCAAAACATATAATGTACCTAGGAAGAAAATCTAACAAAAATGTTATGGAGAAAACAATAAACCTTTATTGAGAGATATCAAAGAAACTATAATGGACAAATATATAGTAGTCCCCCCTTGCCCATAGTGGATACGTTCCAAGACCCCCAATGGATGCCTGAAACTGCAGATAGTACTGAACCCTATATACACTGTTTTCTCCTATACACACAAACCTAGGATTAATTTGTAATTTAGGCACAGCAGAGACTAAAACAACTAAAAATAAAATAAAACAATTATGACAATGTGCCAGCATTATTACTCTTTCACTTTAGGGCCATTATTAAATAAGATAAGGATTCCTTCAACACAAGCACTGCAATACTGCGACAGTCGGTATTGAAAACTGAGATGGCTGCTAAGTGACTGATGGATGGGGGGCTTGTATAGCCGTGGGTGCTCTGGGCAAAGGGATGACTCATATTCTGGGCTATGCAGAGCAGGACAGTATGAGATTTCATCCCCCCCAGTCAGAACGGTGCACGGTTTAAAACTTATGAATTGTTTATTTCTGGTGAATTTTCCATTTAATATTTTGGGACTGTGACTGACCAAAAGTAACAGAAACTTTGGAAGCAAAATAGTGGATAAGGGGAGACTACTGTAACAAGTTTCTGGATTAGAAGATTCAATATTGTAAGCATATCAGAATTTTCCAAATCAACCCATAGATTCAGTGCAAACACACCAAACACATAATCGTTTAAGTTATTGAGCTTGGCAAACTGATTCTGACGTTAAAATGGACTGATAGCTGATAATTTTTTTTTTTTTTTTTGAGACAGAGTCTCACCCTGTGGCCCAGGCTGGAGTGCAGTGGTGCGATCTTGGCTCATTGCAACCTCCGCCTCCTGGGTTCAAGCAATTCTCCTGCCTCAGCCTCCCGAGTAGCTGGGACTACAGGCATGCGCCACCATGCCTGCTAATTTTTGTATTTTTAGTGGAGACGGGGTTTCACCATGTTGGCCAGGATGGTCTCAAACTCCTGACCTCAAGTGATCCGCCCGCCTCGGCCTCCCAAAGTTCTCAGGCGAGAGCCACCATGCCCGACCAGCTGAGACTTTTTTTTTTTTTTTTTTTAAGACACAGTCTTGCTCTGTCATCCAGGCTGGAGTGCAGTGGCGCGATCTTGGCTCACTGCATGCTCTGCCTCCCGGGTTCATGCCATTCTCCTGCCTCAGCCTCCCAAGTAGCTGGGACTACAGGCGCCCGCCACTACGCCCGGCTAATTTTTTGTGTTTTTAGTAGGGACGGGGTTTCACCGTGTTAGCCAGGATGGTCTCGATCTCCTGACCTCGGGATCCGCCCGTCTTGGCCTCCCAAAGTGTTGGGATTACAGGCGTGAGCCACTGCGCCCGGAGCTGAGACATTCTTAAGGAAGAAAAGCAAGGTGGAAATAAATATTTGTCCTGTACGATGTTGAGACTTAATACATCACTAGAATGATTAAGAAGGTATAAGGTTGGCTCAGGGATAGACAAATAGACCCGTAGTACAGAGAGAGAGCCCCAAAATACACCTAGACACATATGGATACTTGATATACAACAGAGTTGGCATTGCCAATAAGTCATGAAACGATGGCTTTTTCATGAAAGGTGCTGAGACAATTGGGATTTCTTATAAAAGAATAAAACCCAAAATGGTCCTATACCTTACATTACACTAAAAAATCATTTATAGGTAAATTATATGTGAAAAGCAAACCTGTAATGCTTTTAGAGGATAATATAGCAGATATCTTTAAGACTTGGGAATATGGAACTATTTCTTAAATATTACATTAAAGCATCTAGCCATAAAGTAGAAGATTAATAAATAAGGCAATATTAAAACTAAGAGCTTCTATCATCAAAAGACACAAGACTGGGAGAATATATTCACAATATATATAATTGGTGAAAGATTAATCTCCGAATATATATATTTATATAGTTTTTAAAATGCCTACTTATCATTGAGAATAAGGCAGACAACTCAGTAGAAACATGCACACAGGGGCCGGGTGCGGTGGCTCACGCCCCCAGCACTTTGGGAAGCTGAGGAGAGCGGATCACGAGTTCAGGAGTTCAAGACCAGCCCGGCTAACACGGTGAAACCCCGTCTGTACTAAAAATACAAAAAAATTAGCCGGGCGTGGTGTCACGCCCCTGTAGTCCCAGCTACTCCGGAGGCTGAGGCAGGAGAATCGCTTGGACCAGGAGGCGAAGGTTGCAGTAAGCCGAGATGCGCCACTGCATTTCAGCCTGGTGACAGAGCGAGACTCTGTCTCAAAAAAAAAAAAAAAAAAAAAGAACGAAAGAAAGAAAAAAAGAAACATGCACATAGGAGTTGAATAGACAACTCAACAAAGAGGCATTCCAGATGTCTGATAAACATATGAAAGGTGTCATCTTCATTTGCATTCACGGAAATGCACCTTGAAACAACAGCGAGATACCCTACAATCCCAACAGGCTGGCTAAAATTACGAAATCTAAAATAAGTTTGGGAACTCAAAAGCATTGCTAGTGTGAGCACAAATTGGCAAAACAACTTTGGAAAACAGCATGACATTATGGCATAGTTGTCAACGTATTGCTTCTCAGCTCAAATTCACTTTTCAATACAAGCTTTGAGATGAGGGAATTTCTTTAAGCATTTCTCCTCTAAAGTGAGCACGATGTTGAGCTTTCTCAGTAGAGGGCGCTAGGCAGGTGTTGCGGGAGGGAGGGGCGCTTCTGCAGTTTCTGGCGGAGGCTCAGTGGTCAACCGTGCGGGTGGGAAGGGGTCGGGTGGATTCTGCCCTTCCATATGCCCAGAGTTCCAAGTCCCTCAGCGACTTCACAGCCCCCTTGTCTGCTCAACACGGTCACTATGTGTTTCAGGCGCCCTCAGGCCTGTTGCACAGTCACACGCAGGCCACCAGCTGCGGCTCCCCTGCCCAGCCTGCACTTTGGAGGGTTGTTTCCTGTTTTTTTTTTCCACCACTGCAAACCATCAAATTTCTCTGCCATCCAGTGGGTTCAACTACACCTTCTCCAACGAAGTCAGAACCACAGTTTTGGAGAGGGAGCCCCTTGCAAGTTTATTCTTCCTTGGGTAACTCTCTCTTGGCCCCAAGGCACCATGAAAGTTTTCTTATTTTCTATAGCTACTCCTTTATCCCAACTTAATAATTCTTTATATTAAACTCTCCCTTTGCGGTAGGAGTTTATATTAAACTAAACCCTTTGTGTTTAAAATAATTGCGTGGTTTCTATCTTCTGATTGGATCCACCCTGCTAAGTATTGAGAATGTGCCATACAATTCCACAGCAATTCCACTTCTAATTATCTTTTCTAGAGGAGATTTTTGCACACGTGCATTAATTCACAGGAACCAAAACGTTTATAGCAGCAATTTGCATAAAAGCCAAATTCTGAAAATAACTCAAATGTTCATGAAGAGAGAACAGATAATTAAATTGTTACAGTCCTACAAGGAAATGAAAATCAGTGAACTACAGCTAGACAGAACAAAATGGATGAATGTCACAGACAATGTTCAGTGTGAAAGAAGCAGGTTACAGGTTGGTGTTTACTATATAATCCCATTGATCCCATTTAAAGTTCAACTTTATTTAAAACTAAACTACATTGTTTGGAGATATATATATATTAAAACCATAAAGAAAAGCAAGGAAATGAATATTTTAAAAGTTAGAATAGTGGCTACCTTTATAAGGTTGCTTTTGGGGTGCCCTCTTTGTCATGCGGATGTGGTTACATAGGTATTTGAATTACAATTCCTCTTTGACTTATGCATATATGTTCTGTGCATTCTATTAAAGTCTTTGCAATTATGTAAACTAATAACCACAACACAAAGAAAGACACAGTTCCTGCCTTTATGAAACTTACGGGGAGAAAGAACAAAACAGAAAACGTGGAATCACTTAAGATGGAGATAGCATGATTACATTTTCTTTCTTTCTTTCTCTCTCTTTCTCTCTCTCTCTCCTTCCTTCCTTCCTTCTTTTCTTTTTTGAGACAAGGTCTTGCTCTGTCACCCAGGGTGGGATACAGTGGCACGATCATGGTTCACTGCATCTTTGACCTCCTGGGCTCAAGTGATGCTCCCACCTCAGCCTCCCGAGTAGCTGGGACAACAGGGGTGTACCACCACACCTGGCTAATTTTTGTATTTTTTGTAGAGATGGGGTTTTGTCATGTTGCCCAGGCTGGTCTCAAACTCCTGGGCTCAAGGGATCCACCTGCCTCAGCCTCCTAAAGTGCTGAGATTACAGGCATGAGCCACTGTGCCTGGCCTGCGATTCATTTTTTAAACAAGTATCTTTGGACTGCAATCCGGCTAGATTAGACCTTGGAACAATGAAATATGACAAACATTTTAAAAATGCATTGTTCAGCTGGCAAGAAAGTATGGTGAATTCCAAGGGTGGAAAACAAAGAGATAATCAACAAGCAGAGATATGGGGAGCTGATGCTGTAGTTGCCTTAGGTGCAGTAGTGATGTACTGGTCTCAGTAGCCAGGCAGCTTGGATTTTAATGGTCACCTGCTGTCCAGGACAGGCTTTGGGCCTAAGGGAGATGGGAAGGTTGAAGTGAGACCCTGGATAAAGCTATACCACAGGGACATGATAGACTAGAAAAAAAATTACGGACACAGGGAGACAAAATAAAGCTTTTGTGTTTTGGTTTGCACTCCAGTTAGAATAAAATCAGGGGTGTAATCCCAGCACTTTGGGAGGCTGAGGTGGGCAGATCACCTGAGGTCAGGAGTTCGAGACCAGCCTGGCAAACACGACAAAAACTCATCTCTAATAAAAGTACAAAAAAATTAGCCAGGCATGGTGGTGTGTGCCTGTAATCCCAGCTGTCCAGGATGCTGAGGCAAGAGAATCACTTGAACCCTGGAGGTGGAGGTTGCGGTAAGCCAACATTGCACCATTGCATTCCAGCCTAGGTGACAGAGTGGGACTCCATCTCAAAAAAAAAAAAAAGAAAGAAAGAAAGAAAGAAAAAAGAAAAGAATAAAATGCAGGGAAAAATGTGCCCAGAGAAGATTGATAATCTTGATAATCCAGGGTTGGACCTCATGTTGGTCTGATATTCTAAATTACATTACCCATGTGAGCCAGTAATCTCTAGGTAGAAACATTAACATAAGAATTAATCACTCTAGGATGATACTACTGCTGGGCACCTGGCAGAAGCAACATAAAACCGCTTTAGAGAAATACACCTGTACCCAGGTCACATGGAACGTCCACCAAATGGGAGCTCATGAACCTAAATTACAATAACATGATGAAATAATTCATCCTGATGAAAAGTCAACAGACGCAATAGTCAGCAAGATTAGACTCTCAGAACTTTAGAAAATATAATAAATAAATATTAGTAAAATATCAAGATTATAAAACCAGGAGTCACATAACACAAGAACATCTTAGTATCAAGAAAAAATTAATTTGAAAAAACTAGACTGAACTTCCAGAAATAAAATATGTGGTCAATGAAATTAAATATATCTTCTTGCATAATAGTTCCTAAGGCATTGGCCTCAAAGTAGTCTTTACAGGAAATTGGAGCTGCCTAGAGTCATAATGTCAGGTGAGTGATAATTTACAAGCAATTATAGATATAGTGATATATTTAGAGGTGAGAGCAGCCTTATAGATATACTAGTGACACTCCCTTTGGTGAAAGATATAAAAATCTTAGCCCCAGGATGTAAACCAAGTCACAGATAACAGTAAACTCCCATCTAGAGCACACATGTTCTGACACCTGTTAAGTGCCTTTTCAGATATGTCACATTCCCCTATCCATAGACACAGGCACCTGCTGAGAGAAAGATCAGGGAAGTTTGATGACACTTGTTGCAGTGAAAAGCTGGTAAAAGGAGAAAGGAAAGAGGCTATCTCAGACCTGAAAAGGCTGGGAGACTATTTTTGTATATAATAACAGGAAATAGTCTTCACATTATATAAACAGGAATTTAATGGAGGAGAGCCACCCAGGGACTCTGGGGAATGCTGGAATACATACTTGCTTACGTCCTGCGAGGGTGGATTTGAGTGAGGAGCAGGGCAGTGAATTCTGGCACTTGTCAGTGCCAGGGCTAAATTATTCTGCTCCTGTTTGGTGGAGGTAACAGCTCTTACATCACTTTAATTGTTTCCTTCCATTGACGTGAAATGAGGAATTTCTTCCATGGAGTGCTTGGTTCAAGCACTGCCAAGAGTTGGCAAAGCTCCTAGTGGCATCTTTCACTTTTGGTCTCTGGTGGCTCTTAAATACAGATGAATTGTGTAGGAAACAAACAGGAGGAATTATCAATCATATGTGTCTCCTCTCAAGAAAATGTGCCATTTTCCTCTTATATATACTGCGATGGCATTTGTTTTTTCAAGTTTGCTCAGTTCACAATCTGCACACTTCACCTTCTTCAAGAAGTCTCCTAGGCTGAAAGCTATTGTCAGCTGTTCTGTGATTCTATCTTGTGTTACCATTGCAGGTGTACATGTCTTACCTCCTTCAGTAGACAGTGACTTCGGAAGACAGATCCTGGTCTGATCCATTTTTGAGTTCTCTATAATGGCTTTCCCAGTTCCTCACACACATTTGGTGCTTAATAAATGTTTGTCTTATGAGTGAACCGATCTTTGATTTGTTGTGTAGTAAACATACAAAATTCTAGGCTGTATCAGCTAGAAATTATGTTGGTACTAGTGACTGAGAACCTAGCATAGTGGCTTAAATAAATTAAAGCCTTCTTTTTCTGTGATGTAAAAAAAAAATTATTAGTCTTGTCAGTCCAGGATGGGTAAGGCAGCTTCACCACATCATGAGGGACCCAAGCACTTCCTTCCATTCTGCGTTCTTCAGCATGTTGCTTGCATCTTCGAGGTCACAAAATATCTGCCAGAGCTCCAGCCAGTAGGTCTGCATTTTAGGAGAATAGAAAGGGAAAGACAAGGGGCAAGCAGGCTCTTCCCTCATTGGCATGAAAAAACCCCAGTAAAGAGAGTTGCAGGAAACACCAATCAAAGACTTATATTTAAATTTCATTGACCAGCCCCTTAACTGCAAGGGAGGATGGGGAGTAAAGCTTTTTAGCTTGGCACACTTTCCCCCTAAGCAAAATCTGAGTTATGTTTCTAAGGCACAAAGAGAGAGAGGATATTGGGTAAGCAGCCTGCAGTCTTTGCCATGAAGGATCTTAATCATTCATCAGTAAGTATGATCTTTTTTTTTTTTAAATGTCAATTGTTTCTTTAAGATTTTTAGTTTCTCTTCAAAGTCTATAGGTAAATCACTGAAATTTATCCAGATCCCAGCCTTCACATCCAGGGATTTTGGTGTACCACCATCTACTCAATGCTCCCCGTCCTCCTACCCCATCAAATGAGCTTCGTTTGTTTTTCCTTTATCTCTAAGTGGTATGACACCATCTGCTGTTTTCTGCTTTTGACCCAGAGCCATGTCTGGCATCATCAGACTAATCAAGAGGTGGGAAGGGACAAGGTCAGGCATGGGTTAGTGACACAAACCACTTGGTAATTAAAAACCCCTTGGTGATAACATTTTCTCCTTGCACAACAAAATATCCATTGCAGGATTTTGATAAAATTCTGCTCTATTAATCATCAGCAATTGGAAGCTCAGAATGTGAGGCTAATTGTCAGATTGATGTTGCGGCTGAGAGGAAGTATTAAAATTTCGCAAAGACCATAAGAGAGGCAGTTATAGAAATAGTGTGCTAATTCTTAGCTTACATTTCCATATATGTTAAATTTCTCTTAGAAATTATTTGGATTACTGATGTACAAGTGATTACTAAAGATAATAATTAATCAATTTAGTCCTCCATTCCATTAATCAATAATTGTTGAGTATATACTATTTGCCAGGCATTGTGCTAGCTGCGAGAGCTATAAATGAGAGTTTTTTAAATGTAGACGTTTCTGAGTTAAAGATACACTGAAAGGCTAAAATGAACAGCAGGAAAATGAGATGATAATCTGAAATCAGCTTCCATAGACCAATAATCCCAGAAAGGCTGCGAGAAAATTAATAGCAGAAACTAAGCTTGGGTATTTTGCAATTCTCTTTTAGCCACACAAAATTAAATTAGAAATTCTGAGAAGACTCAAGCAGGGACTGTTAATATGGGGTTTTGACATGTATTAACTAGACAATCTTTATGAATAAAGAAAAGAGAACAAGTCGCTTCCATGGCATAATATTAAAATAAGGCCTCCTGGATAGCCACTATTCTGAATAAGATAAGAAAGACGATGCCATTACAGCTAAGCAGCTCAAAATTCCATTAGAATATTTTAAGCGTTAGTATAGGAATTTACACAAGAGTTAGAGAAAATGAAATTTAAAACCAAGACCTGAAAGGCACTCATGAATTTAAGGGCAGGTCATTTTGCAGGGGTTGGGTGGGGCAGGAGAATCACTGGATTGTGAAATTGAAATTGAAATTGAAATTGGTTAATTTCAACGGACTACTTGATACAATTGATAGCCATGGATTTGGCAACTGTGGATGCCAGGGCAGACAGAGTTTGCTCCTAAGAAGATGCCCAACTCAGAGACGCTGGGTCCTGTGTCCCATGGTCTCCAGTGCCTTTCATTTGGAGATCATATCACTGTCCTGTGCTTTTGACCTTGTTAGTTGGTCTGACATACTTGTTTTCTTCCCTTTAGCTGAATGAATAATTTATAATCTCTGGAAAGTATAAAAACCCAATGTACTCTTATGTAATTTGTGTTTAAATGTAACCATTATGATGTCCTGTGCATACTATGTTAATGTTTTAAATGATTTTTGAAAGGCTTAAAAAGATTTCTCTCTACAAAATTTATAAGGCTGATGTAGTAGATTGTTAAGAGGAAGGTTTCTTACATTTGTAACTCTCCCTTTGTATATTTCGAATGTTTGAGAGGGGGAGTTATATTAAAATAAAACTTTCAAATAGCCAAGGGAATTTGATTGGTTAAATATGCAAATGATGTTTAACATGAAACATTACTCCTGGCCAGGTGCGGTGGCTCACACCTGTAATCCCAGCACTTTGGGAGGCTGAGGCGGGTGGATCACAAGGTCAGGAGATTGAGACCATCCTGACTAACACGGTGAAACCCCGTCTCTACTAAAAATGCAAAAAATTAGCCAGGCGTGGTGACGGGCACCTGTAGTCCCAGCTACTCGGGAGGCTGAGGCAGGAGAATGGCGTGAACCCAGGAGGCGGAGGTTGCAGTGAGCCGAGATCGCGCCACTGCACTCCAGCCTGGGCGACAGAATGAGACTCCGTCTCAAAAAAACAAAAAAAAGAAACATCACTCCTGTAATCCCAGCACTTTGGGAGGCCAAGGTTGGCGGATCACCTGAGGTCAAGAGTTCGAGACCGGCCTGGCCAACATAGTGAAACCCCATCTCTACTAAAAATACAAAAATTAGCTGGGCTTGGTGGCGCAAGACTGTAATCCCAGGCACTCGGGAGGCTGTGGCAGAAGAATCGCTTGAACCTGGGAGGCAGAGTTTGCAGTTAGCTGAGATAGCGCCATTGTACTGCAGCCTGGGCAACAAGAATGAAACTCCACCTCAAAAAAAAAACACAAAAAGTTAATGATTATACTTTAAAAAAAATTTTACTGAAGTATGAATTTTATCAGGTTAAAAAGAGCCTTAGCTCTAGATTTAAGAGCATAATTGCTGGGTCATATGTGTATGGCTCCAGCTTGGATGGAAAGTTCTGAATTGTTCTCCAACACTCCCACTGCAACCCCACCACACATTATTCCATAGTCTGCCAACACTTGATGGTGTGAGGCTCTCTGCTTGTTCCCAACCTGACGACTATAAAATGATATCTCGACCAGGCGCGGTGGCTCATGCCTGTAATCCCAGCACTTTGGAAGGCCGAGGTGGGTGGATCACCTGAGGTCAGGAGTTCGCGACCAGCCTGGCCAACATGGCAAAACCCCGTCTCTACTAAAAATACAAAAATTAGCCAGGCATGGTGGTTCATTCCTGTAATCTGAGCTACTTGAGGGGGCTGAGGCAGGAGAATTGCTTGAACCTGGGAGGCGGAGGTTGCAGTGAGCTGAGATCACGCCACTGCACTCTAGCCTGGGCAACAGAGCAAGACTCCATCTAAAACAAAAAATAAATAAATAAAATGATATCTTATGATGGTTTTAACTTGACTTTTCCTGATTATTAGTGAAATTTCCATTTGTCTTTTATGATAATTTTTATGTTGTCTTTTTCTTATACATATATATTCTGGATTAGTCCCTTAGGAGAGTTAGATGTGTTGCAAATAGCTTCTCCTAGTTTATGCAGATTTTTTACTTTTCTTTTTTTTTTTTAGTATGTCTTTTGATCAGTAGAAGTTTTATATTTTAATCTCGTTCAGTTTATTAGTCTTCTCCTTTATAGTTGGTGCTTAGGTTTTGAAATATCAAGTACCTTTTGGTAATTTTTCAACAGCTTAGCTTATATGGCACAATGCATTTCATATGTACATATACAAATGTCAAAATTATAAATATGCCTAAATTATACATCTGTAACTAGCCTTAAATATTGTAATTAAAACTGTATAATTAAACTAAGCATGCAAGCCAATAGTTTAAAAAAGAGTTTCACTCCAGTTTGGTACTGATTTAGCTCTTGAGCTATTGAAATCAATGGCCAGCATATGAAGCAATTATCTGACGCTTGTGGGTGGTGACCTTGCAGCAGCTCAGCCTCTTCTTTCATTTCATCCTATTTTTGTCCTTAATAGCAGATATTTATCTCAGTTTAAAATTTTATTATTTTCTTTATAACTACAATCTTAACAGTTTAAAATAGTACTAAATTTCATGTGGAAAGAAACTTCAGATTCTCAGCACCTTATCTTCCTTAGCGATTTCCACTCTAGCCCTCAATGTTATTAGGTAAACTCTTATCTCAATTGTTGTTTTCACTGAGTGCTATCTAACCATAATGAAAAAGGGAAAAAAAATAGAGTCCGAATTATCCATAACTGCCTCTGCTTTCTGAGAAAGGCAACGTGATTCTTTTTCAGTGGAGGAAAAACCTCTCTATGGACTTTTTTCACCCCATAACAGAGAGATTAGTGGGAGAAAGAGAAGAGCTTGAGATTCCTGTCTATCAGGGCCTTTGGAAATTCAAATTGTGTCCCAGAGCTGAATTCTCCAAAAGAATGTACAGAGATTTGGAGGTGCGGGGGAGAGAGGGCTAAATAGTTTGGCGGGAGGCTGGAAGCTGAGCTGGTAGATAGGGTCAGAAGACTTTTTAAGAACAAAGACTGGAGACTTGAGGTGACTCCATCTTCACTATTACTTCAGATCTTTCTTATAATGTGCTTCATAAACACACACCTTGTGTGAAAGCTGCTTTTGAGAAAAAGAAACGTATTTTATGCGACGCAGGGTGCAACAGGAGCGGCGCATGTGGGGCAGTGAGAAATTCCTTCCCCTGACCCGATTCAGCAGTGAAGGTGATCAGAGCAAATAGGAACTGGACTGCTTCACGCTCCTCAAGGACTTTAAGGAGTGTGTCTTCCACCACCCACAGCAAAGGGCTCAGAAAATTTTATCTGAACCTCCTGACATCTGAGTTATACAAACTAAGACAAAGAATGGGAAGCACATAGCAGCCACTGGTCCATTACAGTTCTAAAGTCCAGCCAGGCGCGTATTTACCCGAGATAGAAAATGTTCCTTAGTCAGGGTCTAGTACTGCTCACTGGAAGTAATTCCCCGATCCACTCTTTTTTTGAGGCTCTTTAGTTCATCCTCTGTGCTCTTGGCTCTGCCCTCCAAGTTGTCCTTCATTTTCATTAGAAGTAGCTTTCACAATCTGCTGCTTGCCCCTAAAAACTGGGGACCCAGAGAGTTCATTTCATTTTGAAATAATGTCCCTGCTCCATTTAGTTAGAGCTGGCTTTAGCAAGTATGCAGCAGGGGACTAATATCCAGAATTTAGAAGGAATTCAAATGACTCAACGACAACAACAAACCAATAATTCCATTAAAAAGTGGGCAAAGGACATGAATAGACATTTTTACTTTCTTTTTTGTTTGTTTGCTTTTGAGACAGAGTCTCACTCTGTCACCCAGGCTGGAGTGCAGTCGGGTGATCTTGGCTCACTGCAACCTCTGCCTCCCGGACTCAAGCAATTCTCCTGCCTCAGCCTCCCATGTAGCTGGGACCAGAGGTGTGTGCCACCACGCTTGGCTAATTTTTGTATTTTCTTCTTAGTTAGAGATGGGGTTCCGCTGTATTGGCCAGGCTGATCTCGAACTCCTAGTTAAGTGGTCCACCCGCCTCGGCCTAAAGTGCTGGGATTACAGGAGTGAGCCATCGTGGCCGGCCAAATAGACATTTTTCAAAAGAAGACACACAAATGACCAACAAGCATATGAAAACATGCTTAACATCACTAGTTATCAGAGAAATGCAAATTAAAACCAAATGAGATATCATCTTACACCAATCAAAATGGCTATTATTATTATTATTTTGAGATGGAGTCTTGCTCTGTTGCCCAGGCTGGAGTGCAATGGTGCAATCTCAGCTCACTGCAACCCACGCCTCCCCGGTTCAAGCAAATCCCCTCCTTCAGCCTCCCTAGTAGCTGAGATTACAGGAGTGCCCCACCACGCCTGGCTAATTTTTGTATTTTTAGTAGAGACGGGGTTTCACCATGCTGGCCAGGCTGGTCTTGAACTCCTGACCTTGTGATCCACCAGCCTCGGCCTCCCAAAGTGCTAGGATTACAGGTGTGAGCCATGGCGCCCAGCCCAGAATGGCTATTATTAAAAAGACAAAAAGTGGCAGATGTTGGTGAGGATGTGGAGAAAAGGGAATGGCTTACACATTGCTGGCAGAAATGTTAATTAGTACAACCTCTATGGAAAACATCATGGAGATTTCTCAAAGAAATAAAAATAGAACTACAATTCGATCCAGCAGTTTCGCTACTGGGTATCTACACAGAGTAAAGAAATCATTTTATAAAAAAAGATACCTGTACTCATGTATATCACAGCACTCTTCACAATAGCATAGATATCAGCCTAAGTGTCCATCAACAAATGATAGGTAAAAGAAAATATTTGTCTATATACACAATGGAATGCTATTCAGCCATAAAAAAGAATGAAATGATGTCTTTTGCAGCAACGTGGATGGAACTGGAGGCTATGATCTTAAGTGAAACAACTCAGAAACAGAAAGTCAAGTACTGCATGTTTTCTCTCATAAGTGGGAGCTAACCGGTGGGTAAACATGGATATTGAGTATGGATGATAGACAGTGGAGATTAGGAAGGGTGGTGAGATAGGGAGAGAGAATGATAAATCACTTGGTGGTACAACCTATGTTATTTGGGTGATGGGTAACCTAAAAGCTCCGACTCCACCACTACACAATGTATTCATCTAACAAAATTGTACCACATAAATATATACACATTTTAAAAATTTAAAAAAAAGTTCTGAGTTCTTGTTGAGTCTTATTGAGGATCACACCATAGCAGAAGGACTACATCCATAATTCTTTCTAAGATGCGCTTTTCTGTACTTTGGGCCACATGTGAGGCTGCTATGGTAAATGCTCTTAAGATTCTTAGAAGTCCAACTGTCTAGTTGAGAAAGTCTACTAGGTGCTGCCTTAAATCTTATAGAAGTTTTAATAAGGGATCTTGGCTGGGCACAGTGGCTCACACCTGTGATCCCAACACTTTGGGAGGCCGAGGCGGGTGGATCACCTGAGGTCAGGGGTTCGAAACCAGCCTGGCCAACATGGCGAAACCCCGTGTCTACTAAAAATACAAAAATTAGCTGGGCATGGTGGCACATGCCTATAATCCCAGGACTCAGGAAACTGAGGCAGGAGAATCGCTTGAACCCAGGAGGCAAAGTTTTCAGTGAGCCAAGTTCATGCCACTGCACTCCAGCCTGGGCAACAGAGTGAGACTCCATCTCAAAAAAAAAAAAAAAAAAGATGGGCATTTTACCTTATTAAAATAGTAATCATAAGGGAGCTTATAGACAAACCTTTTTTTTAATGTTTACTTACCTTGGCCATTTCTTACTTTGAGAATGTTTTGCTGGCCGGAGATGCTGTCCTGGGCCCTCTGTTTCTTCTTACTGCTGCCTAAAACCTAAAGAGTTCTTTCTTTCCATTCATCTCTTTCTTCCTGCACTTTATCTTCCTGCACTTTACTAAAACCTAAAGAGTTCTTTCTTTCCATTCATCTCTTTCTTCCTGCACTTTATCTTCCTGCACTTTACTAAAACCTAAAGAGTTCTTTCTTTCCATTCATCTCTTTCTTCCTGCACTTTATCTTCCTGCACTTTACTAAAACCTAAAGAGTTCTTTCTTTCCATTCATCTCTTTCTTCCTGCACTTTATTCTGCACTTTCTTCCTGCACTTTGTAACTTTCTTCCTGCACTTCATCACTTTCTTCCTGCACTTCCTGCACTCTCCATTCATCTCTTTCTTCCTGCACTTTTAACACAGGTAAAAGAAGCCAATTGTACTTTCAATATTTTACCTAAAAATCTCCTTATTCAGATCAAGTTCATTAGCTATATTTTATTTCTGTCTTTCATGACATTACAGGTGACAATGTGGCCAAAAATCTCACTACTATGTAACATCTTTTGTCACGCTTCCAAAAGCAATTTTCTCACTGCTATTGCAGGCTTCCTAACAATTTCCTCACTGCCCTTCTAGCCTCTGCTGCCTCCCAATATCAGAGCCAATGACAAATGTTTTAGGGTTTGGTTATGGCAGTATCCCACTTCCAGATAGCAATTTCTGTTTCAATTATCTACTGCTGTGTCATAAACCCGCCCAGCATTTAGTGGCTTAAATCAATATCCATTTTATTGCTCACAATTCTGTGGGTCAGGAATTTGGGTGAGGGCTGATGGCAACAGCTCATCTCAGCTCCAGTGGGGCTAACTGGGAAAGATCCAAGCTGTCGGCCGGCTCGGGCACCTTGATTCTCCTGTCTGTGGCCTCTCATCATCCAGACCCTGTTCCTTTCCATGTAGCGTCTCCAACAGGACACGCTGGACTTCTTTACACACCAGCTGGCTTCCAAGAAGGCAGAAACAGAAACTGCTAGGCCTCTTATGGCCTAGGCCCAGAAGTCACAATGCCACTTCCAGAGCTTTCTGTTGGTTAGATCAAGTCATGAAGCCAATCTATATTCAAGGGAAGGGGAAAGATATTTCATTTCTTTGCTGGGAATGATACATCACAAAACAGCATGCAGGATAGGATGGATTGGGGTGACCATTTTTAGAAAGGACCTACCTCTCAGAAAGAGGCAAAAATTCATGAACTGAAATACTCTCTGAGACAATCTCTATTTTATAGTCTAGCAATAAACCAGAAGTTCAAGCTCTGCTCTCTGGCTATGTAAGCAAACTGAGGTCAGAAAGGAGTTCAAGCAACAACGAATTGATACAAGGCTGCTGTTACAAGATTCTCATCTATAGTGGTTTGGTCTTTGCTCGAGCATTTTGAGAGACAAACTGCCTCCAAAGGAGACCTGTTCCACAATTGAATAATTCTAAAGTCTATAACAATCTTCCATTTGCAAAGTTCAACATTGCCTTTCTGTGACTCCTCCCATGGTCAGATATCTGCCCTCCAAGGCCACTGAAAGAAAGGCTACTCCCTCCTCAATATGGCATTCATTTAAATCTAAATATTTTCAGACACTTTTCTTGACTCAAGACTTCCTAACTTCTTTACCTGTCTATCATGTTAAGTCATTATTTCCCAGAAACATGTGTTTATGTATAACACATACAATCCATAGAATAAAATTTGCCCAGAATAGTATGTTTAAGAGGAAAGAAAAGTATGTAATAGATTATTGAAAGTTTCAAAATATCTGGTGGTACAATGAGTGAG
The DNA here is from genome assembly GCF_000001405.40 of Homo sapiens. NCBI lineage: Eukaryota > Metazoa > Chordata > Mammalia > Primates > Hominidae > Homo > Homo sapiens. The sequence continues at coordinate 29,998,729 of NC_000015.10, forward strand.
TTAAACATTTATCTGGCTTAACCATTCAGTTTGATCTTGTGGAAATCCAGTGCTTGGAACTTATCTTGTCCTAACTTTTTCATAACATAGTCACTGTTTACCTGAATAATTGTCTAAATGTAGTGTCCTTTATGGTTGGTTAGTATTCACTGGGTGATGGGGAAAAGAAATACATAAATCCTGAGAAAAGCTGAAAGCAAAGTTTATTCTTACAAATGACAAAAAATGCCCAGATACAACAGACTCTCTGTTTGATGTGTGTGTGCCAGAATGAAAACTATGGGTCTGAGGCACCTTCTTTTTAAAAAAAAAAAAATTTTTATTTGCATAGGTTTTTGGGGAACAAGTGATATTTGAGTACATGAGTAAATTCTTTAGTGGTGATTTGTGAGCTTTTGGTGCACCCATCATCTGAGCAGTATATACTGCGCCCAGCGTGTAGTCTTTTATCCCTCACCCCCTTTCCACACTTTGTCCCTGAGTCCCCAAAGTCCAATGTATCATTCTTATGCCTTTGCATCCTGAGGCACCTTCTTCCATAAGCACCATCCAGAAGGAGAAGTGGTTCTTCAACTATGGCTGATGGGAGCAAAGTGCTGAAGCAACTATGACTGGTTGAAAGACCATTTCTCCTGTGAATGGTGCTTATGGAAGAAGGTGCCTTAGACCCAAAACTAGAGTGAGGCTTTTATTGGTTGGGGAAGGTGGCTATAAAAAGATAAGAATAATGAAAAGCTATGACCAATTAAAAAAAATGAGAACTTAATCACAGCCTTATCGACCCACAACCAGGGGTCCACAAATAGCCTTAATTATGACTTATGTTATTAAGATAACAACCCCAAATTTTCCGGGCAGCAATTTTTTGGTGCCAATATTTTGGTCTTTTGCTTCCAAAGACTAGCCTTTTGATAAAGTCAGACAGCTCTAAAATGTATGTGTTTAAGTTCTATAAATAGACATACATTTGAGGATATATGAAAGGAGCAAAGTATTTATCTCACCACACAGTTAAGAATTTTAAAAACATTCATTGTTGGATAGTGATTTTTAAAACATTAAAATAAGTGGAACGATTGCTTTGAATTTATGAAGAATAACACATATAATTAATGACTTTTCTATTTGTATTATACTTGCTTAGATGGTTCAGGCTTAGTAAGAAAGCTATTGATAGTAGAAAACAATGTGTATATGTAATAATAAAGAAATAACGTGGATTGTTAGTGAATAGAAAATAGTCCTTTTGGCCAGGTGTGGTGGCTTATGCCTGTAATCCCAGTACTTTGGAAGGCCAAGGCAGGAGGATCACTTGAGCCAAGCAGTTCGAGACCAGTCTGGTTAGCATAGTGATACCCTGTCTCTACACAAAATTAAAGTAAAAAAATTATCTGGGGGTGGTGGCGCACACCTGTGGTCCCAGCTACTTGGGAGGCTGAAGTGGGAGGATCCCTTGAGCCCAAGAGGTTGAGGCTGTAGTGAGCCTTGATTGTACCACTGCACTCCAGCCTGGGTAACAGAGTGAAATCCTGTCTCAGAAAGAAAGAATGAAAAAAAGAAAGAAAGAGAGAGAGAGAGAGAGAAAGAAAGAAAGGAAAGAAAGAAAGAAAGAAAGAAAGAAAGGGAAAGAAAGAGAGAGAGAGAAGGAGGGAGGGAAGGAGGGAAGGAAGGAAGGAAAGAAAGAAGGAAGGAAGGGAGGAAGGGAGGAAGGGAGGAAGGGAGGGAGGGAGGAGGGAAGGAAGGAAGAAAGAAAGAAGTGGATATGTTTTGGATGTTTATCCCCTCCAAATCTCATGTTGAACTGTAATCCCCCATACTGGAGGTGGGACCTGGTGGGATGTGTTGGATCGTGGGAGCAGATCCCTCGTGAATGACTTAGTGCCATCCCCTTGATAATGAGTGAGTTCTTGTTCAGTTGGTTCACGTGAGATCTGGTTGTTTAAAAGAGTCTGGGACCTCCCCCTTCTCTCTCTCTCTCACTCTCTCTCTCACCGCGTGACCCTGCGTGCCCTGATTTAAAGCTTCCTGAGGCCTCACCAGAAGCTGAGCAGATGCTGGTGCTGTGCTTGTACAGCCTGCAGAAACTGAACCAAAAAAACCTCTTTTCTTTAGAAATTACCCACCCTCAGGTATTCCTTTATAGCAATGAAAATGGCCTAACACAATAGTCTTTTGACTATATTTAGTTTGAAGATAGTTCCAGATATTTCCCTACATTACTTTCTCATCTTTAGTGAGCAAATGGTATACTGAAACTAGATAGTGATGGTGGTGCGACAATGTGCGTGTACTAAATGTCTCTGGATTGTACACTTAAAATGGTTAAAGTGGTAAATTTTATGTTATGTATATTTTACCACCACAACAAAAAAAACCTTTCTTTTTTTTTTTTTTCTTTTTTTTTTTATTTGAGATGGAGTCTTGCTCTGTCGCCCAGGCTGGAGTGCAGTGGCACGATCTCAGCTCACTGCAACCTTTGCCTCCCAGGTTCAAGTGATTCTCCTGCCTTAGCCTCCCCAGTACCTGGGATTACAGGCACACACCACCATGCCCGGTTTATTTTTGTATTTTTTTAGTAGAGTCGGGGTTTCACCATGTTGGCCAGGCTAGTCTTGAACTCCTGACCTTATGATCTGCCCGCCTCTGCCTCCCAAAGTGCTGGGATTACAGGTGTGAGCCACCACACCTGACCAAAAATAACCTTTCAAAACAAACAAACCAACAAAAAACACCCATAGTTCACCTAAATATGCCTGAAAATGTACTTTGCAGGGAACCTAAAATCTGGGATTTGAAGTAAAAAAGGATAACCCCAAGTTGAATTTGTTAAGATTGCCCACCTTTTCTTTGCTGACAACTGGCAAATGGTTTGCTAACTTCTGGGCAGATGAGAGTTCAGTCAGCACAATCAACAAAGAAGTGACGTTCACTCGGGCCCAGGCAGGCCTATGTGCTGGGAGCTTTTGGACCTTAAATTGGTCTGAGTTCACTGTTGCTCCAGTTGCAGACAGGAGCAGGCAGGTTCAAGAGTTTCTGATGCTTTGCTGTCCAGCAGTCAGCTGACCATGAGCACAGCCGGCACAAGCAGCCCTTTATGCTGGTGAGAATCCTGCCAGCAGTGCTGAGGCACAATCCCTCCTTTATGTGTTCCCTTTGCACATTTGTATTCTTGGGGCCTTTGGGATTTTTGTTGCTGCAGATAATGGGAAATGGGTGTCGGTGGGTGTTACGAGCAGGGTTTTCAGTAGACTAGGAAGAACAACTGGTTAAAAATAAAATAACAATAGTGACAAATAGGAAAGGTGGGCAACCTCAGGCAGTACAGCTCCTGAGCAAATGCTTCCAGCTTTTACCCTAAAACATAAGCAACTGGGCACAACTCCAGGCCTTGACTGTCTCATTGGCTGATAGGAATAACTACTAGGAACTATTAAGATTACCTGATATTCTGGCCTTTTCATAATTACAGTGCAGCCTAGTTGATGTTGTTGGAACATGATGGTTCTTTGATAGAAAAGTCTCTACTTTCATTACAAATGGAAAGTGCAAATCAGAAGGGTTTGTACCATTTGGGGTTAGGATCCAAAACATTTGTTCCACCAAGGGGGAAAAGGTCCAACTACAACAAGTTATCTTGAGATTGTCCAGGGTGTTCTCTAAAGCCCTAAATCCAAAACTTTTCCTTTTTTGAGGCAGACTCTCACTCTGTTACCCAGGCTGGAGTGCAGTGGTTCCATCTCGGCTCACTGCAGCCTCCGCCTCCCAGGTTCAGGTGATTCCCCTGCCTCAGCCTCCCGAGCAGCTGGGATTACAGACGTGTGCCACCACGCCTGGCTAATTTTTTGTATTTTTATTAGAGACGCGGTTTCACCATGTTGTCCAGGCTAGTCTCGAACTCCTGATCTCAAGTGATCTGCTGGTCTTGGCCTCCCAAAGTGTTGGGATTCCAGGCGTGAGCCATCATGCATGGCCCCTGCATCTGAAACTTTAATGTGCATGCGGATTCAAATGGGGATCTTGTCAAAATACAGTTTCTGATTTTGAAGATTTTGCATTTCTTTTTTTTATTTTTATTTTTATTTTATTTTTTATCTTTGAGATGGAGTCTCGCTCTGTCGCCCAGGCTGGAGTGCAGTGGAACAATCTTGGCTCACTGCAAGCTCTGCCTCCTGGGTTCACGCCATTCTCCTGCCTCAGCCTCCCAAGTAGCTGGGACTACAGGCGCCCGCCACCACATCTGGCTAATTTTGTGTATTTTTAGTAGAGACGGGGTTTTACAGTGTTAGCCAGGATGGTCTCGATCTCCTGACATCGTGATCCGCCCGCCTTGGCCTCCCAAAGTGCTGGGATTACAGGCGTGAACCACCACGCCCGGCCGAAAATTTTGCATTTCTAACAAGGTTTCAGGGAGTACTGATGCTGCAGGTCTGAGGACCACACTTCAAGTTGCAAGGCTGTCAGGAAGTGAGAGCTAGCTAGGGGGAAACTAGCATCATTTCAGTTAGGTCTAGTATTGCTGCTAATTTACTGAAAGTTTTAAAATGTAGCTTTTCTGTAAAGAAACAAACAGGACATTCTAACTAAACAAAGTGCTGTGAAATCAGTCATTCACACTGGGTAGCTAGAGCTACTGTGTCTCAACTGGAGGAGGCACCATCTCCAGTGGATCATTTAGAAACGTAGAGGGTGGCTACTGGTATTTGGTGCCTGGGGGCCCAGGGCACTAAATGTCTGGTAATGTGTGGAAGAGTTCTGCACAAATAATTGTCCCACTCAAAACGCCAAGAGAGCCCCCCTGCCCCGCCCCATTCAGGTACCCGAGCTACACCAGTGGAGATGGAGGCTGCACCCATACCTGAGACCTCAGCCAATCAATTCTATGGCCATCTCCTTGAGTGTGTCATCTGGAATAGAAGATCCTGCCCATGTATTGTAGCTCATCTCTTTAGAACTTTGACTGCCCTTGGAATTCTCCAGTGGGAAGAGTGGCCTCTGTCTAGTGTACCACATGTGGTTCCATAGCTTGATGTATTCTCTCAGCAAAGGATGAGATCGACAGGAAAGGCTTCAGGAAGCCCTACGGAATTTGGATTCATCAACATTTTGAATCAAAAATCAGAAAAGGGAACATCCAGTGTTCCCCTTGAGACGATACCCTCAAGTGCTGCTGGTGCTCACCTCCTAAACTCCTAAACGGGGCTGTGACCAGCTTGCCTAGTGCCAACGACAACAGCTCCAAGGCATCTGGGCCTATCAAACTTCCACTGCGTTCTTTTCCACAAAAGAAAGAATCCCACAGCGCTAGATTTGCTGGCCATCATGTCAAACAAACTCTGACCTCTGATCCCAACACAGTGTTGAACATTACAATGAGGATGTTAGAAATTCTGCTGGAGACTGAGTTGAGGTAAAAATAGATACAGGGGCTGGGCATGGTGGCTCACACCTGTAATCCCAGCGTGTTGGGAGGCTGAGGTGGAAGGATTACTTGAGGCCAGGAGTTTAAGACCAGCCTGGGCAGCATAGCAAGACCCTGTCTCTAAAAAAAAAAAATTTTTTTTTTTAATTAGCTGTGTGTGTTTCCACGTGCCTGTAATCCCAACTACTCGAGAGGCTGAGGCGGGAGGATTGCTTGGTCCCAGAAGTTGGAGGAGTGCAATGAGCTGTGATCCCGCCACTGCACTCCAGCTTGGTCAACAGAGCAAGACCACATCTCTAAAAACAAAGACACAGATATGAGAAATAAAATAGGGATGAAAGGAATGAGTTAAGACAATGTTAGAGAAGGATGACGTAGTAAGAAACCTGAAGATAACGAAAACCCACATTAACCTAATGTTGCAGAAAAGAGGGCTTCATCATTGTTGTCTGAGAAACTTGTGAGTAAAAGACAAAAATAATACATATTGTGAGAAATACATTCAATACAATATAAGGAAAATATTCTTTAGCTTCTTGAGACTCCATGAAGTTCAAGAGTTAGGAAATTCTGAAAAGGGTTTGGCAGGGTCATAGTGATTCCGTCTGGAAAGGGTTTGTTTGTGCTTGGTCTCAGGGCTGCTAGGAAGATGGGAAATGTCTCTGGCACTCCAGGAGAGCAATTACTCTGTGCCATGACTTCATGTGCCCCCTCACCATGATGCAGTGCCCCATGGGAGATGTTCTGTCACTGATCCCACTGTCTCACTACATTCCAACAGTCCAAAAGACAGGCAAAAATTTAGACTGATAACTTTTTTTATTAGTCTGATTTAAAAATTAGTTACACAAGTAAAATAATGTCTGTATCACACTCATAATCACGTGTGCACATGAAAATGTTAGCTCAGAGGAGGTTGAATGCTTCTCCAGTGCAGACTTCCTGGAAAGCTGGAAAGCTGGGCAATGGCTCAGGGGCCCCTGGGCACAGCACTGTCTTCTCCTGAATGAGAATCAGCTGTGCTGATGCCTACGTTAGTTCAAGAACCAGGAGCTGCATAAACAAGCTTTTGAGAAGTATGCCAGAAGAAGCTCAGATTGATGATGGTGTGTTTGACAAAATTAATGAAGCCATGCTTATTAGACTGAAAGATAAGATTCCAAATGTGAGAATACAGGCAGTTCTGGCGCTTTCACGACTTCAGGATCCAAAGGATGATGAATGCCCAGTGGTTAATGCATATGCTACTTTGATCGAAAATGATTGATTTGAATCCAGAACTTAGACAGGCAGTGTTATCATGTATTGCACCATCAGCAAAGACTTTGCCAAAAATTGTAGGGTGCACCAAGGATGTGAAAGAGGCTGTCAGAAAGCTGGCTTATCCGGTGTTAGCTGAAAAGGTTCGTATGAGAGCTATGTCCATTGCTCAGACAGTAATGCTCCCTCAACAAGGTTTTAATGAGAGATGAGATGCTGTGAAACAAGCTATGTGGAAGCATCTTCTCCAAAGCTGGTTATGGTTCTCTGAGGGAAATATCTTCGAGTGGCTTCAGCAGTTGGATGTAGAAAATTCTGAAGTGGCAGTCTCTGTCCTCAATGCCATGTTTTCAATGACTCCTCTCAGTGAACTGGTGGCAATCTGTAAAAACAATGATGGCAGGTACATAAAGGATTCATTCTTTGAAATGTAATACTGATTAACTTCTACAATTAATTTGTTTTTTTTCCTCCCCATAGCTTAAGATTATATTAATATCTTTAATCTTACCTCCCTTTTGTTTTCTTTTAGTCTGATGAATATCTTCTTTCCCTTCTTTTTTCCCCTCCTGGTGTAAGAACTCATTACTTTATCTTAGACTATCTACTTTAGCTGTGGTTTTCTACCCCTCGGTTTCTTACTTTGATTTTTGAATTAGCCTACCATGAGAAAATCCAGCAACATGCACCCCTAGTATATGTTTGCTTATTTGGTTCTTTTTTGTTCTAAGTTCCTTCATTCCTTTCTGTGTTAATGACTCTAATTAAAAGGATAGTGGTTTTAAAGCAAATCTTCTTATTCTTATTTATGTTCTCTTCAATTTGTAATGATATAAAGATCATGCTTTCTCTTACACTCTTTCTTTTAAGTGAAGGAAATTGATTCTAGTGGAAACGTTAACTCCTGAAATTGCTTTGTATTGGTGTGCCCTTTGTGAATATTTGAAATCAAAAGGAGATGAAGGTGAAGAATTTTTAGAGCGGATTTCGCCAGAGCCTGTAGTATATATAGACTATTTACTGAGGTAAATTTTTTTTTCTTTTAGTTTGGAGAATGCTTGTGTTGCTGCAACTGTTAACCTCCCAGCCCCCTTCCTCGAGGTCATGCTTGATTGTGAATATGTTAAAAATCCTTTTTTTTTTTTTGTACATGCCGGGATAGTTATATACATTGAGTCTTTTTGAATATCTTGTATATCTTGTGCTGGTCTGTATAATGAAAGAGCAAATCATGTTTAGGATCATTTCTTCAAAACTATTAAGATATGATTATGAACATTTCTGCATATACAGTTGATAATGATGATGTATTATTTCTGAAATTGGTTGGCACATTTTCTGTTAAGTGCCAGATAATAAGTATCTTAGGGTCTTGTGGGCCATACCATCTGTCAAAAACAAAAACAAAAAACAAAAAAGACCAGGAGCTGGTTGGACATTTGTGAATGTTCTCTTGCCCTACTTCGACTCTCACTTCTCTTAAGTTCTGTACCTCGACTACACAAATCAGAGGCTGCCAGCAGATGGATGTGTGCACGTGTGTGTATGAATGTACTTCCTGTCCACCTGGAACTTACCTGCAAAAATCCTTGCCACAATTTGGATGTGCAGAGAAAGTGTTGTTTCTTATTTTCTTTATATCCTTTCTTGCCTTCCTCAGGTACTACCTATTACCAGCAGGAAAACAAAGCAAACAAACCAACAGAACCCAGGAAAATGGAAATGGCCCACCTGATTTAAGCTTTAGACATACACAATACTTTATTGTACATAAGTGTCAAATGAAATTAAAAACGAGGAAAAAAAGACATACACAAGACTTTAAATGGCTCCGTGGGCACTGTCCAGCCCTCAGCTTGGATCCGTCTGGCTATCCTTGTATGTGGTGGCATTGCTTTGGGTGTCAGGGACGCCCTTGGCTGCTTGGCTTCTGGACTCCCTGCTTACTTATGAGCTCAGGCCTGGGGCTGGGGGGTTCATGGTGGGACCCGTGGGCACAGGAACCACTCTTGTGGGGCATAGCCCCCAATGGACCCAGATTAGACCCCTCTAAGTGCCTGTAGTGCCATCCATGCAACCACCTCCAGCCCTGCCTCAGCCTGACCTCGCTCTAGCACCATGGACTTGGGGCCCACCCAGCGGCTCTCAGCCACCCCTTTCATGCTGGGACTTTGTGAGGGACACTCAGCACCTACATCAGGCTGATCGCCTCGCCAGACTCTTCCTGCTCTTTTTTTATCCACCACGCTGTAGACTGCCGAGGTAGACTTTTCTTTACATTTCCTCTGTGACATCTTCCCCCTACCACTTCAGAGAAAGCCCTGAGGCCCAGCAGGTCCAGCAGATGGATGGAAGGACTCTCTTCATCTCCACTGTAAGAAATGGTTTAAGCTGCAAGGCATACCTAGACCATTCAAATAGCAGCTGAAAGAATCCACCAAATCCACAAAGCACGGATTTCAAGCCTAGCCTCTTGACAAGAGAGAACATACCTGCTCTCGGCCCCAGGCAATAAACCCCTTGACTTGATTTTGAGATGAAAGAGGCTAGAAGGAAATGTGGCATAAGGACAAAAGGCACTGGTTAAATATTTGTAGACTATTCTTTCCATTACCACTGTTCTATAGAGTCTTGAGGAGAAAACAAGACAAAGCAACAAATAATTATATAATTCAGTAGCTGCAATAGATAAAGAGAACCATTAAAAGAATAGGTTTTCTCAATTATAAAATGAGGCATTAACCAAATTTTGAATATTAACTATATATTTGACTATTCCTGGACAACTAGAAGGCTGGCGATTGTACATGCATTTGTATTTGCCAGTTGTGTGTCTTCCTCCTTTCAACCTCACACAGCTAATTTATGTTGACCCTCAAAAAAGAAAATGAGTACTTGAATGTCAAGGCATGTGACTTTCATTCTAGGACATATAGTAACTTCCAGAGCACTGAGTCAGCAGTCTAAAGGTTTAGCCTTCATACTCCTGACAGCTGTTTATTTCTTTCAGTGTAATTTCAGAGAAACATATCCAGAAGGGATTTGCTGCCCTAGATCTATCAGAAAACATATTTAAGATATTCTGTAGTTTTATAGCACAAAAATCTAACACTAAATAATCACATCATAACAGGGTTTCAATTTCTGTAATAATTTATCTTAAATCAGGCACAAGGGTATTTAAAGCACACAACTAATACTTTGTAGAGATTTAATGAGATGATGTATGGGAGCAGTAGGGGCTGAGACATTTGTTTCCAGTACTATTTTAAAGCAATAAGAGAATAATAGCATTTGAAATAACCTTTCCAATCTATTGGATTCAGGCTTCTGCCTTCTGTATCTAAAAAGAAGCTTAGTCACTGGCTTCTGGTAGATGAGTAGGACTTCTCAAAGATCAGGAAGGCTTGGGGTCATAGCTGGTGATGCATAAAGGGCCCCAGGTCAAGAAGTCTAAGCCCATCAGGCTCAGATTGAAACCAGGAACCTGAGCGACAGGCCAAATTGGGACTTAGGAGGTCCTCTAGGCAAAATCAGTCCCTGAAAAGGAAGATTGGAGCAGAAACCAGTGGCTCCAGCAGGTGGGAGAGAGCAGACAGCAGTTTTCATCCACAAGGTAACTGGTTGCTTTGATAGCAGCTCTGCCTCCCTAAGTGCTTCAGATATGAAGCAACTCCTAAGAAAAGAACTAGAATTAAAACTATCAAAAATTACAAGAATTAAAATAATAGAGTAGAAAGTATCTATTTATTACAAAAGAAAGCAATGAAAAGGAATAGTCACGAGACTAACAAAATGAAGTCATGAGCATGACAAATAAATATTGAAATGGCAGATATAATTTCAACCATACAAATAATAACATTAAATGTGAATGGATTAGACACCCCAATCAAACGACAGAGATTGTTAAGACTGGATTTTTTTTTTTTTTTTTGAGATGGAATCTTGCTCTGTCGCCCAGGCTGGAGTGCAGTGGTGCGATCTCGGCTCACTGCCAGCTCTGCCTCCCGAGTTCAAGCAATTCTCTGCCTCAGCCTCCTGAGTAGCTGGGATTATAGGCGCCCCACCACCACGCCCGGCTAATCTTTTGTATTTTTAGTAGAGACAGAGTTTCACCATCTTGGCCAGGCTGGTCTTGAACTCCTGACCTCGTGATCCACCCGCCTCGGCCCCCCAAAGTGCTGGGATTACCGGCGTGAGCCACCGCGTCTGGCCAAGGCTGGATTTTTTAAAACAAGACCCACCTAGCAGGGTGTGGTGGCTCACGCCTGTCATCCTAGCACTTTGGAAGGCCGAGGCGGGTGGATTGCCTGAGCTCAGGACTTCGAGACCAGCCTGGGCAACACGGTGAAACCCCATCTCTAATAAAATACAAAAAATTAGCCCGGCATGGCGGCGGGCGCCTGTAGTTCCAGCTACTTGGGAGGCTGAGGCAGGAGAATCACTTGAACCCTAGAGGTGGAAGTTGCAGTGAGCTAGGATCGCACCACTGCACTCCAGGCTGGGCGACAGAGCAAGGCTCTGTCTCCAAAAAAAAAAAAAGGCCGGGTGTGGTGGCTCACGCCTGTAGTTCCAGCACTTTGCGAGGCCAAAGAGGGTGGATCACGAGGTCAGGAGATCGAGACCATCCTGGCTAACACGGTGAAACCCCGTCTCTACTAAAAAAATTAGCCGGGTGTGGTGGCGGGCGCCTGTGGTCCCAGCTACTCTGGAGGCTGAGGCAGGAGAATGGCGTGAACCCGGGAGGCGGAGCTTGCAGTGAGCCCAGATGGAGCCACTGCACTTCGGCCTGGATGACAGAGCAAGACTCCGTCTCAAAAAAAAAAAAAAAAAAATCAAAAAACAAGACCCACCTAGTATGTGCTCTTTAAAAGAGACGTGACTTTGATTCAAAGAGTTTCGAGATAAAAGGATGGTAAAGATATCTCATGCAAGCATTAACTTTGGGAGAGCCAAAGTGGCTGTACTAATATCAGAGAAAATTTAAACACAAAGGAATTACTTAATTTAAAAAAAATTTAAGTGCATAGTTTAGATTAGGAAATCAATCTTTGTGGTGCGCAGTACTATGGGTTTTGGCAAGTGCATAGTGTCATGTATCCACCATTACAGTACTGTACACAGTCGTTTTACCATGCCCCAAATGCCTTCTGGTACAACTATTCATTCTTCCCGTTCCCCAGTCCCTGAGCTTCTGGCAACCACTGATCTTTTTCACTGTCTATGATTTTGCGTTTTCCAGACTGTCAAACAGTATTGTTGCCTTTTCAGACTGGCTTCTTTTACTTAGCAATATACATTTAAGGTTCCTTCATGTTTTCGTAATAGCTATTGACAGCTCATTTATCTTTATCACTGAATAATATTCCATTATATGAATATACCACAGTTTTTATCCATTCACTTGTTGAAGGACATCTTGGTTGTTTCCAAGTTTTGGCAATTATGAATAAAGCTGCTATAAACATTTGTGTGCAGGTTTTGGTGTAGGCATATGTTTTCAGTTCATTTGGGTAAATACCAAGTAGCATGATGGCTGGATCATATGGTAAGAGTATGTTAGCGTTTGTAAGAAACTGTCAAACTGTCTTCCAAAATAGCTGTACCATTTTACATTCCCACCAGCAACGAAAGAGAGTTCCCATTGTTCCACATACTTGCTATCATTTGATGTTGTTAGTGTTTTGGATTTTGGGCATTCTAATAGGTGTGTAGTGGTAGCTCATTGTTGTTTTAATTTGCAGTTGTCTTATGACATATTATGTCGAGCATCTTTTCATTGCTTATTTGCTGTCTGTATATCTTCTTAGGTGAGGCGTCTGTTTAGATCTTTTGTCTATTTAAAAATTAGGTTGTTCATTTTCTTATTGTTGAGTTTTAAGAGTTCTTTGTATATTTTAGATACAGTCCTTTATTCAATATGTCTTTTGTAAATATTTTATCCCAGTTTCTCATTCTCTTGACAGTGTCTTTCACAGAGTAGAAGTTTGTAATTTTAGTGAAGTCCAGTTTATTAATTTGTTCCTTCATGGATCATGCCTTTGTGTTCTAACCAAAGAGTTATTACCATTCCGAAGGTCACCTAGGTCTGCTCCTAAGTTTTGCATTTTACATTTAGGCCTATGATTCACTTTGGGGTAATTTTTGTGAAGGATATAAAGTCCGTGTCTAGATGCACTTTTTTTTGCATTTGGATGTGTAGTTGTTAAGCACCTTTTGTTAAAAAGATGGCCCGGTGTGGTGGCTCACACCTGTAATCCCAGCACTTTGGGAGGCCGAGGTGGGCAGATCACAAGGTCAGGAGTTCGAGACCAGCCTGGCCAATATGGTGAAACCCCATCTCTATTAAAAATACGAAAATTAGCTGGGTGTGGTGGTGCATGCCTGTAATCCCAGCTACTGGGGAGGCTGAGGCAGGAGGATGGCTTGAACCCAGGAGGCAGAGGTTGCAGTGACTGAGATCGCACCACTGCACTGCAGTCTGGGTGACAGAGCGAGACTCTGTCTCAAGAGAAAAAAAAAAGAGAGAGAGAGAGAAAGAGAGGACATTGGGGCCTATAGGCACAGGCCACCATGCCTGGCTAATTTTTGTATTTTTTGCAGAGATGAGGTGTCGCCATGTTGTCCAGGCTGGTCTCAAACTTCTAGGCTCAAGTGACTTGCCTGCCTCGGCCTCCCAAAGTGCTAGGATTACAGGTGTGAGCCACCACACCCAGACTGTTGAGAATTTTTGTGTTTATGTCTGTGAAAAACATTGGTGTGTGATTTTGATTTTTTGTAATGCCTGTGTCTGGTTTTTATACTAGGGTTATGCTGGCCACATGGAATGATTTAGGAACTATTCCCTCTGTTTCTATTTTCTAGAAGAGATTGTAATGAATTGGTATATTTATTCCTTAAATGTTTGATAGAATTCACTAACGAACCCATCTGGGCTTGGCGCTTACTGATTTGAAGGTTATTTGTTGTTGTTGTTTTTCCAACTTTGTTGAGATATAATTGGCATTAAAAAAACTGCATATGGCCTGGCATGAGGGCTCATGCCTGTAATCCCAGCAATTTGGGAGGCCGAGGCAGGAGGATTGCTTGAGGCTTGGAGTTTGTGACCAGTGTGGGTAGCATAGTGAGATCCTGTCTTTATTAAAAAAATTTCAAGATAAATTAGCTGGGTGTGATGGCACGCGCCTGTAGTCCCAGCTACTGAGGAGATTGAGGCAGGAAGATTGCTTGAGACCAGGCATTTGAGGCTGCAGTAAGCTATGATCAAACCACTGCAGTCCAGCCTAGGTGACAGAGAGAGACACTGTCTCTAAAAACAAAAAAATCCAAAACAAAAATCTCCCCCAAAAAACTGCATATAAATTTATGCATACAATTTGATGATTCTGGACATATGTATATATTCATGTTGCTATTGCTGTAATCCAGGTAATACACGTATCTGCAACTTTCCCCGTGTCCCCTCTTTTTTTTCTTCATAAGAACACTTAACATGAGATCTACCCTGTTAACAATTGTTTTTACGACACAATATCTTGTTGTTAGCTATGGACAGTCTATTGTACAGCAGATCTCTGGAACTCACCGATCTTGTTTAACTATAACTTTATACCCACTGGATAACAACTCCTTTTTTCTCCTTCATGCCATCCCCAGGTAACCCTCGTTCTGTTGTCTAATTCAACACCTTTGACTATTTTAGATGCTCATATTAGAGGAATCATTAGTATTTCTCTCTCTGTGACTGAATTATTTCACTTAGCGTCATGTCTTCCGGGTCCTTCCACGTTGTGACAAATGGTAAGATTTCCTTCTTTTTAAAGGTTGAGTAACGTTGTGTTGTATGTCTATGTCACATTTTCTTTATCCATTCAGCTGTCTATGAACATTTGGGTTGTTTCTACATCTTGGCTATTGTAAATAATGCTGCAGTGAACACAGGAATGCATAAATATTTTCTCCCATTCTGCGGGGTTGCTTTTCACCCCGCGGATTGTCTCCTTTGCTGTGAAAAAGCTGTTTAGTTTGATGTAATCAAACTTTTCTATTTTTGCTTTTGTTGCTTGTGCTTTTGATGTCATATCCAAGAAGATTATTGCCCTGAACAATGTCCAAAAGCTTTTCCTTGGGTTTATTCTAGTAGTTTTACAGTTTCAGGTCTTACGTTTAAATCTTTAATCTATTTTGAGTTGATTCTCATATATGGTGTGAGATAAGGTCCAATTTCATTATTCTGCATGTTGCTATTCACTTTTCCTGGTACCACTTATTGAGGAGACTATCTTTTTCTGCATTGTGGGTTCTTGGCACACTTGTCAAAGATCAGTTGACCATAGATGTGTGGATTTATTTCTAGGCTCTCTATTCTGTTCCATTGGTCTGTCTGCCTGATTTTTATTCCAGTACAACACTGATTACTGTAGCTTTATAATATATTTTGAAATCAGTAAGTACGATGCCTCCAGCTGTGTTCTTCTTGCTTAATATTGCTTCAGCTATTTGGGATTTCTTGTGGTTCTATATTTTTTGAGATTTTTTTCCTCTTTCTGTAAAAAAATGTTTACCGTATTTTGATAGGGCTTGCACTGAATCTGTAGATTGCTTTGAGTAGTATGGACATCTTACCAATATTAAGTCTTCTAATCCATGAACAAGAGATGTCTTCCCATTTATTTGTATCTGTCTTAATTTCTTTAATCATTGCTTCATAGATTTCAGTGTGCAGTCTTTCACCTCTTTGGTTAGGGTTATTCCTAATATTTTATCTTTTTGGTGCCATTATAATTAGGATTGTCTTCTTTTTTTAATATACTAGTTGGCCACATAGATATCTTCTTTTGAGAAATGTCTATTCATGTCCTTTGCCAATTTTTTAACGGAGTTTTTTGTTTTCTGCCTAATTTAAGTTCCCTACAGAATCTGGATATTAGACCTTTCCCAGATGCATAATTTGCAAATATTTTCTCCCACTATTTACTCTGTTGATAGTTTCTTTTGCTGCAGGATGCTCTTTAGTTTAATTAGGTCCCCATTTGTCTATTTTTGGTTTTGTTTCAATTGCTTTTGGCATCTTTGTCATGAAATCTTAGCCAGGGCCTATGTCCACAATGGTATATCTCAGGTTTTCTTCCAGGGATTTTATATTTTTAGGTTTTTCATTCAAATTTTTAATTCATCTTGAGTTGATTTTTGTGTATGGTGAAAGGAAGGAGTCCAGTTTCAATCTTTTGCCTATGCCTAACCAGTTATCCCAGCATCATTTATTGAATAGGGAGTCCTTTCCCTATTACTTGTTTTTGCTAATTTTGTTAAAGATCAGACGGTTGTAGCTGTGCCGCTTTATCTCTGGGTCCTTTGTTCTGCTCTTTTTTTCTTCGAGTCTATTTTTGTACCAGTATCATGGTGTTTTGGTTTCTACAACCTTGTAGTAAAGTGTGAAGTCAGGTAATAGGATGCCTCCAGCTTTGTTCTTTTTGCTTAGGATTGCTTTGGCTATTCGGGCTCATTTTGGTTCCATATGAGTTTTTAAATAGTTTTGTATAATTCTGTGAATAATGTCATTGGTAGTTTGATAGGAATAGCATTGAGTCTGCAAATTGCTTTGGGCAATATGACAATTTTGACAATATTTATTCTTCCTATCCTTGAGCATGGCATGTTTTTCTATTTGTTTGTGTCATCTCTGATTTCTTTCAGCAATTATTCAGTAATTCAGTAATTATTATTGTAGAGACCTTTCACCTCTGTGGTTAGCTGTATTCTGAGGTATTTTACTTTTTGTGTGTCTATTGTAAATGGCATTGCATTCTTGATTTGGTGTTACTGGTGTAAAGAAATGCTACTGATATTTATACATTGATTTTATATCCTTAAACTTTGGTGAAGTAGTTTATCAGTTCTGGGAGCTTTGGGGCGAAGACTATGGGGTTTGCTAAGTATAAAATCATATTGTTTGCAAGGAGAGATGGTTTGACTACCTCTTTTGCTGTATGGATGCTTTTTATTTCTTTCTCTTGCCTGATTGCTCTGGCTAGGAATTTCAGTACTATGTTGAATAGGAGTGGTGGGAGTGGGCATCCTTGTCTCGTTCTGGTTCCCAAGGGGAAGGCTTGCAGCTTTGGCCCATTCAGTATGATGTTGGCTGTGGGTTTGTCATAGACAGCTCTTACTATTTTGAGGTATGTTCCTTCAATGCCTAGTTTGTTGAGGGCTTTTAACATGAAGGGAGGTTTAATTTTGTCAAAAGACTTTTCTGCATCTATTGAGATGATCATGTGGTTTTTGTCTTTAGTTCTGTTTATGTAATGAATTACATTTATTGATTTGTGTATGTTGAACCAAACTTGCATCCCAGGGATAAAGCCTACTTTATAGTGCTGGATTTGTTTTTTGATGTGCTGCTGAATTCAGTTTACCATTATTTTATTGAGGGATTTTGCATCTATGTTCATCAGGGATATTGGCCTGAAGTTTCCCCTTTTTGTTGTGCCTCCACCAGGTTTTGGTATCGGAATGATGCCAGCTTCATAGAATGAGCTAAGGAGGTGTCTCTCCTCCTCAATTTTTTGGAATAGTTTTAGTAGAATTGGTACCAGCTCTTCTTTATACATCTGGTAGAATCTTTCTGGCCCAGGACCCTCTCTGGTTGGTAGGCTTTTTATTACTGATTCAGTTTCAGAACTTGTTACTGATCTGTTCTGGTTTTAATTTCTTCTGGATTAAATCTTGGGAAGTTGTTTCCGAGAAATTTATCCATTTTTCTAGGTTTTCTAGTTTGTGTGGTAATGTCCCCTTTGTCATTTCTGACTGTGTTTATTTGGATCTTTTCTCTTCTTTCCTTTATTAGTTTAGGCTAGTGGTCTATCGATCTTATTTATTCTTGCAAAAAAACCAACTTTTGGTATCGTTGACCTTTTGTGTGTTTTATTGTGTCTCAATTTCTTTCAGTTTGGCTTTGATTTTTGTTTTCTTTTCTTCTGCTAGCTTTACGGTTAGTTTGCTCTTGTTTTTCTAGTTCCTCTAGGTGTGTTAAGTTGTTCATTTGAGGTCTTTCTAACTTTTTGATGTGGGCACTTAGCACTATAAAGTTTCTTCTTCACACTGCATTAGCTGTTTCCCAGAGATTCTAGTATGTTGTATCTCTGTCTTCATTCGTTTCCAAGAATTTCTTGATTTCTGCCTTAATTTCATTGTTTACCCAAAGTCATTCAGGAGTAGATTGTTTAATTTCCATGTAATTGTATAGTTTTGAGCAATCTTCTAAGTATTGATTTCTATTTTTATTGTGCTGTGGTCTGAGAGTGTGGTTGGTATGATTTTGTGTTTTATGAATTTGTTGAGCATTGTTTTATGGTCGAGCGTGTGGTTGGTTTTTCAGTATGTGCCACCTGCAGATGAGAAGAATGTAATGTATAGTCTGTTGTTGGCTGGAGTGTTCCGTAGATGTCTGTTAGGCCCATTTGGTCAAGTGTCGAGTTCAGGTCTTGAAAATCTTTGTCAGTTTTCTGCCTTGATGATCTAATACTGTCAGTGGAGTGTTGAAGTCTTCCACTATTTTTGTGAGGTTATCTAACAAAATAGGTCTCTAAGAGCTTGTTTTATGAATCCAGTGCTCCAGTGTTGGATGCATGTGTATTTAGGATAGTAAAGTCTTGTGGAAATTAAACCCTTTATCATTAAGTAATGCCTATCTTTGTCTTATTTTATTGTTATTGATTTAAAATCTGTGTTGTCTAAAATTAGAAAAGGAACCCCTGCTCTTTTTTCTTTCCATTTACTTGGTAGGTTTTTCTCTATCCCTTTACTTTAAGCCTATGGGTCTCATTGCATGTGAGGTGGATCCTCTGAAGACAGCATAAAGTTAGGTCTTGTTTCTTTATCCATTTTGCCACTCTGTGTCTTTTAAGTGGAGGATTTAGCCTATTTACATTCAAGGTTAATATTGATATGTGCGATTTGATCCTGCTGTTGTGTTGTTAGCTGGTTGATTGTATAGTTGTTTTATAGCATCAATGGTCTATGTACTTAAGTGTGTTTTTGTGGTGGCCAGTAACAGTGTTTCATTTCCATGTTTCGCACTCCCTTAAGGGCCTCTTGTAAGGCAGGTCTGGTGGCAATGAATTCCCTTAGCATTTGCTTGTCTACAAAGGATCTTATTTCTCCTTCACTCATGAAGCTTAGTCTGGCTGGATATGAAATTCTTCGTTGGAACTTCTTTTCTTTAAGAATGCCAAATATAGGACCCCAATCTCTTCTGGCTTAAGGGTTTCTGCTGAAAGGCCCACTGTCAACCTGATGGGGTTCCCTTTGCAGGTGTCCTGCCCCTTTTCTCTAGCTGCTTTTAATATTTTTTCTTTCATATTGATCTTGGAGAATCTGTTGACTATGTGATTTGGGGATGATTGACTTGTATACTATCTCACAGGAATTCTGTGCATTTCCTGAATTCTAATGTTAACCTTTCTAGTGAGTTTTGGGAATTTTTTAAAAATTTATTTAAGTTCTCAGATACATGTGGAGAACGTGCAGATTTGTTACATAGGTACGCATGTGCCATGGTAGTTTGCTGCACCTATCAACCCCTCATCTAAGTTTTAGGCCCCGCATGCATTAGGTATTTCTCCTAATGCTCTCTCTCCTCTTCCCCGCCGCCCCCGACAGGTCCCGGTGTGTGATGCTCCCTTCCCTCTGTCCATGTGTTCTCATTGTTCAACTCCCATTTATGAGTGAGAACATGCAGTGTTTGGTTTTCTGTTCCTGTGCTAGTTTGCTGAGAATGATGGTTTCCAGCTGCATGCATGTACCTGCAAAGGACATGAACTCATTCTTCTTCATGGCTGCATGATAGTCCATGGTGTGTATGTGCCAGATTTTCTTTATCCAGTCTATCATTGATGGGCATTTGGGTTGGTTCCATGTCTTTGCAATTGTAAATAGTGCTGCAATAAACATACGTGTGCATGTGTCTTTATAGTAGAATGATTTATATTCCTTTGGGTAAATATCCAGTAATGTGACTGCTGGGTCAAATGGTATTTCTCGTTCTAGATCCTCATGGAATTGCCACACTGTCTTCCACAGTGGTTGAACTAATTTACACTCTCACCAACAGTGCAAAAGGTTTCCTATTTCTCCACATCCTCTCCAGCATCTGTTGTTTCCTGAATTTTTAATAATCACCATTCTAACTGGCATGAGATGGTATCTCATTGTGGCATCAAATTTGATGGTATCAAAAAGATTTGCATCAAAACTTGATGATAGCAAAAGATTTGCATTTCTCTAATGACTAGTGATGATGAGTTTTTTTCATATGTTTGTTAGCTGCATAAATGTCTTCTTCTTTAGAGAACTGTCTGTACATATCCTTTGCTTACTTTTTGATGGGATTGTTTGTTTTTTTCTTATACATTTGTTTAAATTCCTTGTAGATTCTGGGTATTGGACCTTTGTCAGATGGGTAGTTTGCAAAAATTTTCTCCCATTCTGTAGGTTGCCTGTTCACTCTGATGATAGTTTCTTTCACTGTGCAGAAACTCTTTAGTTTGATTAGATCCCATTTGTCAATTTTGGCTTTTGTGCAATTGCTTTTGGTGTTTTAGTCATGAAGTCTTTGCCCATGCCTATGTCCTGAATGGTATTGCCTAGGTTTTCTTCTAGGGTTTTTATGGTTTGGGGTTTTACATTTAAGTCTTTAATCCATCTTGAGTTAATTTTTGTATAAGTTGTAAGAATTTGCATATGTTGAACCAGCCTTGCATCCCAGGGATGAAGCTGACTTGATTGTGGTGGATAAGATTTTTGATGTGCTGTTGGATTTTTTTGCCAGTGTTTTATTAAGGATTTTCTCATTGATGTTCATCAGGGATATTGGCCTGAAATTTTGTTTTTTTTGTTGTGTTTCTGACAGCGTTTGGTATCAGGATGATGCTGGCCTCATAAAATAAGTTAGGAGGATTCCCTCTTTTTTGATTGTTTGGAATAGTTTCAGAAGGAATGGTACTAGCTCCTCTTTGTACCTCTGGTAGAATTCGGCAGTGAATCCATCTCCTGGGCTTTTTTTGGTTGGTAGGCTATTAAGTACTGCTTCAATTTCAGAACTTGTTATTGGTTTATTCAGGGATTCGACTTCTTCCTGGTTTAGTCTTGGGAGGGTGTATGTGTCCAGGAATTTATCCATTTCTTCTAGATTTTCTAGTTTATTTGTGTAGAAGTGTTTATAGTATTCTCTGATGATAGTTTGTATTTTTGTGGGATCAGTAGTGATATCCTCTTTATCATTTTTTATTGTGTCTATTTGACACAATAAAATTTATAGATAAATCCATGAAGATGAGGGAAAAACAGCACAAAAAAGCTGAAAATTCCAAAAACCAGAATGCCTCTTCTCCTCCAAATGACTGCAACTCCTCTCCAACAAGGGCACAAAACTGGATGGAGAATGACATTGATGAATTGACAGAAGTAGGCTTCAGAAGGTGGGTAATAACAAACACCTCTGAGCTAAAGGAGCATGTTCTAACCCAATGCAAGGAAGCTGAGAACCTTGACAAAAGGCTACAGGAACTGCTAACTAGAATAGCCAGTTTAGAGAGGAGGATAAATGACCTGATGGAGCCGAAAAACACAGCACAAGAACTTCATGAAGCATACACAAATATCAATAGCCAAATTGATCAAGCAGAAGAAAGGATTCAGAAATCAAAGATCAACTTAGTGAAATAGTCATGAAGACAAGATTAGAGAATGAAGAATGAAAAGGAATGAACAAAGCCTCCAAGAAATATGGGACAATGTGAAAAGACCGAATAGACTAGTATTGATTGGGGGTCCCTGAAAGTGATGGGGAGAATGGAACCACATTGGAAAACACACTTCAGGAGAACTTACCCAACCTAGCAAGACAGGCCAACATTTAAATTCAGGAAATACAGAGAAGTATTGAGGATACTCCTCAAGAAGTGCAACCCCAAGACACATAATCATCAGGTTCTCCAAGGTTCAAACTAAGGAAAAAATGTTAAGGGCAGCCAGAAAGAAAGGTCAAGTTACCTACAAAGTTAAGCCCATCAGACTAACAGTGGATCTTTCTGCAGAAACCCTACAAGCCAGAAAAGAGTGGGGGCCAATATTCAACACTCTTAAAGAAAAGAATTTTCAACCCAGCATTTAATTTAATAGTCAGCCAAACTAAGCTTCATAAGTGAAGGAGAAATAAAATCCTTTACAGACAAGCAAATGCTGAGGGATTTTGTCACCACCAGGCCTGCCTTACAAGAGCTCCTGAAGGAAGCACTAAATATAGAAAGGAAAAACTAGTACCAGCCACTGCAAAAACACACCAAATATAAAACCAATGACACTATGAAGAAACTGCATCAACTAATGTGTGAAATAACCAGCTAGCATCATAATGACAGGATCAAATGCACACATAACAATATTAACCTTAAATGTAAATGGGCTAAATGTCCCAATTAAAAGACACAGACTGGCAAGCTGGATAAAGAGTCAAGACCCATCGGTGTGCTGTATTCAGGAGACCCATTTCACATGCAAAGACACGCATAGGTTCAAAATAAAGGGATGGGGGAATATTTACCAAGCAAATGGAAAGGAAAAAAAAAGCAGGGGTTGCAATCCTAGTCTCTGATAAAACAGACTTTAAACCAACCAAGATAAAAAAAGACAAAGAAGGGCATTACATAATGGTAAAAGGATCAATGCAACAAGAAGAGCTTACTATCCTAAATATATGTGTGCTCAATATAGGAGCACCCAGATTCATAAAACAAGTTCCTAAAGACCTATAAAGAGACTTAGACCCCCAAATAGTAATAGTGGGAGACTTTAACACCCCACTGTCAATATTAGACAGATCAATGAGACAGAAAATTAACAAGGATATTCAGGACTTGAACTCAGATCTGGACCAAGCAGACCTAATCAACATCTACAGAACTCTCCACCCCAAATCAACAGAGTATAAATTTTCTCAGCTGCACATAACATGTTTTCTAAAATCGACTACATAATTGGAAGTAAAACACTCCTCAGCAAATGCAAAAGAATGGAAATCATAACAAACAGTCTCTCATACCACAATGCAATCAAATTAGAATTCAGAATTAAGAAACTCACTCAAAATGGCACAACTACATGGAAATTGAACAACCTGCTCCTGAATGACTACTGGGTAAATAATTAAGTTAAGGGAGAAGTAAAGAAGTTCTTTGAAACCAATGGGAACAAAGAGACAAAGTACCAGAATCTCTGGGACACAGCTAAAGCAGTATTAAGAGAGAAATTTATACCACTAAATGCCCACAAGAGAAAGCTGGAAAGATCTAAAACTGACACCCTAACATCACAATTAAAAGAACTAGAGAGGCAAGAGCAAACAAATTCAAAAGCTAGCAAAAGACAAGAAATAACTAAGATCAGAGCAGAGCTAAAGAAATAGAGACATGAAAAACCCTTCAAAAAATCAATTACTCCAGGAGCTGATTTTTTGAAAAGATTAACAAAATAGATGGACCACTAGCTAGACTAATAAAGAAGAAAAGAGAGAAAAATCAAGTAGACACAATAAAAAAATGATAGTCTTTAATCTTTGAGGCTGATGACCTTTGGATGGGGTTTCTGTGTGCAGCTTCTTTTTGTTGATGTTGATGTTGTTGCTTTCTGATTGTTAGTTTTTCTCTTCTAACAGGCCCCTCTTCTGCAGGTCTGCTGCAGTTTGCTGGAGGTCTACTCCAGACCCTGTTTGCCTGGGTATCACCAGTGGAGGCTGCAGAACAGCAAAGATTGCTGCCTGCTCCTTCCTCTGGAAGCTTCGTCCCAGAGGGGCACCAGCCTGATGCCAGCCGGAGCTCTCCTGTATGTGGTGTCTGTCAGCCTCTACTGGGAGGTGTCTCCCAGTCAGAATACACAGGGGTCAGGGACCCACTTGAGGAGGCAGTCTGTTCTTTAGTAGAGCTTGAGCACTGTGCTGGGAGAATCCTCCTTGTCAGGATCTGCTGCTCTCATCAGAGCCAGCAGGCAGGAACGTTTAAGTCCACTGAAGCTGTGCCCCTGACAGCCGCCCCTTCCCCCAGGTGCTCTGTACCAGGGAGATGGGAGCTTTATCTATAGCCCCCTGGCTGGGGCTGCTGCCTTTCTTTCAGAGATGCCCTGCCCAGTGAGGAGGAATCTAGAGAAGCAGTCTGGCCACAGCTGCTTTGCCATACTGTGGTGAGTTCTGCCCAGTCCAAACTTCCTGGCCTCCTTAGCACTGTCAGGGGAAAACTGCCTACTCAAACCTCAGTAATGGTGGATGCCCCACCCTCTACCAAGCTCAATCATCCCAGGTCAACTTCAGACTGCTGTGCTGGCAGCAAGAATTTCAAGCCAGTGGTTCTTAGCTTGCTGGGGTCCGTGGGGGTGGGAGCTGCTGAGCAAGACCTCTTGGCTTCCTAGCTTCAGGCCCCTTTCTGGAGGAGTGAACGGTTCTGTCTCTCTGGGGTTCCAGGCACCACTGGGGTATGGAAAACAACAACAACAAAAAAACTCCTGCAGCTAGCTCTGTGTCTGCCCTAACAACCATCCAGTTTTGTGCTTGAAACCCAGGGCCCTGGTAGTGTAGGCACATGAGGGAATCTCCTGTTCTGTGGATTGCAAAGACCGTGGGAAAAGCATAGTACCTGGGCTGGATAGCACAGTCCCTCACAGCTTCCCTTGGCTGGGGAGGGAGGTCCCCGGCTGCTTGCACTTCCTGGGGGAGGTGATGCCCCACCCTGATTCTGCTCACCCTCTGTGGGCTGCACCCACTGCCTAAACAGTCTCAATGAGATGAAGTGGGTACCTCAGCTATTCCTATTCAGCCATCTTGCCAAATCTCTCTATTATCTTTTATAGGAAAAAACTTTCTGAAGATGACATCAGACTCAAGAAGCCAAGTAGGAAAAGACTGATAAATCTGAAGATGTAAAAATTAAGATCCTTTACTCAGAAAAAGAAAAGTACAATAAAAAAATAAAAAATAATTTGAGCAAAATATTTGTGATACATGATGAACAATGGTTAAGTGTTCCTAGTAAACAAAGAAGTCATCAATCTGAAACAATCAACAGCAGTAAAAAATAGGATAAGCATCTCACGGAAAAAAGAAATACTAAGAGCAAATAAACACATGAAAACATGCACAACCTCATTCTGAGGAAATGAAAAACAGAACTAATGGCTGACTACAAGATTTAAAAACTGGTGATACACAATGTTGATGAGGATGTGTAAAACAGTCACTCCCATGGATCATTCATTGGAAAATATATCAGAGTAATCCTGTTGGAGGACAATTTTGCAATATCTACACTTAGTAATTTATTGTTCTCACCAAAGTACATGGAGGTGTATTATGGCTTGAGTATATGGAGGCTGTAGAGCCCTCGGAGTATGGAGCCCGATGCCAGGGATCAGATAATAGCTCAGCAACTTCTGAGGTATGTGACTGTGGCAAGCTAAGAGCCTTACCTGGGAAGTGGAGATAAGTATGTTTTTACCTCAAAATGCTGGTGTGAGGATCTGATATATTTATACACTTTAGAGAAATGCTTGGCACTTTGGAACATTAATCTAAAGAAAACATCCAACTGCTCACGAGTAGAGTGCTAAGAAGGAAGAGCTTGGCCTCATAGTTGGATGGCTGCCACGTTCCCTGAAAGTGAATGAAGCAAACCTCTCTCTGACTGGGAGGCTGATGTCTTTACTTCATTAAGTCCTGGGGCATCTCATGTTCCAGGATAGCATCACTTTCCACGTTTCTTCCTTTTTCATGCATAAGAATTTTAGCTAGCGGAGAGTAAGGCAAGTGACCATTTCAAAGACAGGCATTTTACTAAATGGTGGCCACTGAAAGCTTGATTCCTGTGCTGTTTTCTGGTACTTTTTGTCTTAAAGCAGGATTTCTCAACACTGGCACTATTGACATTTTGGGCTGGATAATTCTTTGTTGAGGGGGCTGTGCTGTCCATTGTAGGATGTTTAGCAGCATTCCTGATCTTGATCCACTAAATGCCCCAAGTTCTGACAACCAAAAGTGTTTTCAGATATTGTCAAATGTCCCTTGGGAGTGAAATCACCCTTGGTTGAGGATCACTGGGTTTTAGAGGTTTGGAATGAAAAAAAAAAATGATTCTCCCGTTGGAAGCAGAGACTGTAGTTCAGATTATGAACCAGTTAGATGATTTCCCTTCTTAAGCATGAATTCAGACTGCATTGCCTTTGAAAATTAATGTTTGGGGTGTGTGTGTGTGTGTGTGTGTGTGTGTGTGTGTGTGTGTAAATATTACGGTTAACAGTTATCCACTGGGCCCTAGGATGAATAAGGAAGCATAGCTTCACCTTATTCTCGACAAAGTCCTTAAGAGGGTCCAGATTATGTTCCATCACACTTTCATGCTTCTGAATTCCACTTAAAAAAAATAGACTTATTGGCCAGGTGCGGTGGCTCACACCTATAATCCCAGCACTTTGGGAGGCCAAGGTGGGCAGATCACAAGGTCAGGAGTTCGAGACCAGCCTGGCTAATATGGTGAAACCCCATCTCTACTACAAATACAAAAATTAGCTAGTCGGGGCGGTAATCCCAGCTACTCGGGAGGCTGACGCAGGAGAATAGCTTGAACCCAGGAGGCGGAGGTTGCAGTGAGCCGAGATTGCATCACTGCACTCCAGCCTGGGTGACAGAGCAAGACTCCATCTCAAAAAAAAAAATTGACTTATTAATTATTTTGAATTAGCAATATATTCCCATGGTTCAAAATTGAAGCAATATAAATGAGTGTAGAGTGAAAAGTTTCTCTCTCATCCCTGTCTCCAGATATCTGGGTCCTGCCCATGAGAAAGCCACATGAACAGGTTCTTTGTTTATCCTTCCAAATATATTTTTTGCATACACAAATATGTATATTTGTATTTATAACATATTTGTATATTTCCCTTGTATATTTGTATATTTCCCTATCTCATCCCCCCCTTTTTTAACAAAAACAGGTCATACACTGAACATACATGTGTTCACCCAGACTCTTCTATGTGCATATGTTATCTCTTCACCACTGCTTCCTTTCTAAGAGAACTCCGATTTTGTGCAGTTCTTCAGCACCATACCCTTTCCCCTACCTACCCACAAACACACTTCATGGAATCCATGTGACTCAGGGGAAGTGGATTCCACCCCCAGATCTGGGAGTAGCTGGTCAAAGGGTGACCCATTCTCTTTGCCAGAGGTCAGTTCAGAAAGGGGCATGAAACCCAACTCAGGCCAATGGACATGCTGAGAATTTTGCTGGGCTTTCCAGGGAATTTTTTTTTTTCTCCTGAGAGAGCTGTGGAAGAAGTCTCTTTTGCCTCCTCTGGACACCACTATGGGGAGAAGTAAAGATGGGGCAGACACTTGAGGGATGGCCCGGAAGAAACTGGAGCGCCTGGATTAAGCCAATCCTGAAGTCTGCACGACTGCTGTCCTTTCAGGCAGAGGAAAGATGGGTGATGTCACTATTAGCAGTCTAGGGTGAGGTGACAAGTCAGTGAAGCCATTTCAAATCCAAGTCTGGTGTGGCTTGAAGGCTTTTGGTTTACAACGGTAAAATCAGTTCTCCGATGTGTAGCATTTTACAGTACAAACGGTGCTCCCACATTCAGGTTTCATTGAGAGTAAATACGCCAGGCAAGGCCTCTGTGCCCACTGCACAGATGAGGAAAAGGAGACATGGAGGGGAAAGTCTTGTTTAAGGACACATATCCTGTAAGAGGCAGAACTGGAATCCAACCCCAAGTTTGTTTCTGTTACCGAAACACCGGGAGTTTGGTCTGGGTCCTGCGGCTCACAGAACAGAAAGCCAATGACTGAGACGATGAGTATTGCCAAGGACGAAGGCTTTAGTCGGGTTCTGCAGCAGAGGAGATGGGAACTCAGTCTCAAATGCATCTCCCTGACTAACTAAAACTAGGGGTTTATATGGCAGGGAAGCAATGTAACCGTGTGTAAGAAAACGGGAACTAGGGAGGGGCAAGGAAGCAATCATGGTGAATGAGGGGTCCCACATCTTATTGTCTGATGTGACGGTCTGGTGAATTTCAGTTCTTTGGTACTTTTTTTGAGATCTGAAGCTCCTTTCCTGAGGAAGGAACTCGGATAAAACAAATATAAGTTTCAAGCTTTAAGACTAGAAGGGTGAATTTCTATGTTTATCAAAAGAAAAAAAAACTGTCTATGGGACAATTGCATTGGTTTTATTTAAACATCAAGGTTATTTTCTCCCAAACCACCAGATACTCTGGCTGGAGGCATTCATACCCACAGATGCATGCCAAGTGTTGACTCTACCCTCAGGAGCAGCAGGACCAGGAAGCTCTGGGAGGTCAGGACACAGGAGAGAGGCAGGAAGAGCCCCCGCAGGACCTACTGTGGTGGCCGAGACTGCTACAGCCATATGACCTCCGACTGTGCCCAGTTCCTTTTAGCATGTCCTCAAGAGTCAGTGCCTCGGAGCAAATGGGCTGACCTCTGGACTACACTGGGGAAGAGAGAAAAGGAGGTCCTCCCTGTTGCCCAATGGAAGATTCCTCAAGATGGAGATTGAGCTGCTCTTCTAGGGCACCCCAAGGGCAAATGTCCCCATCGTCTCTAAGGCTCCAGCCAGCTCCAAACACTCTGGGTGGTAAATAGACTGAATCCCCTTTAGTGACCTCTCTCACTGGCAATGTTTTTTTTCTCTTTTTTCTTACAATAGTTGAATTGATCAAAAAAGAACTCAATCTCAAAGGTGAGAGTAGAGTTGATGATGGGGTCAGGGAGCTGACCTCAATCGAAAGTTGAGAAGAAAAGCATGTGTGAATAACAACATCCTTGGTTTAGAATTTACTTACAAAGCTTCAGCTGAGCTTATGAATGTGTCATTTGGATATTTGCTGGGCTTCGCACACACCCCTTCAGTTTCTACACAGGGCCAGGCATATCACAATGGTGTGGTTGCATTTTGTTTTTAATGTTAGGTTCATTTTTTATAGATCCTAAAACACAAAACGGGATTCGGGAGTGTGAATTTACTTGAACCAAACTGAAAAAAGGTTTTCTCAACCTCTGCAAAATGAAGCTGCAGAATTCACAACAGTTTTAATTATAACACACTAAATAGATACAATAAGTGGCTCTTTGCTCTGACGTTGAAATCTCTACCTATTTTTATCTCCAGGCAAATAACAGGCGGCTGGGGAAAGTTACTACATTATGAGTGGGTTATTGAATCTCTGAGCATCAACAACCTCTATGTCATTACACTGCATTGTATGCTAAAGAAAATCATTGTATCCAGGCTGGGCACAGTGGCTCATGCCTATAATCGCAATATTTTGGGAGACTGAGGTGAGCAGATCACCTGAGGTCAGGAGTTCAAGACCAGCCTGGCCAACATGGTGAAACCCTGTCTTTACTGAAAAAAAAAAAAAAAATACAAAAATTAGCCAGGCATGGTGGCGCACACCTGTAATCCCAGCTACTCCAGAGGCTGAGACAGGAGAATCGCTTGAAGCCGGGAGGTGGAGGTGGTAGTGAGCTAAGATCGTGCCATTGCAGTCCAGCCTGGGCAACAAGAATGAAACTCCATCTAAAAAAGAAAGAAAGAAAAAAAAAAAAAAGCAAAACAAAGAAAATCATTGTATTCAAAAATACCAAGATGAGCAAAAATATTTCAAGATTTCTTAGAAGAAATTTGCTTCCCATAGGCAAAGGAAAACTAAGCACATTAAAACTACTGCTCTAAAGTAACTTTAAAGCATAATTCTCCCCTTGAGTTTCAGGAAAGACCTGGAAAGAGGGGCAAGACTTTCCCTTTCTCACCTTGCCATGACCTCCAGGGCCTTGTAGCTCAGGCTTTGAAAATGAAGGTCACCATAATTACTATTACAACCCAGATCTGGAGGAAGGTGGAGAACCTTGAACAGAGCCCACCAGAAGTGGCTGGCTGGGGTCCCAGTGGGCTGCAGGGCCAGGGAAGGCCCTGCGGTTGCTGCCCCACCTGCCTGCTCTTGGCCTCACTTCTTTGCTTCTCCTCTGGAAGATTCTATCAGAATTGCTTTGTGCTCAGGAATGGGCCTATGATGAAGAGTCTGGCTCACTTTTTCCTCTGTACTTTGGGATTACATCATGGAACCCAATATCCTGAGCAAGCATAAGAAAGGGAGGGGAAAGTGGATGAATCTGATGTAAGAAGAAAACAGACACTCATATTTTCACTCAATTTTCAAAGCAATCCACACTACAGATGAGGAAACTGAGATTTATGGACGTGAAGAGACTTGCTGAAAACCACAGTTTGGTGGCTGAAGCTGGTTTGAATTTTATTCTAACACAAATCTTTATTTATTTTAGACAGGGTCTCACTCTATTCCTTAGGCTGGAGTGCAATGGCGTGATCATGGCTCATTAAAACCTCTTCCTCCAGGGCTCAAGCCATCTTCCCACCTCAGCCTCCTAAGTAGTTGGAACCACAGGCATGCACCACCACCCCTGGCTAATTTTTGTATTTCTTGTACAGATGAAGTTTTACCATATTGCCCAGGCTGGTTGTGAACTCCTGAGCTCAAGTGATCCACCTGCCTTGGCCTCCCAAAGTGCTGGGATGACAGGTGTGAGCCACTGCACCTGGCCTCAAATATTTTTACTGTATTTTATTTTTTATTTTTGTTGGTACATAGTAGGTGTATATATATATGGGGTACATGAGATATTCTGATACAGGCATGCAATCCATAATAATCACATCAGGGAACATGACATAGCCATTATGTCAAGCATTTATCATTGCTTTGTGGTACAAAAATTCCAATAATACTACTTTAGATATTTTTATATGTACAATAAATGATTGTTAACTATAGTCACCCTGTTGTGCTATCAAATATGCGATCTTATTAATTCTATCTAACCATATTTTTGTAGCTATTAACCATCTTCCCTCTCCTCCTTCCCAGCCTCTGGTAACCATCATTCTACTATCTCCATGAATTTAATTGTTTTAATTTTTAGCTCCCACAAATGAGTGAGAGCAGGTCAAGTTTGTCTTTCTGTGCCTGGCTTGTTTCATTTAACATAATGACCTCCAGTTTCATCCACAGTGTTGCAAATGACAGAATCTCACTCTTTTTTATGGCTGAATAGAGTACTCCACTGTGTATGTGTACGACATTTTCTTTATCCATTTGTCTGTTGATGGACACTTAGGTTGCTTCCAAATCTTGGCTATTGTGAATAACACTTCAATAAATGAGAATGCAGATATATCTTCAATATACTGATTTCCTTTCTTTGGGGTATATACTGGCAGTGGGATTGCTGGATCATATGGTAGTTCTGTTTTTAGTCTTTTTTGAGGAACCTCCATACTTTTCCCCATAGTGGCTGTATTAATTTACATTCCCACCAACTAACTCAAATCTGTAAATTATACCATGAGGATGTCTAAATCAAGGGGGCGATTTTTGCAGTTTCTACAAGAAAATCATTGAGTAGTTCACCTAACTTGATTGGCAAATTCAGTCAAATGACTGTACAAGTTTTATATAAATGTAGTCTCATGTTAAACATTTAAATCATGTGTTACCATAAACAATTATTAAATCACTTGAAGATGTTTGAGAACTAAATAGGATATTTCTTCATGATATATGCTTTAAAAAGTTTTAATTGCGGTAAAATACACATGACAAAACTTTACCATTTTAACAATTTTAAGTGTACAGTTCTCTAGTGTTAAGTATATCCACATTAATGGGTAACCAGTCTCTAGGACTTATCTCATAAAACTGAAACTATACCTATTAAACAACAACCCCTCATTTTCCCTTCTCCCCAGCTTCTGGCAAACACAATTCCACCTTCTGTTTCTATAGCTGACTACTCTAGAGAGGTCATATGAATGGGATCATTCGGTATTTGTCCTTTTGGATTGGCGTATTTCACTTAGCATAATGTCCTTAAGGTTCATCCACGTTGTAGCACGTGTCAGAATTGTCCTCCTTTTTAAGGCTGAATAATATTCCGTTGTATGCATAGACCACATTTTGCTTAGCCATTCTTCTGTCGATAGACAGGTGAGTTGTTGCCATCTTTTGGCGATTGTGAACATTGCTGCTATGAACATGATTGTACAAATATCTCTTTGCAATCTTTTCAATTATTTGGTTATATACCCAGAAGTGGAGTTGCTGTATCATATGGTAATTCTGTATTTAATTTTTTAAGAAGCTGCCATAGCGTTGTTCAAAACTGCTGCACCATTTTACATTGCCAACAACAGGGCACAAAAAATTGAATTTCTCTGCATTCTCTACAACACTTGCTATTTTCTGGGTTTTTTTTGCAAGCAGTTATTCTAATGGGTATGAGGTGGTATCTCACGGTGGTTTTAATTTGCATTTCTTTATTGATCAGTGATGTTGAGCATCTTTGACTATGCTTGTTGTACACTTACATACATTATTTGGATAGCTGTCTGTTCAAGTCCATTGCCCATTTCTAAGCTGGGTTATCTTTTTGTTGTTGTTGAGTTGTAGGAGGTCATTATATATTCCGGATACTAACCCTTTGTCAGATGTATGATTTGCAAATATTATCTCCCATTCCATAGGTTGCCTTTTCATTCTGTTGACTGTTTCATTCTGTTGACTTTTGTCTTTTGACAGACAAAAGTTTTTAATTTTGATATAATTTATCTATTTTTACTTTTGTTGCCTGTGCTTTTGGTGTCATAGCCAAGAAATCATTGCCAAACTCAGTATCAAGAAGATTTTCCTCTATGTTTTCTTCTCAGGCTTATATAGTTTTGGCTCTTACATTTGGGTCTTTGATCGATTTTGTGTTAATTTTTGTATATAGTATAAGGAAAGCATCCAATTCATTATTTTTTGCATGTGGCTATCCAGTTTTCCTAGCATCATTTGTGGAAAAGACTGTTCTCCCCCTTTGAATGATCTTGGCACTCTTGTTGAAAATCATTTAACCATATATGGGAGGGAGGGTTTATTTCTGGGCTCTCTATTCAATTCCACTGATTCATATGTGTGTCTTTATGCCATAAAGGTACTATGGCTTTGTAATAAATTTGGAAATCAAGAAATATGAGACCTCCAACTTTGTTATTCTTTTTCAAGACTGTTTTGGCTATTCAAGATCCTTTGAAATACCATACGAATTTTAGGATGAATTTTTTTTTTAATTTCTGTGAAACATCCATGAGATTTTGACAAGGATTGCACAAAATGTGTAGATTGCTCTGGTTAGTATGGACTTCTTAACTATATTCAGTCTTTAAATATAAGAACATGTACTGTATTTCCATTTATTTGTATCTTCTTTAATTTCTTTCAGAAACACTTTGTAGTTTTCAGTGTACAAGTCTTTTGCCTCTTGGTTAATTCTGAGTATTTTATTCTTTTTGATTCTATTAGAAATGGAATTGTTTTCTTAGTTTCCTCTTCTGACTGTTCATTTTAGTGTATGATAATGCAACTGATTTTTATATGTTGATTTTATATTCTGTATATTCTGCATCTTTGCTGAATTTGTTTATTAGTTCTAATAGTTTGTGGAATCTTTAGGGGTTTCTACATATAAGATCATGTCTGTGAACAGACATAATTTTACTTCTTCCTTTCTGGTTTGGATGCCTTTATGATTTTTTTTTTTTTTTTTTTTGAGACAGGGTCCCACTCTGTCACCTGGCTAGAGTGCAACGGCTCAAACACGGCCCACTTCAGCTTTGAACTTCTGGGCTTAAGTCGTCCTCCCACCTCAGCCTCCCAAGTAGCTGGGACTACAGGCACTTGCCACCATGTCCAGTTAATTTTTTTAAAAATTTTTTATAGAGATGGGGGTCTTGCTATGTTGCCCAGGCTGGTCTTGAACTCCTGGGCTCAAGCAATCTCCCTGCCTTGGCCTCCTAAAGTGTTGGGATTACAGGCTGAGCCACCGTACCTGGCCTATGATGCATTTTTATTGAAAGAAAAACAGACACCATTATTTTGCATTACAAAATATAAAACAGAAGAAATTTCACAGCCAATCAAACGGGAGTTTAGAATTGGATCCTCCTGCACTTTCCCCTACACTTCTTTCAAAGCTGCCTTCCTCTGCAAGGCTTCTGCCTCACCTCTGATCACCCACAACCTGAGCTCTGAGCACCCACACCTCACCTCTGAGCACTATGACCCATCTGGATGGAGCTACTGCACGGTCAGTGTGGGAACATCTCTGAGGAAGATGCATTGTCTTCTGTGGAGTTACCTAAAAACACTGGGGCATGTTCTCCTAACTGCCTTCACTTAGTCTAAAGATGAAGCAATTCAACAAAAGTACATGTAAACCTCAAAACTGGACTTGGAGTTTTAAAGATCAATGGACTCTATTGTCTATTGTCTGGATGGTTTGGGGGTTTCCTAGCTCATTTTTTTTTCTTTTATGGTATAGACACCTGAAGGCTCTTTGCTCAGTACTCCTCACTGTGTGGCTGCCTTCCACTGCAGACGCTGTGCTGAAGGTTGGGTTCTGGCCACTCTGTTTACACCCTTTTGGACTTGAGGCTTGCCTGTTGGTTCCCTGAAACGTGGACTCTGGATCTGGGTGCTAACCAATTCCCTTTCTTTCCAGGCCGGGGTCCTGAGACCTCACTGTAATGAGAGACTGTGACCTCTTTTCTCATGTCTCAGGCAGGCTATGATGCCTTTTCTAGTTAAGGACCGTGTTGAACCAGGTGAAATCGCCATTTTTGTTGGCTGTTTTTGTCCTGCAAAACTGACAATTTCATGTCCTTAAATTTAATACCTTTGGAGTAGAAACTACCTATTGTTGTCCAATAGAGGAAACAAAGTTTCTTCCTGAAAGCATTTGTCTGAACAAAACAGTATTTGTTTTATCTGCATTTCCCCTTCATTCACTTGTATCATTCAGGGACTTGCACATCTCAGTCACATGTGTGACGCACTCACATGTATGGCTCCAATCCCATCTTCACGGCACAGAGAACTAAATTCTCTCCCACCTTCCCGTGGA
Source organism: Homo sapiens (assembly GCF_000001405.40). Lineage (NCBI taxonomy): Eukaryota > Metazoa > Chordata > Mammalia > Primates > Hominidae > Homo > Homo sapiens. Next base: position 30,033,498 of record NC_000015.10, read on the forward strand.
GAGCCCTCTGTCCTCATCATCACTGGTTCCTTTCTTCTGGATCCTTCCACCTCAATTATGTTTCTCTGAGGGTGCAATGACAAGAATAAAATGAAATTTTGTTCTTGTTCAGTTAAGTAATAAATTGTCATTTCTTCCATTTTCTCTTTGACTAAAGATGTATTAGCTTTATTATTATTTTTTAAATAGAGACAATGTCTCAATATGTTGCCCAGGCTGGCCTTGAACTCCTGAGCTTCAGTGATCCTCTCGCCTCGGCCTCCCAAAGTGCTAGGTTTACAGGTGTGAGCCACCACGCCCGGTAAAAGATGTATTAGCTTTAAACAAAGTTAAAATTTCTTCTCAGTTGTGTAAAAATCACAGAAGAATGCAGCATGTCCTCTAAGTGTCAGCCTGTGTGGGGCTGAAAAAACAGTGGAGTCCTTTGTTCACTGTCTTAGGAGTCTTTGGGATTTCTGTTGATCCACAGACTTGCATAAAGAGTTTGTCATGATGACAGGGCCTCTGCACATGATGTGAGGATGTGGACCCCCTTTCCTCCCCACAGCCAGTGCCGGCCCGACTCATAAAAGCTCAAAGATCCAGTGAGACCAGCCTCAGTCAGATCAGCCCATCCATGAGTGGGGGTTGTTGTTATATATATTTATGCTCCATCTCACTGCCAAAGAGGGATTTGGGGTGGATTATAGAAATGCATACAACAGGGGCCGGGCGCGGTGGCTCATGCCTGTAATCCCAGCACTTTGGGAGAGCCAGGTGGGTGGATCACAAGGTTAGGAGATCAACACCATCCTGGCTAACATGGTGAAACCCCATCTCTACTAAAAATACAAAAACTAGCTGGGTGTGGTGGCGCGTGCCTGTAATCCCAGCTACTGGGAAGGCTGAGGCAGGAGAATTGCTTGAACCTGGGAGGTGGAAGTTGCAGTGAGCCGAGATCACGCCACAGCACTCCAGCCTAGTGACAGAGCAAGACTCTGTCTCAAAAAAAATAAATAAATAAATAGATAAAAATAAAGAAAGAAATACATACGACAAAATAAAAATAAAATAAGCAAAGAAGTGGAGGAAGAAGAGGAGAATTAAGGTAAGAAATTAAGATGAAGTCATTTGTTTCTTTTTGCCTATTCATATTTTGAGTTTTCTCTTTTCTTATTGATTTGTAGGAGTTACTTGTATATTCTAGATCTGTGCTAATACGTTAGCCACCAGTCCTATGTGGCTATTGAAATTAATTAGGCTGGGAGTGGTGGCTCACACCTGTAATCCCAGCACTTTGGGAGGCCAAGGTAGGTGGATCACTTGAGCTCAGGAGTTCACGACCAGCGTGGGAGACATGGCAAGACCCCATCTCTACTAAAAATACAAAAATTAGCCAGGTGTGGTGGCACACCTGTAATTCCAGCTACTTAGGAGGCTGAGGTGGGAGAATCACCTGAGCCCAGGAGGTAAAGGCTGCAGTGAGCTGTAATCACACCACTGCACTCCAGCCTGTGTGACAGAGACCCTATCTAAAACAATAATAATAATTATTATTAAAGTTAAATAGAATTAAAAATTTAGCTCCTCAGTCACCCTCCTCCCATTTCAAGTGCTCAGTAACCACAACTATCCAGTGGCCAGCATAGACCTACACCATTTCCATCATCACAGCCAATTCTCTTGGATAGTGTTGGTCTGTATATTAATCCCTTGTCAATTTTATTCATTTCAAATATCTTCTTCGAGAAAATTGTTCTCTGCTAACTTTGATTAAGATGTCTTCACTGAACAGAAATGTTTAGGCTTTTTTGAGACAGGGTCTTGCTCTGTTGCCCAGGCTGTAGTGCAGTGGTACAACCATAGCTTACTGTAACCTTGAATTCCTGGGCTCAAGCAATCCTCTTGCTTCAGCCTCCCAAGTAGCTAGAAGTATAGGCATGCACCACAATGCCTGGTCAATTTAAAAATTTTGTAGAGATGGTGTTTCACTGTGTTGCCAGTCTTCCTACCTCAGCTCACGAGTTCTCACGAGATCTGATGGTTTAAAAGTGTGTGGCACTTCCCCCTTTGCTGTCTCTCCTGCTCCACCATGGTAACACGTGCCTGCTTCCCCTTCGTTTTCCACCATGATTGTAAATTTCCTGAGGCCTCTGAACCATGCTTCCTGTACAGCCTGTAGGACTATGAGTCAATTAAATCTCTTTTCTTCATAAATTACCTAGCCTCAGTTAGTTCTTTATAGCAGTGTGACAATGGACTAATACACCTTAAATGTTTAGTTTTTATATGGTTGTGTTCATCATATTTTGCCCTGTAATATGTGCATTTGGAGTCTTGTTTAAGAAATCTCCTCCCTGAGGTCTCAGAGATATTTCCCCTCACCTTTTGGTATCTGGGTTGTGGATTTCCTTTTCATATGTGGGTAGTGAATCCAATAGGACTTTGCCTTTGCTACACAGCGTGAGGCAGGGATCCAACCCTATGCTCTCCATCTAGTGAGGGGTTTTCCCCATCATTGCTGTTAACAGATTCATCTACACATCCATCGTCTCCCCACAGGTCTTGTGTGCCACTGCTTTCCTGTGCCCATCCAAGGTCCATGAGGGCAATTTTGGGCTCTTGCAGGCTGCATCCATCTCTTTATGTTTCCTCTGCCAGGACCAAATTGTCTTATCACTCTGACTTTGTGCAACGACTTCACGCAGGGAGAGTGCTCTATTCTCCCTCACTCTTGTGTTGCCAAATGTTCATAGCTCTTCTAGGACCTTGCTCATCTAGATTCACTTTAAAATCTATCTTTTTGAGTTTCTCAAAATGTGTATAGAAAATCAGCAGTCACTCACTAATGAAATACTCTCTTTTAAGTGAAAAATAATATATGTGCTGTGAAGCTCCGTGATCTACTTTAAACCTAGGAATGAAGTTCCAAGTGTTAACGGTGATTTAAAATCCATTCCATTGAGTTTCGGTTTGTCTGGGGCATCAGTAAATGCTCATTTCCAAAAGTGCTTTGCCTTTGAAGGCTACTAATGCATGCAGTGTGTTGCCATGGCAACGGTTACTTTTAGTTAGTACTTTTTATAGATTAAAGTGCTACACCCTGGAGTCTATTCATATAAATGCATAAATCTTAAGACAGTATGGTACTTCATTTAATGTAGATATTTAATGGAACAGAGTCAGACTTAACTGACCAGAAATGGAAAATTTTCAACACTTATATTTGATACGGACATGCAGTGTTACCAAAAATATAACATTTTCATTACTTTGTTTTACAAAATATAAATTAACCTTGCTATCCATTTAACTTGGTCAATATTTAATAAATTGTGGTTGAAATGTATGTGTCTGTCAGAAATTTGCACATATCACTTTGTTTTCTACCCTAGAGTAAAATCCCCAATTATTGTAGGGATTCAGAAGACTTGGGGAACAAGGTGTTTCCCAGGCAAATGGAGGGGAAGTCAGTGGAGCCCTGGGTGGGAAAGAGTATATGGGCCTGGGCTTGGATTTTGGCAGTGATTTTTATTAGCTGTGTGGCCTTGAACTTCAGTTTCCCCAGTCATAAAATGGAGATCATCACATCTACTTTGCACAGCAGTTGTGAAGATTAATTGTATCTTCAGTGAGTGATATCTATGATTTAAAAATGACTAGATAATGATTTCAAGTCAATATTTAAGACAGAAAGAGAGGGTGGAAATATCAAGTACAAAAGTGCTGCGGAAAGTCAATAGTCAACGATCCTGGTGGATGGGAGGTCTCAGAGACAGGGGAATTGGGCACCGCTTCCACGCACACGAGAGGAGAAGGACACAGAGGCAGAGATCAGCAGAGCAGTGGGCATGGAAGAGGGACCATGGGGTTGGCTGGGTGAGGCTTGGTCAGGAAAGACAAAGGGGTGGCGGTAGGAGCCCCCAAGGGTGGGTTGAGAGCTCTGTGCCTTACACAAAGAGTGACCCTGAACTGTGCCTTATACAGAGGTGACAAGAAGTGTTTTAGAAGGGAGATCTGGTAAACAAAGGGGCACATGGAGACAAGCATGAGGGCTGGATGTGCCCCTGGCCTGAGGACAGCAAGGCCTGAACCCAGGAGGGGTGTGGAGAGTGAGATGAAGATGAGAATCTCACAGTCACAAAGAAGACGATATAGGGATTAGCTCTACTGGAAACAGGAGTGGAAAGAGCCAAAATGGTCTCCGAAGCTTTGATCTCTTCCGATGAACAATTGTTTAAAGCAACAATAATGACAATAACAAAACAGTCATCCCTTGGCATCTGGGGGGTATTGGTTCCAGGACTCAGTTTCTTGCCACGTGAATCTCTCCAGTTTGCTTTGTCAGAGCAAGCACGTGAAAAGAATCTGAACAAGATGGAAGTCACTGTCTTTTATAATCTGATTTCCAAAGTGGCATCCATCACCCTTGCTGTGTTTATTCATTAAAACCAAGTCACGAGTCCAGCCCATATACACAAGGAGAAGGAACTACACATGGGCATGAAGACAAGGAGACAGGGGTCGCTGGGAGCCATGCTGGAAGCTGCCTACCATACTAGGGGACTGGAGAAGTGGAAATACTCTTGACCAAAATAGGACAGGAGGATGGAAATAATTTAGGACCCAGATGATGAATTCAGTTGTAATCATGGTGTATGAGCTAATGGCATGGCATCAGAACCAGAATCCACAGCCATTTGAGCCATGGGAGAGCTCTAGAAAGAAGGCAAGCCACGGACATGGATTAGGAAGCATCCTGTTTTGACCATGTTCAGGACATGTATTCTTAGCTTCATTGCACATGTCTGCAAAACAAATGAGTCTGCTACAGGGCTGTCAGACAGGGCTGTGGTTTCATCTGAAGGTTCAACAAGAAAAGGATTTACTTCCAACCTCACTCACATGGTTGTTGGCAGGATTCAGTTCTTTGCAAGATGTTAGGATGAGGTTCTTGATTCTTTACGAACAGTGGCCTCGTGAGAAGTCTTGAGTTGGATAATCCAACTCAACTGTGGCTGGATACCTGACCCACAGAAACTATGAAATAATAAACGTGCTTTTCAAGCCACTAAGTTTTGGTGTGATTTGTTATGCCGCAACAGATAATTAATACACCCAGTTTCCAACTCTTTGATCCTATCAGTTACCATAAGGCACCTAGAAGTTTTCCCACCCTTCCAAGTCCTCAAAATTTATGCTTTTCTGGAATTTGAGAGAAGGTAATGGTCCACTTAGGGAGGAAGCTATTGTTTGGTACATGCCTCCAGGCACCCTTTCTCCTGCTGGACAACTGCTTCTCCAGTCTAATCCTGCTCTAGCTTTTTGCTGGGAAATAACACTCCACTCACTCTTTCACCTTGGACTTCCTGTGCTCCCAAACTTGGCTTGGGTCCAGACTGTAGTCTTCTGTGTCCCTGACCTGGATTTCTATTCCAGAACCTAAATGCTGCATGTCTAAGCTGATCTGGTCAGCAAATTTTTTATCGCTCTTGCATTTGATAGTTGGATTGTGGCATTCCTGACCTTGCATTGCACCCGCACAAATCAAAACAGCCTTGGCAGCCCTGTAAGATAATTTGATTCCATTCCCTAGCAATACAGGGCCAGGTCCAAAGTTACCAAATCAGGGCCCTGACTGCTCCTGGCACCCAGCCCTGGCCCATGGCTTCCTGACTGATCTTCCTGACCTTTGCCTTTCCAGCTCCACCACCTCAAGGAGGCATGAACGATCTTTCAGAGGCATGTGCCAAGTTCTGAGCTTGGTCTTCCCATCCTTCCAGGGGGTGTGGGATGGGACTTGGAGTTATGCCAGCTCTTCAGAAGGGGATGTGCATGCACCAGCTCCAAGTAGAGTTGGCAATAGGCACCGCTACTCAGTGGCACAGTGGTGACTCATGAAAGCAGTGGGGAGTAGGACATGGTGGCAGAGAATCAGTTCCCAGGCCCTGCTCAGCAATTATGAAAAAGGCTGTTAACTTGGCACCAGGAAAATAGAGTAAAGGTCGCTTTTCCTGACTTCCAAGGACTTCCACAGACTGAGGCCAACCTGCTCGCCCAATGTGTTCTCTACTGTGAGCCCTCTGCTCTCACTGTCACTTTCTAGTCTGGAAGTCAAAAAATTCTTCTCCTTCTTCTTCTCTTTCTTCTTCTCCTCCTTCTCCTCCTCCTTCTCCTTCTCCTTCTTCTTTCTCTTCTTCCTCTTCCTCTCCTTTCCTTCTCATTCTCATTCTTCTTTTTTTTTTTTTTGAGACAGGGTCTGACTCCATCACCCAGGGTGGAGTGCAGTGGTGTGGTGTCAGCTCACTGCAACCTCTACCTCCCAGGTTCAAGCAATTCTTGTGCCTCAGCCTCCCAAGTAGCTGGAATTATAGCCGTTTGCCACCATGCCTGGCTAATTTTTTATTTTTAGTAGAGATGGGGTTTCACCATGTTGGCCAGGCTGGTCTCAAACTCCTGGCCTCAAGTGATCCACCCACCTCAGCCTCCCAAGTGGCCTGCTAGGATTACAGGCCACTGTGCCCAGCCAAAAATATTTATTATTAATAAATGGATGAGCCTTGTAGAAATTATGTGGAACAAAAGAATCTGGACACAGAAGAGTAAAGACTGTATGCTCCACTTAGATGACTTTTTAGAATAGGCAAAATTCATCTAAAGTGGATAAAATAAAGGTCATACTTGTTGCCCTGGTTAGTTACCTGGAAAGGGACATGAGGGAGCTTTCTGGAGTGATGGAAATGCTCTATATCGTGATAGGGGTGTGAGTTACAGAGGTGTGTGTTTGTTAAAATAAGGCCGGGTGCGGTGGCTCACACCTATAATCCCAGCACTTTGGGAGGCCAAGGTGGGTGGATTACTTGAGGTCAGGAGTTTGAGACCAGCCTGGCCAATATGGTGAAACTCCATCTCTACTAAAAATACAAAAATTAGCCGGGCTTGGTGGTGCATGACTGTAATCCTAGCCACTTGGGAGGCTGAGGCAGGAGAGTCGCTTGAACCTGGGAAGTGGAGTTTGCAGTGAGCTGAGATGGTGCCACTGCACTCTAGCCTGGGTGTCGCAGGGAGACTCCATCTCAAAAATAAATAAATTAATAAAAAATCGGCTGGGCACGGTGGCTCATGCCTGTAATCCCAGCACTTTGGGAGGCCAAGGTGGGTGAATCACGAGGTCAGGAGATGGAGACCATCCTGGCTAACATGGTGAAACCCCGTCTCTACTAAAAATACAAAAAAAATTAGCTGGGTGAGGTGGCGCGTGCCTGTAGTCCCAGCTACTCGGGAGGCTGAGGCAGGAAAATGGCGTGAACCCGGGAGGCTGAGCTTGCAGTGAGCCCAGTATATATATATATATATATATATATATATATATATATATATATACACTTAATTTTTGTTACTTTGTCATTATGGCATTTTGATATATGTCAATTTTACCTTCAATAAAACTGTAAAAATATTAATGGTTGAGTAAGGGCAGGGGAGTGGGGTGAGCTACAGAAGACCCTGGAATGGCAGAATGCTGAATGTCGAAGCTGGGTATTTGCCGCATAGGGGTTTATTACGCTATTCTGTTTACTTTGTACATGTTTGAAAATTTCCACAATAAAGAGTCAAAAAAAATTTTATGGTGCACATATTCTGCACCATGTCCTATGCTAAAGGGCATGCACAGGCAGACAAGGCTGCAGAATACAGAAAGAACAAAACTGAAGATGGAATTTATTTTTTTACATTTATTTTTAGAGATGGGGTCTTGCTATGTTGCTCAAGCTGGTCTTGAACTCTTGGGCTCAAGCGACCCTCCCACCTCAGCCACCCAAGTTACTGGGATTACAGCATTATTCAACCTGAAGATTGGAAGATTTTTTTTTTTTTTTTTTTTTTTTGAGATGGAGTCTTGCTCTGTCGCCCAGGCTGGAATGCAGTGGCACAATCTCGGCTCACTACAAGCTCCGCCTTCTGGGTTCATGCCATTCTCCTGCCTCAGCCTCCTGAGTAGCTGGGACTATAGGCGCCCGCCACCGCGCCCAGCTAGTTTTTTGTATTTTTAGTAGTGACGTGGTTTTCACCGTGTTAGCCAGGATGGTCTCGATTTCCTGACCTCATGATCCGCCTGCCTCGGCCTCCCAAAGTGCTGAGATTTCATGCGTGAGCCACCGCGCCCAGCCAAGATGGATTTTTTACTTACAAACATAAAGTGCATTGAAAAGGGGGAAAGGTGGACTAAACGGAAAGTCATGCCAGCCCCAACATGTGGCTCCAAGAAGAGAACCCTGCACCAGAAGGGAAGTCATCCAACTGCTTCTTTCATGGCTCACAACATGTCACGAGACCATCGCCAGCAGAACTAAACACTGGGCGAAGCGATGTGGTTGATTTACATTCTGGCTCAGGCTCTATTCTTGAACCATCAGCCAGAAATGTGACCAACACTAAGGCAATGATTTATTAGATTCACCTGGGAGCACCCAGATAAACTAAATCAGAATCCCTTGTGGCAGGGCTCGGCATCAGTGTATTTTGATGTTCCAGATGCAATTCCAATACACAGCCAGGGCAAGAACCAGCGATCTGTGAGCTGCTCAAGTCACATTGCTTCCAGGAAGTCTCTCTTCATGCTCGCTCACAAAGAGCCTTCTTTTATCCAACACCCTAAACATTGCTGACTGACAGTCTGCTATCTAGGTATATGGGGCCTTGTACTGTTTTGAACAATTCATGCTTGTCTTCTTTAATGAGGATGTCTGCACATGTGTTCTTGAGGGTAAGAATTACCTTTTACATTTTTGCATTCCCCACAACACTTTGCACTATGATGTTCAATAAACATTCAATTTTCAAATTTTTATTTAGACAATGAAATATTTCCTTATTATAAATTGGCTGCATTCTTTAATTCTCAGAGTACTGAACTAAATGATTAATCATTACTGGAACATGTTCTTTCATAATGAAAATACTAAAAGATTTATAAACTTAAACATAACTTTTCAGTTATTTAATTTGGGGATTTTCCAAGTCAACGTATTTCCTATTGAACAGATTTTTGTCTATATTATTTTTGCTCTCTGACCTGATGTGAATCTTTCAGACGCTGGGTTGGTTGAAGGGGAAACAGTTTTTCTAATGCAGCTACTGTGAGCTGAGCTGACTTAGGCCTTGGAGAATTACCATTCTTACCAATTGACCACAAAAGCAGATAGGAACAGTATCTACGTATTACAAACCAGAATCAAAATGACCTTCACACATGATTAGTGTGGAATTCTTTTCAGTGGAAAATGGCAACATTTAGCAGCACAGGGTGCAGTTGGCTTCAAATACTCTCTGAAGTGAAACCATTGTGTTTTCCTGGGTGACTGAGCCCAGGGCTAATGCCCATCGGAGAAGCTGCTGGGAACTGCAATGCTTTGATTAAACAGAGTATTAACCACAGGCTGGCTGTTTGAACCATATCGATAAAGACAAAATTCACCCTATCTACCAAAACATTCTTTCATGTAAGACTTAACAATGAAAATAAACAAAAGCTTTAGCTGTCAACTATATATACCATGAAGAATGGCAAAACTGGTTTTTGTTAATGCTATTTTGTCTTTTAATCGCTCAGTTGGCTATGAAAACTCTTGTTTACATTCCTTTACATATTGTTGAGCTTCAAGGTAATTGTGAAAGAAAACGGGGAATTAATATCACTTCCCAGAAGCCACATTTTATTTAACCTCAAAAACTTTATGTAAAAGATTTTGTTATGAATCAAAGGCTGGCAGTTCTTCCCACTGGGGTGATTTAGGAAATTAAAGTTAGGAGTAGATGGTGCTAATGGGAATGGTAAGACTAGTAAGAGTGATTTATTCCTTGCAGAAAAAAATCACTGTCGATGCTCAGTTGAAATAATGTGGAATTTAATAATTACCTCATAGTACCATCTAGTGGTGCTATATTTCTACCCTTGTGTTAAGTGAGGACTGTAGTTTTCTGTAGCCCGAAGCCAGCAAAGCCAGGTCAGTGGTCTATTACAAACACTTTAACTGTAAGCTGTTAGAAGGGTGAGTTCACAGAGAAAATGTAAACAAAGTATTAGTAGCTCATATGACAATATTAAATTTTAAAATGTTCCCAGAACTCAGACATGTTCAATATGGATTCTCAATAAATTGTGTTTTTAAATATTGAACAAATACTGTGATTACTTTTTTCACAATAATTACAGCAATTTGGGTAGTTTTGGGTACTACCGTAAGATTCTAAGCACTATTTTATATTTTTCCTATTCTGAACAATTGTGGTTTGTGCATTTCTTCCAGTAAATGCGGTCTGGAAAATAAATACCTTTCACATGGTACGTGTTATTGGAAAACAATTGTCTTTAGTGAGATTTATGGAATGTGGAGAAAAAAAATTTTTTAAGGAACTATTGCTCCTATGAAAGCTTGAGAGTGTTACGGGCAATGTAGGCACTTTTAGATCAAATTCAAACATAAAAAGGCACTTACACACATTTTAAGAATACTTGTAATTATAAGCACATTTTCAGATTTACAGGACTAAGTCTAGTTTAAGCATAAACCAGATTCAATGTGAATCTCTATATATTTTTCTTGCTTCAAGTATTATTTTACAGAAGGGACACTGATTTGTTTGGCCTGTGTAAACCTAAGAATCTAGGTTTGATCTAGTAGATATCATATCTAGTAGATGTCATATCTCAACAATAAAGGGTCTGAAGAATAAATATTAATATTTAGGCCTAAGTTATTTTTTAAAATTCATAATGTGTCTGTCCTGTTTTGCTTACTGAATTAACAAATCTTTAAAGAAAACCTTCATATATTATAGCGATATATTTATACCACAGTGATATGATTTATTGAATGTGAGAGAAATTCTCACACTCAATTTTAATTTTCTTAAAAAGAAAAGATGGGAAAATGTTACAGTATTTAAATAGTGAATGCTGGGCGGCGACGGCGACATGGAGAGCGGGGCCTACGGCGTGGCCGAGGCGGGCGGCTCCTTCGACCTGCGGCCCTTCCTGACGCAGCCGCAGGTGGTGGCGCGCGCCCTGTGCTTGGTGAGCCCGGGGAGGGCGGGCCGGGGGCACCCCGAGGACCCCCCCCGCCGCCAGGCCCGGCGGGACCCCTAACCCACGAGCGTGACAGGTGGAGGCGGCCGCGTCCGGGCCCTGGCGGCGAGCGGGGCGGGCATTTAGCGTCCCGGGCCCCGCCTTCCCGCCCTCCACAGTCTTCGCCTTGATCGTGTTCTCCTGCATCTATGGCGAGGGCTACAGCAACACCCATAAGTCTAAGCAGATGTACTGCGTGTTCAACCACAACGAGGATGCCTGCCGCTATGGCAGTGCCATCGGGGTGCTGGCCTTCCTGGCCTCGGCCTTCTTGGTGGTCGACGCGTATTTCCCCCAGATCAGCAACGCCACTGACCGCAAGTACCTCGTCATTGGTGACCTGCTCTTTTCAGCTCTCTGGACCTTCCTGTGGTTTGTTGGTTTCTGCTTCCTCACCAACCAGTGGGCGGTCACCGACCCGGAGGACGTGCTGGTGGGGGCCGACTCTGCGAGGGCAGCCATCACCTTCAGCTTCTTTTCCATCTTCTCCTGGGGTGTGCTGGCCTCCCTGACCTACCAGCGCTACAAGGCTGGCGTGGACGACTTCATCCAGAACTACGTCGACCCCAGTCCGGACCCCAACACTGCCTACGCCTCCTACCCAGGTGCATCTGTGGACAACTACCAACAGCCACCCTTCACCCAGAATGCGGAGACCACCGAGGGCTACCAGCCGCCCCCTGTGTACTGAGTGGCGGTTAGGGTGGGAAGGGGGACAGAGAGGGCCCTCCCCTCTGCCCTGGACTTTCCCATGAGCCTCCTGGAACTGCCAAACCCCCTCTTTCACCTGTTCCATCCTGTGCAGCTGACACACAGCTAAGGAGCCTTACAGCCCGGCGGGGGCTGGCCGAGCCACACCCCACGTGCCTGTGCCCAGAGGGCTTCAGTCAGCCGCTCACTCCTCCAGGGCACTTTTAGGAAAGGGTTTTTAGCTAGTGTTTTTCCTTGCTTTTAATGACCCCATCCCCGCCTGGAGTGGCTAGAAGCCAGCAGGCACCCATGTGCTACTGACAAGTGCCTCAGCTTCCCCCCGGCCCGGGTCCGGCCGTGGGAGCCGCTGTTACCTGCGTTCTCTGCCAAAGACTCGTGGGGGCCGTCACACCTACCCTGTGCAGCGGAGCCGGACCAGGCTCTTGTGTCCTCACTCAGGTTTGCTTCCCCTGTGTCCACTGCTGTATGATCTGGGGGCCACCACCCTGTGCCGGTGGCCTCTGGGCTGCCTCCCACGGTGTGAAGGCGGGGCTGGTGCTCATGGCACTTCCTTCTTGCTCCCACCCCTGGCAGCAGGGAATGGCTTTGCCTGACAACACCCAGCTTTATGTAAATATTCTGCAGTTGTTACTTAGGAAGCCTGGGGAGGGCAGAGGTGTCCCATGGCTCCCAAACTCTGTCTGTGCCGAGTGTATTATAAAGTCGTAGGGGAGATGCCCGGCCCTGGGATGCTGTTTGGAGATGGAATAAATGTTTTCTCATTCAAAAAAAAAAAAAAATTAGTGAATGCTTTTGTAAAATAGCAGCCAAACCAAGACCAAAATGTTTCTTTAGTGTACTTTCATGCTTAATGCTGACAGATAGCATTGTTTGAACTCACAATCAATTTTTTATATATACCTTTTCATTACAAAACAAATAATATTCATGGCAGAAAATGAAGAAAACCAAAAAACAAAAATAAGATAAGAAATTTCACCTGAAATCCCAACACTTAAAATGCCATTTAAAATATTTTCCCAAGTAGCCCCATTTTTTAAAATGAGCAAATTAGCTTCCCACTTAACTTCTTTCACTTAATACTAAACTGTGAATAACTTTCACAGTGTGATTTTCATTTCTGAAATTGCCCAGCTTCTAAGGCCCACTGCATGCAAGGAATTTAGCTAAAACACATAGTCCTTGAGGAGATGACAGTCTAGAAGCAGAGACAATATACACTGTAGTTAATGACAGTTAAAATGTCCTTAACAAGATTAAAAACTCGTGGGAAAAGAATGAAATCCTGTCATTCACAGCAACATGGATGAGCCTGGAGGACATAAGGCTAAGTGAAATAAACCAGGCACAGAAAGGCAGATACCACATGATCTCTCTCATGTAGCGTCAAAAAGGTTGATCACATAGAAGTAGAGAGCAAAACAGTGATTACCAGAGCCTGGGGAGGGGAAACAGGGATGGGAAGAGGTTGGTCAATGGGCACAAAGTTACAGTTAGACAGGAAGAATAAATGCTGGTGTTCCCGTCCATAGTACGATGACTACAGCTAATAACAATGTAGAGTATATTTCAAGTGAGCTAATAAAGAGGATCCTGAAAGTTATCACCAGAAATAAATGTAAATTTTGTGGTGAATGATATGCTAACTACCCAGATTTGGTCATTATACAATGTATACATGTAGTGAAACATCACACTGTACCCCATAAATGTGTACAATTATTATATGTCAAATATAAACACTTTTTTTTTTTGAGACGGAGTCTTGCTCTGTTGCCCAGGCTGGAGTGCAGTGGCGCAATCTCCGCTCACTGCAAGCTCCGCCTCCTGGGTTCACGCCATTCTCCTGCCTCAGCCTCCTGAGTAGCTGGGACTACAGGCGCCCACCACCACGCCCAGCTAATTTTTTTTTGTATTTTCAGTAGACACGGGGTTTCACCGTGTTAGCCAGGATGGTCTCTATCTCCTGACCTCGTGATCTGCCTGCCTTGGCCTCCCAAAGTGCTGGGATTACAGACATGAGCCACAGTGCCCGTCCTAAACATGTTTTTTAAAAGAACACACAAAAAAGAATAAAATTCCCTGAGAACTAGCTTTATTTCTTCCATTTCTGTGGTCTCCTGGTCTCAGACTGGAATTGTTTTGTTATTAAGTAAAAACCAGCCCTCAACTGGCCAAAGCACAAAGGTAAGTCACTGACTCATGTAACTAAACTCCCTAGGAACAGACCCAGCTTCAGACAGAGCTGGATACAGGCTGCTCATCTGCCTAATTTGGTCTGGGTGCTGCTCCTTGGCTCTTGGTTAGCTTCCTTTCTGTTGGTTCCTTTCTCCTTTGCAGAGGCAAAAACAGCACACGCTTTTAGTTGGAGTCTTGCTGCCTCCTGGGATGTTCTTCACCACCATCCTGGGGATTCACTTTGACTCAATCTTGGGTTGGGTTCTTTGTCTCCTTATCCCATATATTCCTCTTCTTTGATTTGCTCTCTTATTTTGGTGGAGGCTCCACTCTACTAGTTTCCTGAGAGAAGCTGCCTTGGAATGAAATGTTTTGAGACTTTGTATGACCAAAATGTTTCTTTAGTTTACCCTTGTGGTTAATAGTTTTGCTGGTGTGAAAGAGACTGCCAGTGTTACATATATCTTGTCCTCCTTTCTTTCCTGGGTACATGACGGGATTACCTTTGCAAAGGACTAACAGTATCTTTGCAGTTAGGTAGTCTTGTGATGAGTGTAGCCAATAAAATGAAAAAAGAAGTGTGTGACCTCCAGGCCCAGGGAATTAATAGCTTGGGTGCTACTCCAGGCTCTCTTCCCCTGCTGCAGGAGCTTTGGAGGCCCCTTGTTTCAGAGCAACATCTCAAGGTGAAAAGAACCTGGATACCTGAATCACAGGATGGAGGGGATCACCTGCCAACTTGCCTTTGCATGAACAAGAAGGAAGCGTTGTTAGGCTGGCCTACTGAGATGCTAGGGTTTCTTTCTTTCCTTCATTTTAAAATTGCAACGTTATCTCAGTGGAATAGATTATTCTTAGGTGCATCGTTCATATAAAGAAAAATTCATGTAATCCCAGCACTTTGGGAGGCCGAGGCAGGCGGATCACGAGGTCAGGAGATCGAGACCATCTGGCTAACACAGTGAAATCCCATCTCTACTAAAAATACAAAAAATTAGCCGGGCATGGTGGCTGGCGCCTGTAGTCCCAGCTGCTCAGGAGGCTGAGGCAGGAGAATGGCGTGAACCCGGGAGGCGGAGCTTGCAGCGAGCTGAGATTGTGCCACTGCACTCCAGCCTGGGCGACAGAGCGAGACTCTGTCTCAAAAAAAAAAAAAAAAAAAAAAAAATTCAAAACACTCCTGAGGGATACAAAGAAAAGTCAAAGAGGTGGAAATCTGTAATCTTGGAAAGGAAGATTCACCACCAAAACAGTAACCATAGTGGAGAGTGTGTTAATAATAAAGTTGATGCAATTCCAATAAATATCCCAACAGGATTTTCTTTTTTGAGGGAGAGCGAAACAATCTGATTCTAAAGTTAATGTGGAAAGAAAAACTCTAAGGAAATATAAAGTTAAATTCGGATCTCACACCTGACTCCAGGATAAATTCTAGTTGATTAAAAAATTAAATGTAAAAAAAAGATACCATAAAATATTAGAATAAACAATCATACTTGTTTTGAATCAAATGCTGGGGAGGGCATTTCTAGGTACAACATAAAACTGGGGAGCCATCACAGAAGAGTTTGATAGATTCAATTATTCTAAAATCAAAAAGAAAAAATCCACATGTAAAAACCCTCCCCAGGCAAAGTCACAAGACAAACAGTAAACTGGCGAGCATTTGCAACTCAAATCACATATAAAGAATAATTTCATTGCTGTATGTTTTAGTCCATTTGTGCTGCCATAACCTGAGATGGGTAATTTGCAATAAATAGAAATGTATTAACCCACAGTTCTGGAGGCTGGGAATTCCTGAGAGGTCAGTGTCTGACAAGGACCTTCTTGCTGCATCATCCCATGGTGGAAGGCAGAGGGCAAGAGAGAGGGCAAGGGGCTGAACTCACTCTTTTATAATAACATCAATCCCACCCATGAGGGCAGAGCCCCCATGGCTTAATTACCTCTTAAAGGTCCCATCTCTTAATAATGTTACAATGGCAATTTAATTTCAAGGGTATGTGCCACCACACCCAGCAAATTTTTTTTGGTATTTTTTGCAGAGATGGGGTTTTGCCATGTTTCCCAGGCTGGTCTCAAACTCCTGGGCTCAAGCGATCCACCTGCCTGGGCCTCCCAAACTGCTAGTATTACAGATGTGAGCCACTGCACCTGGCCTTGTCTCATTTTAATGTCTCTCTGGACCTGATAATTAAAAAGACTTGCATTTCTCAGATAAAAGTGATTTTCTTTTTCTCAAAAGGATATGAACAGAGAGAAAAGAAAATGCATATGGATCTTCAAAGATGAAATGATGTTCAGTCTCACTCATAATAAGTAATTTCACACAAACTACAATGGGATATAATTTTTCACCCACTAGACCAACAAATACTTCAAAATTTGATAACACATTGTATTACTGAGGATACAGGGAAACAAGGACAATCACAAATTACTTGTGGGAGTCTAAATTGTTTGTAACCCTTACAGGGCACAATTTGACAACATCTAGGAAAATTTTGCATGCAAATACCCTTTGAACCAGCAATTCTCTTTTAGGAATTCATTTATATTTATAGATATGTGACATGATGTGTGCACAAGTCTCTTCATGGTGACACTG
The DNA here is from genome assembly GCF_000001405.40 of Homo sapiens. NCBI lineage: Eukaryota > Metazoa > Chordata > Mammalia > Primates > Hominidae > Homo > Homo sapiens. The sequence continues at coordinate 30,050,105 of NC_000015.10, forward strand.
TAACAGCAAAGACGAGATAAGCTAAACAGTAGTCAACAGGGGATTGCTTAAATAAATAACAGTACAGCCACACAAAGAAATATTCTGTAGCTCTAAAAATGAATAAAGAAGCTCTTTATGAACAGACATGGATTCATCTCCACTGCATATTGCTCAGTGAAAACAGTGAGTTGTAGAGTATGTCTACATTATACTACTATTTGTGGTTTTCTTAAATGAGGAAAATATGTATAGCTTTTGCATGAAAAAAATATCTCTAGAATGAAGTATGTACAAAAATCTGTTAATCATGACTGTTCATGGGAAGGGGACTGGATAGGAGAGAAGGTGGAAGGGAGAATTTTCACCATTGATACTTTGAACCCATTGATTTTGGGACCAAGTGAATACACTGCTTATCTAAAAATTAGAAATAGTTAAAATTTAAAAAGAAAATGTGCAGTGGCTCACGCCCGTAATCCCAGCACTTTGGGAGGCCAAGGCAGGCAGAACATCTGAGGTCAGGAGTTTGAGACTAGCCTGGCCAACATGGTGAAACCCCGTCTCTACTAAAAATGCAAAAATTAGCCAGGCATGGTGGTGGGCGCCTGTAATCCCAGCTACTCGGGAGGCTGATGTAGGAGAATTGCTTGAACCCCGGAGGTGGAGCTTGCAGTGAGCTGAGATCGCGCCACTGCACTCCAGCCTGGGCAACAGAGTAAGTCTCCGTCTCAAAAAAAAAAAAAAAAAAAGAAAAAAAGAAAAAAAATGTGAAGAGAACAGTTTGGGCACTTGAAACCTACCTTTCAGCATCATTGGTGATGTAACCCTTGGGGTGGTCAGTTTATAGGCCACACGTGTGAGAGTGCCACTCTGCTGTCTAGTCTATCTTAGCAATTTTAGGGACACTATTGCTGTGAGGAGTGACACTGTCCCTGTCCACCATATGAGAAGAATGTGGGTTTTGGTTTCCATTTGCTAAGATGACATTCAGCTGATATAGTCCAGAGGAAAGAAAGGAAAACAGAGCAACTCCCTTTTGATATCTTAGTTGATGACAGCCATAATTAGTGAGTAAGAAAAAATGAAAAGATTTCCAGTCGAAGATGACTGACTAAACATGAGAATTTACCCTTCCTCCCTGTTTAAATCCTATTTCAGGGACCAAAGGGATATAAAATGGAGAGTAATTCTGTAGCAGCATTGGAAATTTAGAAAAGGTGCTTTTTGTGTTTTAAAAATAGATTTAGGGGGTACAAGTGAAGTTGTGTTACATGGATATATTGCATAGTGGTGAAGTCGGGGACTTTTATTGCAACTGTCACACAAATAGTGTACATGACACTCATTAGGTAATTTCTCATCCCTGAGCCCCTTCTCACCCTCCCACCTTTTGGAGTCTCCAATGTCTATTGTTTTATTCTCAATGTCCATGTGTACACATTGTTTAGCTCCACTTATAAGTGAGAACATACACTATTTGACTTTCTGTTTCTGAGTTATTTCACTGAAGATAATGGCCTCCAGTTCCATCCATGTTGCTACAAAAGACATGGTTTCATTTTTTTTAATGGCTGAGCAGTAGTCCATGATGTACATATATACACCACATTTTCTTTATTCAGTCATCCATTGATGGACACTTACGTTTATTCCATGACTTTGCTATTGTGAATAATGCTGCAATGAACATACAAGTGCAGGTATCTTTTTCATATAATGATTTCTTTTCCTTTGGGCAGATATCCACGAGTGAGATTCCTATATCAAATGGTAGTACTACTTTTATTTCTTTGAGAAATCTCCATACCGTTTTCCATAGAAATTGTACTAATTTATATTTCTACCAACAGTCTATAAGTGTTTCCTTTTCTCCACATCCTTGCCAACATCTGTTGTTTTTTTGACTTTTCATAGCCATTCTGACTGGTGTAAGATTTTTGTTTGTTTTTTTGAGATGGAGTCTTGCTCTGTTGCCCGTGCTGGAGTGCAGTGGTGTGATCTCAGCTCACTGCAAGTTCTGCCTCCCGGGTTCACTCCATTCTCCCACCTCAGCCTCCCGAGTAGCTGGGACTACAGGCGCCCACCACCACGCCCGGCTAATTTCTCTTTTCTTTTTGTATTTTTAGTAGAGACGGGGTTTCACCGTGTTAGCCAGGATGGTCTCGATCTTCTTGTGATCTGCCTGCCTCAGCCTCCCAAAGTCCTGGGATTACAGGTGTGAGCCACCGCGCCCGGCCAAGATTTTATCTCTTTGTGGTTTTAGTTTGCATTTCTCTGATGATTAGTAATGTTGAACATTTTTTCATATGTTCGTTGGTCACTTGTATATATCCTTTTGAAAAATGTTTATTCATGTCCTTTGCCCACTTTTTAATGGGGTTATTTTTTTCTTGTACAGTTGTTTGAGTTCCTTGTACATTCTGAATATTAGTCCTTTGTTGGATGCAGAGTCTGCAAATATTTTCTCCCTAGACTTCATAAATTACTTCAGTAAAGTTTCAGGATACAAAATCAATGGTACAAAAATCAGTAGCATTTCTATACACCTATAACAACCAAGCTGAGAACCAAACCAAGAACTCAATCCCATTTACAATAGCTATGAAAAAAATACCTAGGAAAATATTTAACCAAGGAAGTGAAAGATCTCTACAAGGAGAACTACAAAACACTGATGAAAGAAATTGTAGATGACACAAACAAATGGAAAAATATCCCATGCTCCTGGATTGGAAGAATCAATACTGTTAAAATGATCATACTGCCCAAAGCAATCTATGGATTCAATGCAATTCCTACCAAACTACTGTGTTAGTCTGTTCTCAAATTGCTACAGATACATGAAACTGGGTAATTTTTAAACAAAAAAGGTTTAATTGGCTCACAGTTCTGCTGGCTGTACAGGAGGCATGACTCTGGCATCTTCTCAGTTTCTGGGGAGGCCTCAGGACACTTACAATCATAGTGGAAGGCAAAGGGAGAGTGAGGAGTCTCACATGGTGGGAGCAGGAACAAGAGAGAGACCGGCAAGGTGCTACACCCTTTTAAACAACCAGATCTCATGAGCACTCACTCACTATACAGTACCAAAAGGGCATGGTACTAAACCATTCATGAGAAACTGCCCTCATGATCCAACCACCTCCCACGAGGCCCCACCTCCAACACTGGGGATTACAATTTCACATGAGATTTGGTGGGGACACAGATCCAAATAATATCAATTACCAATGTCATTTTTCACAAAATTAAAAAAAAATCCTAAAATTGATATGGAACCAGGAAAGAGTCTGAATAGCCAAAGCAATCTTAAGCAAAAAGAACAAAGCTGGAGGCATCACATTACCTGACTTTAAACTACTCTACAAGTCTATAGTAACCAAAACAGCATGGTACTAGTAAAAAATAGACACATAGATCAATGGAATGGAATAGGGAACCTAGAAATAAAGCCACATACCTACAACCAACAGATCTTTAACAACATAAACAAAAATATACAGTGGGGAAAGGACACCCTATTCAATAAATAGTGTTGAGAAAATTGGCCAGTCATATGCAGAAGAATGAAACTGGACCAATATACAAAAATTAACTCAAGATAGGATTAAAAACTTAAATGTAAGACCTGAAACTATAAAAATCCTAGAAGAAAACCTAAGAAAAACTCTTCTGGACATTGGCCTACACAAAGAATTTATGATTAAGACCTCAAAAGCAAATGCAACAAAAATGAACAAAGAAAAACAGGACTTAAACTAAAAGGCTTCTGCACAGCAAAAGAAATAATCAGCAGAGTAAAACGACAACCTACAGAATGGGAAAAATATTTGGAAGGGATGTTTTTAAGAGATCAGAAGAGACAAAACATTCTTGAAGATATAAAGTAGATGGAATCAGATTGGTGGCAGTTCTAGAATTTGGGTGCAGAATAAACCTGCTAGCATTGCTCCAAAATAAAACAAGAAATTGTACTAAAGGTTTAGGTAGTGCTAAAGAGAAAGAGAGGGCTGGGCGCGGTGGCTCACGCCTGTAATCCCAGCACTTTGGAAGGCCAAGGTGGACAGATCACCAGAGATCAGGAGTTTGAGACAAGCCTGTCCAATGTGGTGAAACCCCATCTCTACTAAAAATACACACACACACACACACACACACACACACACACACACACAATTAGCTGGGTATGGTGGCACACACCTGTAATCCCAGCTACTCGGGAGGCTTAGGCAGGAGAAGGCGGAGGTTGCAGTGAGCTGAGATCGCACCACTGCACTGCAGTCTGGGTGACAGAGCGATACTGTCTCAAAAAAAAAAAAGAGAGAGAGAGAGAAAGAGAGGATGTTGGGGCTGGAGAATAGAATCAGTACTCTCAGGTAACAGATGCATGGAGTGGGGACAAGGAGGATACCTACTAAGAAGTCAAGCAACTCGGAGAATCTAAATGTCAGTCTGTCTAGTCACAGGTCAACTCGTTGCTATGTCAGAAAAGCAATCAGTTCTAGAAAATTAAAAACACATTCTAAAATAAAAAATCGAATGACTGTTTCACAAAGAATGGGCCTAACCGAAGATCTTATCAGAGAGCTGAAAGACTGAATAGAGGAATTCTCTTAGAATACAGTGCAAAACAAGATGACAGGGATAAAGCCGAATAAGTCAGCAATTATAATTAATATGACCAATGTGTAGTGCTCATAGAGTACTTGGGTTCAAATCCTGCCCAATCCTTTCTGATCTTGGGTAGGTCATGGAATCACTCAAATCCTCAGTTTCTTCAGCTGTTAACTGGGGACAACCAGAAGAACTACCTATAGGCTAGGTCTGAGCACTGTATAAAATAACGCGGGTAAAGTGCTCAGTAGAATACCTGAATTGAGAGGACTCAATACTGCTTAGCTACGTTCCTATCACTATTAATATTACTAATGGGCCATCAGACATGCTAAAAATAAATACCTACAACAGAGTGGAGACCCTGTCACTAAAAACATAAATAAATAAGTAAATAAAATATACAACCACACTAACATTCACAAAAGTATTCTAAAATAAAATTATTCAGGAATGTTGAAAATTAAATGACAAAGGTAGTCACTTATTTACAAAATCTGTGAAAGATGAGAAATGTGAAATTAAAAAAATGGAATTTAAAGCCAAAAATATTCAATAGGACAGATTTTATATTTACACATAAGAATACGAAGACACTAGAAGAGCAATGAATCTTTATGCCTGAACAACATGCTATCAGAATATATAAAGAAAAATGAATTGATAAGTTAACAGTCAAAATGAGAGGATTTAGTAACTTTCTCAGGAAAGAACTGATTTAATAGACAAAAAGCAGTTTTAGATTTTGAGATCACAAGGCTGACTCTGTAGTAATATACAGAAATTTGAACTCAGTATAGAATATACACTCTTTGTAAGTACACGTATACTATCTACAAAAATTGACATAGTAATAAACCAAAAAGTCTCAATGAATTTCAAAAAGCGGAAAACATTTAGGCTAATTTTCTAACTACCATGCAATAAAACCAGAAATTAGAAATAACAAAGAAAAGAATATCCCCAATCAAAAAAAAAAAAAGAAAAAGAAAGAAAAAGTTATATGTATTTGGAGATAAAAACAAAGCAAAACAGAGAGGCTTTCTGTTATTTATGCGTAAACCAGGAAATCATGGTTGCGATTGCCAACAGTTTATGCTGGGACAAGGGCTCAGTGTAGTAAAGCCAGCAGGATGTGGCCAAAAAATGTAAGAAGACAAGGGAAAATAAATGAACTCTAAATATTAGGAGACAAAGCATAGAAAGTAGAAATTTTAAAATAAAAAAGCAGAAATTAATGAAACAAACAAACAGGGCAAACAACAAAATTTGTTAAGCCCCAAATCGAGTTCTTTGAAAAATAGCTAATACAACTGTGAAACTACTGGCAGACCTGACCCAGAAAAAAAAAAGGAAGAATTAGAAAAGAAATATAACTATAAATAGGGAAGAGATTTAAAACTTGTAATCAACTCTATAGAAATAAATTGGAAAATGTGTAAGAAATGAATATTTTTATAAAAATGTAAACTACCACAATTAACGAAAGAGTCAGAAGACCCAAATCCTTGCTGGTTCTGTTGAAGAAATGGAAAAGGTAGTCAGAGGTCCGGCCCTGAAACAGGCGGCAGATATAGGTAGTGTTATGGGGGATGCTAGTGAACCTTCAAGGAGCATGTGATTCCAGTTATTCAAACTGTCAGAGCACAGGAACAGATGGAAAGTTTTCCTTCTCCTTCCAAGTCTAGCAAAATCTTGATAACAAAACTCATTTGAACGATAAGTATATGAAGTAATGCATATGTTAATTAGCTTGATTTAGCCATTCCACAGTGTCTACATATATCAAAACATCATGTTGTACACCACAAATATATACAATTTTTATTTGTCAATTAAAAAAATAAAGTCAAAACAAAACAAATTTGCACTCAAGGGGTACAGAGGTTTGCATGGAAATGCTTCAAAAAGGCCTGGAAATAATCCAGATGCTAGCAGGCTACCTCCTAGTGGCTGGAGAAAGAGGGCTGTCACTTTTTACCCTACACACTTCTGTACAATTTTATCTTTTTTCTTTTTTTTTTTTTTTTTTTTTTTTTTTGAGACGGAGTCTCGCTCTGTCGCCCAGGCTGGAGTGCAGTGGCGGGATCTCGGCTCACTGCAAGCTCCGCCTCCCGGGTTCACGCCATTCTCCTGCCTCAGCCTCCCAAGTAGCTGGGACTACAGGCGCCCGACATCACGCCCGGCTAATTTTTTGTATTTTTAGTAGAGACAGGGTTTCACCGTGTTAGCCGGGATGGTCTCGATCTCCTGACCTCGTGATCCGCCCGCCTCGGCCTCCCAAAGTGCTGGGATTACAGGCTCTTTTTTCAATAAGTATGTATGAGTGGATTAACAATGGAATGATTGTTTAATGCATTCATTATTTTATTACTTTTTAAACCATAAGAAGAGGTAGGAAGTATTATCTACATAAGGGGTTGGCAAATTTTTTTCTGTAGAGAGCAAGATAGTAAATATTTTAGTCTTTGGGGGCCATGCGGTCTGTTGCAACTACTCAACCTTGGTGGCTAGCATGGAAGAAACCACAGACTATATGTAAATGAATGGATGTGGCTGTGTTCCGTTAAAATTTTATTTCAAAAACAGGCTGCAGGTTGGATTTGGTCCACTGCCATACTTTGCTAAATCTGATTTCTATATCAGTGGGGAAATTGGTATTTTGATATATTTTATTAAGCCTCAGTCCAATATTTTATTCATTTATTTAAAAATATTTACTAAAGACCTTTATGTTCCAGGCACTGCTGTAGGAACTAGGAGTACTGGGAACATACCAGTGAATAACACAAAGCCACTATCGTCATGGTGGTTGCATTCTATTCTGAGAAAACAGACAACAAGCACATGCAGAACAAAAACAACAAAACAAAACAAAACAAAAAACATGCTCAAGAGTGATCAATGCTATAAAGAAAACAAAGCAGGATAAGAGATAGAGGGCGCTGGAGTGGGGGTTGGTACAGTTTTAGAGGGGATGGTAAGAAAAGCCTCTGGGCCGGGCGCGGTGGCTCACGCCTGTAATCCCAGCACTCTGGGAGGCCGAGGCGGGCGGATCACAAGGTCAGGAGATGAGACCATTCTGGCTAACACGGCGAAACCCCGTCTTTACTAAAAATACAAAAAATTAGCCGGGCGTGGTGGCGCGAGCCTATAGTCCCAGCTACTCCGGAGGCTGAGGCAGGAAAATCGCTTGAACCTGGCATGCGGAGGTTGCAGTGAGCCGAGATCGCACCACTGCACTCCAGCCTGGGCGACAGAGCCAGACTCCGTCTCAAAAAAAGAAAAGAAAAGAAAAGTCTCTCTGAACGATATGTGACCATCAGGGAGTGTGAAGTCCTGAGCCAGAACCAGGAGAAGGCTGATGTGTCTACAGGGGGCTGAGAGGCGGGTGATGGGGTGACGGTGGTGCAGGGAATCCAGGGTCTGGGCAGTGACTCGGAGGAAGACAACATGGTGAGCAGTTGTAAGATCCTGAACACAGTTTGAAGGTGGAGCTGGCAGGAATACTGGTGGCTGGGATGTGGAGTGAGGGAAAGAGAAGGGCGGAGAATGATTCAAGTCTTTGGACAGAATGGCCATTTGCTAAGACCTGAGCAAGTAATGGGTTTGGTGGGGCGCTAGTTCTGAGTTGTTGTTGTTGTTGTTGTTGTTGTTTTGAAGACGGTGTCTCACTCTTGTTGCCCAGGCTGGAGTGCGATGGCGCTATCTCTGCTCACTGCAACCTCCGCCTTCCCGGTTCAAGCGATTCTCCTGCCTCACCCTTCCAAATAGCTGGAATTACAGGCGCCCACCACCACACCCGGCTAATTTTTTGTATTTTTTTAGGAGAGACGGGGTTTCGCCATGTTGGCCAGGCTGGTCTTGAACTCCTGACCTCAGGTGATCCACCCTCCTCGGCCTCCCAAAGTGCTGGGATTACAGGCGTGAGCCACCGCCTGGTTTTGCATGTGTTGTTGGGGCTGCCTGTTAGACTGCAAGTGGCTTCTGTGAATAAGCAGTGAATTGGAGGGTCTGGGGTTCAGGGAGGGGTCAGGCTGGAGAGGCAAATATGGTACTTATAGGGTAGAGGCCCATGAGATCATCAGGAAAACACTCGGAGAGTGTGCAATGAAGAAGACCTGGGGCCCCGGAGCAATATAAGGATACAGGATCCAGGATTCAGAAAAAGAGAGGAAAAGCTGGGCAAGAGAGCAAGGAGGAACAGGGGGAAGTGTGAGCCTCAGAACCCAAGAGAAATGTTAATGAAAGGCCAAAAGATGAGAACCAAGAAGGTTCTCACTGGCAACCTTAACGGAAGAGTGGGGTACAGAATAGGTTCAAGAAGGAATGTGATGTGAGGAAGTCAAATCCAGCGCTTGGAGGCCCCGGCTTTGGGACAGAGAATTGGTCCCTGCAGAGCACGGTCTGAGGCCAGTGTGACTTTCACCTCTGCTCACTGCAGGACAACCAGAGAGCTCCATCCCAGGCTGAGCTGGGCTCTGAAATTAAAAGGTGGATTGAAAAGGTTCCTTCCCCTTTTGTGTGTATGTCGGGGTAGGAGGGGGTGGAGGGTGAGGGCTGCTGGAAGAAGGTGAGGAATGAAACAAAAATGGGCAATACATTCTGATAAGCATGTAAACAGGGGCCAATGCAAGGGTGTATGGAAACAGAGGAGGCTCCCATCCCATTTGTCCAGGTCTGTTCAGTGGAGGACAAGGGGAGTTTGAAAATAAAATGCCCAAGGATTTAATCAACCAAAGAGCCAGGACCCTCCATACGTACGATGTTGCCATGATGACCATGCCCGTGTGGGTGGTAGTTTGGCCGTTTCCTATCCAAGGCGGACGCCCCGGTGGGCAGGGGTAGGTGGGAGGCCTGTGTTTCCATCCTGAAGCTTAAGAACCAGGCCGGCCCATCTCGGGTTTGTGTCTGGGCACATGCACCCTGTGGGTGAGATGCACCAGGTCATTGTAGGCCACAGGCTCTGGAAAGGGCACAGAACACGGGGCCTGAAGCAAGTCACTTCAGCTCAGAACCTCAGTTTCCAAGCCTGCCATTTTGGGGAACTGGGGTTCATGATACCAGGGAGTGAAAAATTCTAGGTATAATACATGACCAGCATTTCTTTCTACTTCTCCCACACGATTCCCTTTTCAGCAGATTAAATGTTTGTGAGCCAAAGCACAACGTGGGCTTCGCTTCTCTCTGCATGCTTCAGCCTTGTCCAGACATGGCGTGTCACCTGTGTCTCCGGCAGTCACCAGCTGTCCTCCAGGCTGCTGCTGTGGGCTTCTCATTGGTGGATCCGAGGTCCTGGATACTGTCGCCTTGGTGAATGCACAGTGATGCGTGTGGGGAGGTGCAGAAGCTCTTCCGAGTTATTCTCTGCACTTACAGATTGAGTTTATCCCGTGATGAAGCTCAAAATCAGTTATGCTTTTCTATCTCCTCTGTTGTATTTCTCCTCAACGTCCACTTCTGTGAGTGAGTAAGGTTGTCTGTTTTGACAGCTGAATGAACAGAAAAAGGAGGTTTTAAAAGCAAAAGTCTGCTGTGTCCCAGTTTCCCAGTTAACTCCATTCTCTCTAGCCATTCATGGCATGGAGACAGAAAAATCACAGAGCAATCAGAGTGCATTTTCTGAAATCAGTCTCAACTGCGGAGTGGGAACGTGCCACTCTGAGGAACTTCCTTCCGGCCCGGCTTTTGTGACATGTCGTGTGGTAGCGGTCGTATTCCATCCCACCTTGTCCTCCAATGCTGAGCTCAAGGATTTGGGAAAGCACATGGTCCCACCCCGAGGTCACAGGGAGGGCTTTCGCCACAGCAGATGTGTGTGCCGTTCACATGTCCTCGACAGCCAGCGGAGTCACAATTGATTTTGATGTTAATATGGCAAAATCCATTAGGGAGAAAAACTTTCCCCCATTCATTGACTCACAACCCAAGTAGAAATTGTTTTTTGACATTATCCACATTCCTGTTCTTCCCATGAGGCATATTTGAGGCGGGCAGATCACCTGAGGTCAGGAGTTCGAGACCAGCCTGGCCAAAATGCTGAAACACCGTCTCTATTACAAATACAAAAATTGGCTGGGTGTGGTGGTGCGTGCCTGTAATCCCAGCTACTTGGAGAAGCTGAGGCTGGAGAATTGCTTGAACCCAGGAGGCGGAGGTTGCAGTGAGCCGAGATCTCACCACTGCACTCCAGCCTGGGTGACAGAAAAAGACTGTCTCAAAAAAAAAAAAAAAAAAGAGCTGACATTCTAGGTGTTTAATAATACCATACTATCATATCTAGTGTGATAAAATAACAACATGCATTTTCCACAGGACTATATTTCAAAAGAGTATGAGATGATTATATTATATTTTTAGACCAAAGTTTCACTGATGCAGAAAAATCTGTAAGTTGCAGGTTTATTTTTAATAAACAAAATCGACTTTATGCACCTTGTAGGTTAACCTAACCGACATTATTGTAATTTATTCAGTAGGTAGGGAAGTTTGAACTCTACTCTTGAATTCATGGCGGGATATATTAATAGTAGGGAGCATGCGGGGAAGTACGCAGACATTGTTAGCAATAAGCAGTGAACACACAGGGAGTGGTGATATAAAGATAAACCAATACAGACAGAATGTCCAAATAAGGCCCCAGTAGGGCATGTTTTCCACGTTTCCTAGCAGGGTTGGGAATACCCTATTTAGATTTTCAGACCAGAAAAGGGTAATGAAGTCAGAGAGATTAGCCTGGGCAGAAAGGGAAGAATGGACCAGGGGCCATCCATTCTTCCCTGTGCTGGTGAGAGCACAGGTCACGGCTACAGAGAGGGGGGTCAACCTAAGGATGCAGGCAGGGTTGGCTATAACAGTTCCTTGGGAAATGGAAGTGTAGGAATATTGTTGGCTTAGTTTTAAACCCAGAAGAGGAAATAGCTCTGGAACTTAGGCTGGGGGATGGGGGCAGAAAGGACTCAGGTCTTTATTCCTAGACTACTCCAGTACATATCTTACCCCATGGGCACCTGTATCAACAGACTCTGAGGGAAAGGTTTGCAGCAGACATGGACCTTGAAAATGCTGGAAAAAGAGAAGGTGCTGATCCTCCCCAGGAATCAGAAGACCAAAAGCCTTAGAAACTCAAAGAAAGAAAGCTATAGCAGGGGGGCTACTTTGGCTCCCAGACTTCAGCTCTCAGGGCCAACATAGAGCTATGATTTGAGGACTGTTCTTTCCATCTGTATTAGTTAGAATTCCTCCAGAGAAAGAGAACCAACAGAATACAAACACACACACACACACACACACACACAAAGATATTGAGATAAACATCTCAGTATATATGTGTGTATATTTATATACACATATAAAATTTGATGAAATGTATTTTAATGAATTGGCTTAAGAGACTGTGAAGCAGTAGTAGATCCAAACTATGCAGGGTTGACCAGCAGACTGGAGACCCAAGGAAGAGTTACAGTTAGATTCCAAATGCAGTCTGTTGGCAGAATTCCTTCTTTCTCAGGAAGGGTTAGTCTCTGTTCTATTGTCTTTAACTGATTGAATGAGATCCCCCACATTTTGAATAGTAATCTGCTTTTACTCAAAGTTCACCAATTAATTTATTAAATTATTTATTTGAGATGGAGTTTTGCCCTGTCGCCCAGACTGGATTGCAGTGGCGTGATCTCAGCTCACTGCAACCTCCACCTCCCAGGTTCAAGAGATTCCCCTGCCTCAGCCTCCTGAGTAGCTGGGATTGCAGGCGTGCGCCACCACACCTGGATAATTTTTTTTTTGTATTTTTAGTAGAGACGGGATTTCACCATGTTGGCCAGGCTGGCCTTGAACTCCTGACCTCAGGCGATCCACCTGCCTCGGTCTCCCAAAGTGCTGGGATTACAGGCGTGAGCCACCGTGCCCAGCCCAAAGTTCACCAATTTAAATGTTAATTTCATCCAAAAAAAAAAAAAGAAACATCCAGAATAATGTTTGACCAAAGATCTGGGCACTGACCTGGCCAAACTGACACATAAAATTAATTATCACACCATCTTAACACTGTCCCTGGGTAAAGGACTAAAAAAGAAAAGACAGAAGGAAGAAGGAGCTAGGACCCAGGGATAGGTAGGATGTATCAAGGAATAAGAATCAGCATACTGTGTTTCCACAAAACACAAGAAAGAAAGTAAAAATCTAGAAAGATCTGCAGCACTGTTTAATTCAGTACATGTGCCTCAGGTATTTCTGGGGGCTGGTTGGGGGGCCAGTCCCAGGCAAACTGAAGGTGCGGAAGCGGTGGTGGGATTAGCTTAGTCAGCAGGCCTGGTACGCATGGACTAGTTGCATAAAGTACTGGAAGCCTTGGACCTGATGGTTGTCTTCAGAGTAAAAAAGGAGGTAAGCAGAAAAATGCAGTCTACAAGCTGCTGAGTCAGTTACCACTTAGCATGACTTGAGTGCCAAAGATATGACAGGCATAGAGTAGTTTGGGGCACAGAAGAACAGATCAGAGGAGGTTACAGGTTTTTGTGCATTTAATCCTTACGACAAATTTATGAGACAGGTGCTGTTCTTTATCCTCATTTTCCAGATGAGAATCTAAGGCATAGAAAGGTTTAGCAGTTTGCCCAAGGCTGCACAATACTTGTGATGCTTAATTTTGTCTTAACTTAGCCAAGCCGTGGTGCCCAGTTGTTTGGTCAAACATCAGCCTACATGTTGCTATGAAAGTATTTTTTTAGATGTGATGAACTTTTTTTTTTTTTTTATTGAGACAGAGTTTCACTCTTGTGACCCACACTGGACTGTAATGGCATGATCTTGGCTCACTGCAACCTCTGCCTCCTGAGTTCAAGCGATTCTCCTGCCTTAGCCTTCCGAGTAGCTAGGATCATAGGTGCCCACCACCACACCCAGCTAATTTTTTTGTATTTTTAGTAGGAACAGGGTTTCACCATGTTGGTCAGGCTGCTCTCAAACTCCTGACCTCAGGCGATCCACCCGCCTCGGCCTCCCAAAGTGCTGGGATTACAGGTGTGAGGAGTCATGCCTGGCCAGATGTGATGAACATTTATATCAGTAGACTTCGAGTAATACATATTTCCCTTCATAATGTGCATGGGCCTCATCCAATCAGTAGAAGGCCTTAAGAGCAAAGACTGAGGTTTCCTGAGGAAGAAGGAATTCTCTTTAAAACTGTCACATGGAAACTCTGCCTGAGTTTCTAGTCTCCTGCCCCATGGAATTCAGATTCAAGACTGACTGCAACATTGACTCTTACCTGAATTTCCAGCCTGTCAGTTTTCCCTACAGATTCTGGACTTGCCAGTCCCCATAGTTGTGTGAGCCAATTCCTTAAAATAGATCTCTTTCTCTCAGCATGTGTGCATATTACAGTTACATATAAATGAGGCTCTGTCTCTCTCTCCATACTGAAAGCAGGAAGTAGAAGAGGAAAAGAAACAGAAATCACATTTTTGTCAAATCCCAGAGGCACTTGCAGTCCAGAATCTTGTATTAGGAAGGGCAGTGGGTGATGGGGCAAACCTTACCTCCTGGATGGGGCTGTCAGGACTTCATGTCTCCATGGAGGGGGCCCACCCCAGAACCACCAGCTCAGCCCCAGCCAGCAAAAGCCTCCTGGCTCTTCAGGAGCCTGCTATCACAGGGAACCCAAGTCCACCCACGTCAGGCTCAGGGACCTTGGAGGGCTTTGTCCTGCGATTACATTGGTCTCTATCCAGCAAAAGAAAAGTTGGAAAGCAGTCTGTGTGCTTTCTAAATGAACACACTGTGATAATGGGGGCCCAAAGTACATATTTCTAATAACAAACCTGATTAGAGGTAAAATTAATTGTATATGCTATTTAAACATAGTATATGTTGAGTTGTATATTATATTTTTTTACAATACTTACTCATGGTTGTGCCTTGGATGCTTATATGCCATAAGCAAGTTAAAGAAAACATATGGCTTACATACCAACTATTGACATTCCATTCATGCCTTTATTTTTTATTGTTTATTTTTATTTTTTTTGAGACAGAGTCTTGCTGTGTTGCCCAGGCTGGAGTGCAGTGGTGCAATCTCAGCTCATTGCAACCTCTGCCTCTCAGGTTCAAGCAATTCTCCTGCCTCCACCTCCTAAGTAGCTGGGATTACAGACTCCCACCACCACACCCACCTAATTTTTGTATTTTTAGTAGAGATAGGGTTTCACCATGTTGGCCAGGCTGATCTCGAACTCCTGACCTCAACCGATCTGCCTGCCTTGGCCTCCCAAAGTGTTGGGATTACAGCATGAGCCACCATGCCCAGCCTCCATTCATGCCTCCAGAGGTGGGAAGGACACTGCATGGAGTAGGGACCATTTGGATCGTTGCTTTGTGTTCTCATTTTATGCAAATTCTTCCTATCAGACAGTCTGTACCTGCAAGGAATAGCCATGAAGGCTTACCGCAGTTCAAGTGTTACTCTAGCCCACAAAACACATAATTTATGAGCCAAAAGAGAAGCTGGAGGCCATTTATGTTGGAGCAACTTCAAAATGTCTCACCAGCAATTAAGACTATTTTTGTTTTCCTTTCGGAGAAGCATTAGCACACATTTTAGAGAATGACCGCTTAATTTATAACCTCTTACTCATATTTTAGAGGTTTACTACTGAAGGGCAGAGTTATTTGGAATGTTCGGAATGAGTTGCATCATCTTGTTTTAGGCTCCAGCAAAGAACAAAAACTAAGAACAGACACCAGGCACACACTTCAACGGCATCAAGTGCCCACAGTCAAATGGAGTCAAGTGCCCACAGTCAAATACCATTCTTCTCATACTGCGGAACAACCAAAAAAATCACACAGTGGCCTAAGTATGTCCTAGAAAATATTAGCATCAGCAAAACAACGTGTAAGTAGCCAAAGGACGCAGTGGAACAAGAACTATGAGGAGAGGAAGAAAATGAAAAGTAAAAAGACAGGCCTTTTTAAAGATTACAAACACACCGAGAATGTTAACATACTTGTTACATAATTGGAGACTTTGTTCTTGATCTTCAGTGTCAAAAGCACTGCTACGATCGGGTTGAGTTCCAACCCTTGCTTTTTCTTCTGCAGCAGATGCATTTTGTAAGGTCCTATGGGTTTATTCTGCATTATAACACAAATGGGTATCACATTTCTGGCAAGCTCACCCACTGGTTGCTTTTCTTTTTTAAAATTATAACAATATGTTGCTGGAGATTTAGCTATCCCAAATTGTATACAAAAGAACAAACATTATTCAGTTTACATTTCTCTAAACAAACATCCATTCATTCATTGAAAAATAAGTCATTACCAGTTGTTCAAAATAAATAAGTGCTTGTCTCGGCTAGGAATAGAGTGGCCCTTTTTCAAAAGTGCATGCTGCTATTTTTCTGAACATGCGGCTTTGAGAGGAAATACCCACATTCTTTTTTAATTTAATTTAATTTTATTTTATTATTATTATACTTTAAGTTTTAGGGTACATGTGCACAATGTGCAGGTTAGTTACATATGTAAACGTGCCATACTGCTGTACTGCACCCATTAACTCGTCATTTAGCATTAAGTATATCTCCTAATGCTATCCCTCCCCCCTCCCCCCACCCCACAACAGTCCCCAGAGTGTGATGTTCCCCTTCCTGTGTCCATGTGTTCTCATTGTTCAATTCCCACCTGTGAGTAAGAACATGCGGTGTTTGGTTTTTTGTCCTTGTGATAGTTTACTGAGAATGACGATTTCCAATTTCATCCATGTCCCTACAAAGGACATGAACTCATCATTTTTTATGGCTGCATAGTATTCCATGGTGTATATGTGCCACATTTTCTTAATCTAGTCTATCATTGTTGGACATTTGGGTTGGTTCCAAGACTTTGCTATTGTGAATAGTGCCGCAATGAACATACGTGTGCATGTGTCTTTATAGCAGCATGATTTATAGTCCTTTGGGTATATACCCAGTAATGGGATGGCTGGGTCAAATGGTATTTCTAGTTCTAGATCCCTGAGGAATTGCCACACTGTCTTCCACAAAATACCTAGGAATCCAACTTACAAGGGACGTGAAAGACCTCTTCAAGGAGAACTACAAACCACTGCTCAATGAAATAAAAGAGGATACAAACAAATGGAAGAACATTCCATGCTCATGGGTAGGAAGAATCAATATCGTGAAAATGGCCATACTGCCCAAGGTAATTTATAGATTCAATGCCATCCCCATCAAGCTACCAGTGACTTTCTTCACAGAATTGGAAAAAACTACTTTAAAGTTCATATGGAACCAAAAAAGAGCCCGCATCGCCAAATCAATCCTAAGCCAAAAGAACAAAGCTGGAGGCATCACACTACCTGACTTCAAACTATACTACAAGGCTACAGTAACCAAAACAGCATGGTACTGGTACCAAAATAGAGATATAGATCAATGGAACAGAACAGAGCCCTCAGAAATAATGCCGCATATCTACAACTATCTGATCTTTGACAAACCTGAGAAAAACAAGCAATAGGGAAAGGATTCCCTATTTAATAAATGGTGCTGGGAAAACTGGCTAGCCATATGTAGAAAGCTGAAGCTGGATCCCTTCCTTACACCTTATACAAAAATTAATTCAAGATGGATTAAAGACTTAAATGTTAGACCTAAAACCATAAAAACCCTAGAAGAAAACCTAGGCATTACCATTCAGGACATAGGCATGGGCAAGGACTTCATGTCTAAAACACCAAAAGCAATGGCAACAAAAGCCAAAATTGACAAATGGGATCTAATCAAACTAAAGAGCTTCTGCACAGCAAAAGAAACTACCATCAGAGTGACCAGGCAACCTACAAAATGGGAGAAAATTTTCACAACCTACTCATGTGACAAAGGGCTAATATCCAGAATCTACAATGAACTCAAACAAATTTACAAGAAAAAACCAAACAACCCCATCAAAAAGTGGACAAAGGACATGAACAGACACTTCTCAAAAGAAGACATTTATGCAGCCAAAAAACACATGAAAAAATGCTCACCATCACTGGCCATCAGAGAAATGCAAATCAAAACCACAATCAGATACCATCTCATACCAGTTAGAATGGCAATCATTAAAAAGTCAGAAAACAACAGGTGCTGGAGAGGATGTGGAGAAATAGGAACACTTTTACACTGCTGGTGGAAATACCCACATTCTTTGCAATATTTAAAAAAGGGCTTCATGGAATCAGGGGAGGAAGGAAAAGGAGGCACCAGAATCACTTTCAAATATGGCTTCTTCCTGAGCCTCTGACCGATGATGCGCACGACTTCCCCATCTTGGGCTTGGGTTTGGGCTTGGTCCCTCTTGAGCTTGGGAACCAGAATCAGAGGGGGTTCTGGCTGACTTCTAAGACTCACCAGTTGAACTCGTCTTGCTCTTCCTCGGGATCTGACCATGATTTCTGCCTCTGCCTGGACAGCACCTTCACAGCACACCTGGTTGAACGCTTCTGCCACTTGGTTCCCTCATAGGCCTTTCCACCCTGCTTCCCATCAGGCCCAAGAGGCAATGGTCCCCAGCAAAGAGCTGATAGCACATGGATTGAAACCTTCTGTGGGTCCCCTTTAACTCTCAAAGCCCGCCCCACGCACCTCTTCACCCACCCCTGCCCAAACCACCCTCCACCTTTGTTCACGTCTTCTGCTCCTCCAGCTCCTGAAGGCGGCGTCCATCCTCCCATCATCGTGTAGTCAGTGGCAGCCCTGTGCCTGCTGGTTGTAAACACATAAGCATGCAATCACACTGAATCACGTCACTGTGGAAAAGCCCATCCCAAGAGACAAGCTATGGGAAAGATGGTTTCGGGAACCACTTTCCCTGAGCTTTCCTGGTATGTTCACACTTCAATTGCCCTTCTAGCTCTAGCTCTTGCTCATCTTCCCAATGGGAGAAGGTCAGGAACAAAAGAAATGTGGTGGCCACTTTAAGAGGTGGGAAATGCTGTAGGGATGAGCCTCTTGCCCCTACTCCCCAGTCCCTGGGAGGTGGCTCTTCCCCTGTAATTAGAGGTGCCAGTCATTCTTTTTATGGTACAAGTGACCTGTTGCAACAACCAGTATTGTCCACAAACAACATTAAAATGTGGATATAAAACATGAAGAGACAGTATAGGACTTCCAGGCCCCATGAATATCACTAGCCATGATAGCGAAATACCGCAGGTTCTTGCCTTCAGCTTTGTGCTGAATTGATAATCCTGCCTTCTACGGAGCACTCTGCAGCCACACTGCTCACTTGGAGCTTTCTTGCTGTGCTACCCTAGGATGCAGTTATTTAATAGTCTGTGTTTCTAATCACGGCAGCTGATTGTTTTTGTATCACAAGAACTATAAGGCTTCCTCAGAATTTATATGAGCTGAGTCTACCCCATACAGTGAGAGGAAATGGATTTCCTTCTGAAGTTGGATGTCGTTATAACCGATCATAAATCACCCTCTTTGGGGGCACCCACAAAGGGTGAGCCCCATTGAACACAGATGGATCACCCAGTGCTGAGAGGGACTTGAGACTTTGCAAAGTACTTGCTTTATAGCCTGGGATTGATTATTACCCAGGGCATCACTTACAAACATTAGTCTGAAAGTCTACATTCTGACCACTGGTATGACATTCAGGTAGCAAAAGAACTTGAACATTTTCAGATTTTCTTTTTTCTCTCTTTCTTTTCTTCCTTCCTTCCTTTCTTTCTTTTCTTTTCTTTTTTTTTGAGACACAGGTATTATAAGGTATTATAATAATAATACATTATTATTATTATTTTTGAGACACAGCTTCGCTCTTATCACTCAGGCTGGAGTGCAATGGCATGATCTCGGCTCACTGCAACCTCCACCTCCTGGGTTCAAGTGATTCTCCTGCCTCAGCCTCTCGACTAGCTGGGATTACAGGCACCTGCCACCATGCCTGGCTAATTTTTGTATTTTTAGTAGAGATGGGGTTTCACCATGTTGGCCAGGCTGGTCTCGAACTCCTGACCTCAGGTGATCTGCCCGCCTCAGCCTCCCAGAGTGTTGGGATTACAGGCGTGAGCCACCACGCCCAGCTGAGAATTTTATTTTTCAAAAAAAAAAAAAAAAATCTCAAAAACAATCTCTCCAGTTAAACTCTGGTAATATAATTGCTATATCTTTTTTTAAAATACAACTTTTAAGTAGTTTTAGATTCTCATGGAAGTTGCAAAAACATGTAGCTTTCATTCAGCTACATAGATGAATAAATACTTCTCAGAAAAAAATTGTATTACATGACAGCCTAAAGTAACATAAGAAGCCATTCATAAGTATTCATTTTCACCAACTTGACTTTTTCAGGGGATTGATTATTTTATTCAATGTTATGGGGGCTGTGGAATGGAAGGGCTTGTAATTAACCCACAATTTGCCACAACTATCCTAAAAGCCAAGGGCAATTTTTCCAGAGACAAATCTTAAAATATATGATGTCAATATATTGTAAAATATAAAAGCTTAACTTTATTACAAAAGCTTAAAATATAAGCCTGGGCCCTTATGGTTCTGTCTTGGAGAAATGTAGGCAAATGAAGACCAGCAACCAAATGCTGCTTCAAAATAGTTCAAATCCTTTTCTTGCAATTCTCTAAAACCTGAATAGGTCCACATGCACACAGGCCATCGTATCACAAAATAGGAATTCCCTGTTCTTGCATCTGTCCCCGTTACTCCTGCAACTTTCCCAGAACATCCGCTGCAGTTACCTTCCCCAAACCCTTCTCTTCTGACCAGCCCTGTTCACCTTTTCTTTCTCACACTCTTCTTTCCCTCCCCCACTCTTCATTTCTTTATGACATTGGTCAACCCAAACCCTCTCCTAGCAAGAAAGAATCTTTTCTCTTGAGAAGGAAGGAGGTTGGGAAATTAGAATAGGCAATTATAGGTCTCTCTTTGGAAGGCTGGGAGAAGAGAAACAGTTGGGAAGACTTCCATGCCAGTTTTTTTTTTTTTTTGAGATGGAGTCTCACTCTGTTGCCCAGGCTGGAGTGCAGTGGCACCATCTTGGCTCACTGCAACCTCCGCCTCCCAGGCTCAAGCCATTCTACTGCCTCAGCCTCCCAGGTAGCTGGGGCTATAGGCATGTGCCACTACACCCAGATAATTTTTTTGTATTTTTAGCAGTGACAGGGTTTCACCTCAAATGATCCACCCGCCTCGGCCTCCCAAAGTGCTGGGATTACAGGCGTCAGCCACCTCACCCTGCCCCATGCCAATTTTTTTAAATGACAACTTTATTGAGATGTAATGTGCATACCACAGAAATCACCCTTTTAAATATATGTAACATATTTAATATATTTTAAAATATTTACTATATTAAATATTAACATATTTATATTTATATAGCATATTATATAACATATTTATTATATATTATATATTTATTATAATATATATAATATATAATATATTAATATAAAATATATACTATATATTATATTAATATATCATTATATATGATTACATATTATAATATATTAATACAATATATTATATTAATATATGATATTATATTATCATATATTATATAATATATGATATATCATATATTATATAATATATGATATATCATATATTAATATAATACTAATTATTATAATAATATATTATATAATGATATATAATAATAATATAATAATTATATTATATATTTATATATAATATTATATTATATTATTTTTATTATTTATTTTTTATTTTTTATTTTTTTATTTTTATTTTTTATTTTTATTTTATTTTATTTTATTTTTTAAATTTATTTTTATATTTTTATTTTATTTTATTTTATTTTTTTATTTTTTATTTTTATTATATATTATATTATATTATATTATAATATTATTATATAATAATAATGTAATATATTATATTATATATATTTATATCATATTATATAACATATTTATATTTATATAACATTATATAACATTTATATTTAATATTAACATATATTTAATATATTAAATATATATAACTATATATAAATATTTATATTAGTTCAGTAGTTTTTGGCATATTCACAGTTGTGTGCAAACATCATAATCTAATCTCAGAACATTTTCATTATCTCAAAAAGAAATACTGTATCTGTCAGCAGTCACTTCCCATTCCCCCACTACTTCTGCTCCTGGCAACCACTAATCTACTTTGTCTCTGTGGATTTTCCTATTATGGACATTTCATAGGAACGGAAACCTACAGATGTACGTTTTGTGATGGGCTTCTTTCTCTTAGCATAAAGTTTTAAAGGTTCATCTGTGTTGTAGCATGCATCAGTAATTCATTTCTTTTTACAAAATAATATTCTGTTGTGCAGAGAGACCATATTTTGTTTATCCATCTGGTTGATGGGCAATTGGGTTGTTTCTACTTTTTGGCTATTATGAATAATGCTGCTATGAACCTTCTTAGACCAGTTTTTCATGGACACATTTTCATTTATCTTGAGTTTAGGAACCAAGAATGGAGTTGGTAGATCATACGTCAACTCTAGCATTTTGAAGAACCATGATCATTTTTGTGCCTCTACGTGCAGAATGAAAGCTAAGTCCAGCTTCCTTAACCTATTAATATTTTATGTCTTGCACTTAAAAATCCTCATTAAAACAAGAAAGATATAAATATTTCTATAAGATGATTAGAAATCATCCCTCAGGTTGTGTCAGGAGCTGTGCACGGTTTTATTGGGCATCACAGATGCTTACTTCTATATCACGAGATTTTAGAGAGAAGCATTGGGTATTTTTATTAAAGTAAAAATCAATGCAGGGTTGAAACTCATGATTACATACTGTGGCTGGGTACCTGATATTTTGGTTAGATCATAATTAAGCTTACTACTTTTTAGAGCAAACTATGTCCTTACCTTTGTAATAAAGAAAAAAACAGGTGAGTAGGTAAGGGCAGAATTCCTCCAGATGAGAGCAGAAAGCACAGAAGGCACTTGCACCTTTGAAAAGGAGCTACAGGAGAAAAGCCTCCACTCTCTTGGGATAGCAATCCTGAGGGAGGATCTCTCGGTACTCCTTTAAGGAGAACAGCCATCAGACGCCAAGTGCGGGAGCGCCTGACTCACAGTGAATTCCTTCAGGATCTTCTCTTTATAACTCATCAGTATCCGAGAGCCACTTGTTCCTCTTCTCCTTTTCTCTCTGTGTTCTTGTCTCACTGTCATAAAACCAAGACTTGGCTCTTCTCTCAAACATCCTGGTGTGTGGAGAACTCGGGAAATATCTCCCTCCTGGGTCTTGCTGCTCTGTGCCCTCCGTGGGCAATGTCCACACCGCACCGACACCTACAACCAAAACCATACTGCCACCTGGAATTATTACAGATCTGCGGGAGGAAGGGAGGCTTCAGATTAAAGCCAGGAGCTGCCCAATGCTGACCGTCCTGTCCCAAGACAATTGTGCTGCACTAATCAACCCCTTGCCGCAGTAAACTTCAAAAGACGAAAAGAGATGCAGTCTGGCTAACCCCTGATCAATGTAAATCCCTCCTTTATCTCCAAATAATCATTTCCCCAGCTCCCCACACCCTCAAATGATGACTTTCAACACTTTGAATATAACAGGCTCACAGTCTGTATTCAATGGTCTCATCATAAGGCAGGAAGCCCTATCAGGAACTGCGCTGCTCTCCTATCCCTACACTTCCCACCACGTAGTTCGGGGTTAGGCAGGGAATTGCAGTAAAGCTATACACAGTAAAGAAAAGTTGGTTTGTGTGTGTGTGTGTGTGTTGTTTGTTTGTTTTTTGAGACCGAGTTTCGCTCTTTGCCCAGGCTGGAGTGCAGTGGGACAATCTCGGCTCACTGCAAACTCCGCCTCCCGGGTTCAAGTGATTCTCCTGCCTCAGCCTCCCGAGTAGCTGGGATTACAGGTGCATGCCGCCACAGCCAGCTAATTTTTGTATTATTAGTAGAGACGGGGTTTCACTATGTTGGCCAGGCTGGTCTCGAACTCCTGACCTCAGGTGATCCACCCACCTTGACCTCCCAAAGTGCTGGGATTACAGGCGTGAGCCATCTTGCCCGGCCGGCATTTCAGTTTTATTAAACTGTCTACTGCATGCCAGTTCTTAGTAGCACAGTCTCTTTTTTTGTTTTAGAAACTCAAAACCTTCTAAGTGATCACCTGGTTAAATAATGCAATCCCATAAATGACCCCTCTCTTCTGATCCATGCCTGGTGTCCATTTAATTAAACCAGATTAGAAAAAGGGATTATTGCTGGCTCAGGGAGGCTGCTGCCACAGACAATGCCTCACTTCGGATTGTGCAGATATAATATGATTGCTCCAAGCCAGCCTTCATGTTTACACCTGCCTGGAAGCTCTCAGGCCCTGGAGTAACCTCAGGACACTCCTGGCCCTGTCTGCGGGTAACCAGTTCTTCTCTCAGATGTGCGGTCTGTGCTGTTCCTCCCCATCTGCCAGTACAAGTAAGGTGTGGCACCTGGGCCCTTCTCCCACTCACATTGCCTGTGTCCTCTCTCTAAAAGTCACCTTAAGACCATGCGGGTAAAGAGGAGTGACTTAAAGGAGCTCAAATTCATCTTACTTTTTTCCAGTTGGGAAATTGGCAAAAAGTTCTGTAGTTATGGAAATATTCTTGCCAGTTTATAGAAGCAATTAGATCTTTTTCTATAGCATCTGTGTGGAAGATTTCCTTTTCAGGAAATCAAAACTCCTTTGAGTGGCCTGACAATAGTAACCATAAGAAAATAATTTTCCTGGAATTGCTTCTGAGCTCGTTTGTGAACTGGAGAGTATAACTTTGTGTCACTATACTCCATTTTACTAACCATGTGGTTCAGATGCTTTGTCATTTTGGAGCCTTGGTGACCCTGGAGAGACTGCGTCTTCCAGGGTTAGCCAGTTCCTAGAGATAGCAAAGAACTTGCCTGAAAGCCTGCCTTTCATACACAAATCAACCAATCCATTACAGACCAGCCTGGCCAACATGGTAAAACCCTGTCTCTGCTAAAAA
This sequence comes from Homo sapiens, assembly GCF_000001405.40. Taxonomy (NCBI): domain Eukaryota; kingdom Metazoa; phylum Chordata; class Mammalia; order Primates; family Hominidae; genus Homo; species Homo sapiens. Next base: position 30,074,743 of record NC_000015.10, read on the forward strand.
TACAAAAAATTAGCTGGACATGGTGGTACATGCCTGTAATCCCAGCTACTGGGGAAGCTGAGACAGGAGAATCTCTTGAACCTGGGAGGCGGAGCTTGCAGTGAGCCAAGGTCGCGCCACTGCACTCCAGCCTGGGCGACAGAGCGGGACTCCATCTCAAAAAAAAAAAAAAAAAAAAAAAAAAAAAAAAAATCAAGCAATCCAGTGCTCATACCCCAGCCCCCTCCTTTCTCAGACTCCTATACTCTGGGCCAGGATCCACCTGCCCTAGTCACCCCAGGGCCAGCTACCAGAATACTACGGACAGCCGTATGCCCCAGTCAATCATGCCCCAGAAATTATTCAAACCAGTCAGTGCTAAGTCTGCTTACCCTGCCTCACCTGTCCCTTCCCGTGGAAACCACAAGAAAGGCTCTTGCCCTCGTTTTCCTCCTGCTCTGTCTCCTGACCTACCTGGTGCCCCTTCCTCTTGGGAACAGTAAAAAACTCTCTTTCCAGCAGCAGTCATCTCCTGATCTGTTGGCCTCATCACACCTGAATCATAATAATACCTATCTTTAATAACAGCCATGGAAAGTATAAACCTGGGGTTGGGCTGGGACAACATTGTGAAGCTCTTTTAGCTTCATGAATAACGGGGCCGGGGGCAGTCACAATCCCTGCTACACTCTTCAGCAGTAGCAATTTCTGGAAATGCAGCCCTCATTGAAGCTTCCGAGAGAAAGAGTGCCATCTTGTGGTATTTTGTAGTTTCTTAGGCCATTTCCTTTCTCTCTCGCTCTCTTTTTTTTTTTTTTTTTGAGACTAAGTCTTCCTCTGTAGCCCAGGCTGGAGTGCAATGACACGATCTTGGCTTACTGCTCACTGCAGCCTTTGCCTCTTGGGTTCAAGCGATTCTCCTGCCTCAGCCTCCTGAGTAGCTGGCATTACAGGTGTGCGCCACCACACCTGGCTAATTTTTGTATTTTTAGTAGAGACGGGGTTTCACCATGATGGTCGGACTGGTCTTGAACTCCTGACCTCGTGATCCTCCCGCCTCGACCTCCCAAAGTACTGGGATTACAGGTGTGAGCCACCGCGCCTGGCCTCCTCTCTCTTTTAAATAGATCATTTTTAGAGCAGTTTTAGGTTCACAGCAAAGTTGAGCAGAAAGTACAGACAGTTCCCATATAGCTCCTGCCCCTACACATTCACAGCCTTCCCCACTACCAACATGGGCACCAGAGTGGTCCATTTGTTACAATCAATGAACCTATATTGATGCACCATTATTGCCCAAAGTCCATGGTTAACATTAGGGTTCGCTCTTGGTGTGTTGGATATTTTACGGATTTGGTTGAAAGTATAATAACATGTGTCTATAATTATTGTATCATAGAGAGTAGTTTCACTGCCCCCAAATCCTCTATGCTCTGCCTATTCATTCGTCCCTCCCTTCAACCCCTGGCAATGACTGATCTTTTCACTGTTTCCATAGTTTTGTTGCAGGCCATTTTTACTCCAAGATTTTCTTTGTTTGGCTGTCCACTTTGTGCTGGGTGTGTAATATAGACTCGTGATGAGTAAGAGAGACAGCCTGGAGCATCTTGGAGTCCATATTGGGATGGACTCATGAATTCCTGTATTTTCCTACTCCAGGAAAGAGGTGCAGGTAAGGATAGAAAAAAAAGTCAAGTAGACAAATAAAAATAATTAGGCTGGGAGCGGTGACTTACGCCTGTAATCCCAGCACTTTAGGAGGCTCAGGCAGGTGGATCACCTGAGGTCGGGAGTTTGAGACCAACCTGACCAACATGGTGAAACCCTGTCTCCACTAAATATACAAAAATTAGCCAGGCGTGGTGGTGGGCGCCTGTAATCCCAGCTACTCGGGAGGCTGAGGCAGGAGAATCACTTGAAGCTGGGAGGTGGAGGCTGCAGCAAGCTAAGATCACACCATTGCACTCCAGCCTGGGTGACAAGAGTGAAACTCTGTCTCAATAATAATAATAATAATAATAATAATAATAATAATAATAATAATAATGTATTATTTACAGGTAAAGTAAATTCTGTAGTGTTCAAGAGATAAAATAAATTGTCTCAAGCAAAAGTCAAACTAGGATGATTTTTTTTTGTTATTCAACTTATTTAGAAATTAGGTTTTTTTGTTCCTGTTGAATTGTTTTGTTCTGTCTTAGGTACTAAAAATAATCTTTCATTCTTTGGAGCTGCTGATATTTACTATGACAGGCAAACAATTGCCCTTCTCCATACCACCACATTTTTGTTGTTAATATTCCTGGTGTCCATAAATGTTTTTGCTTCTTTCTTTTTTTGTCTTTGCTTATTCAATTACCTTTACCTAGAAATGCCATCTCCTTACATCTGTCTATGCTTCTTAAGGACTCGCCCAAATGTTATCTCCTGCAAGCAACAGAAATCTCCACTAGCTCACCACCACCTCTAACTTCTTCCTGGATTTACCTATTTAGGCATCAGTTATTTACTTTTTACTAAAATACATGAGAATTTAGCTCTTATACCACCCACTTCCCCTTCCTCAAATATTATCTTTAGTCATATAAGTAATCTCTAATTATCATTAGGACTTTGTAGAATAAAGCCAAGTTTTCTAGAATATTTAGGATAGGATATTTCTTTTCTTGGCGCTGCTTTTTGTTTTGCAGGTCTTCCTCATAGTAGTAATTTTTAATTTAAAAAAATGCTGTTGTAGCCCTTTCTGTGAGATCTCCTTCTCTTTTGAAGCCTTTGGCTCCTCTGAGCCCATCTTGGCAGGTTGTTCTTTCGGTTGGCTGTGCAGATGCCATCTTGAGGTTTTTCACATCTCCTCTCCTAGAGTAGATCCATTGTTTCCTGGATCCCATGTCATCTTTCTTGGCTTAACCTTTCTCATTTTCCCTGACAACATCCTCAAATAAAACTCTAAGAAAGCATGCAGTGGTATCTTTTCTGAGCTCTAGCTTCCAAAAAAATATGACCCAGTGTTTGAGTTTTGGAGCCAGTCCGAGATAGGTTTGAATCTTGGTTCTCCTACTTATTAGCTGTATGTCCTTGGGCTGATTCCCTAATTGCCCTATGCATGAATTTTCCATTTGCAAAATGGGGGAACCAGTAATAGTAGTAGTACCTATGTTTTTAGGGAGCTATGAGGATTTATTGAACTGGTACATGTAAACCATTTAGAACAGTGCCTGCTGCATATCACATCCCCATCAGTATTCACGTCTCTCATATTCTACCCTCACACTTGATTGATAGTTTGGTTGATTATATATTTCTAGGTTGAGGATAATTTTACCTTAAAATTTCAAAGTCTGTGCTGTTGTCTTCTAACCAGTCGTGGTGGTGAAGCCTCATGCCATCCTGAGTTTCACTTATTTATGCATGACTTTCTCCCTGGAAGCTTTTAGGAGTTTGTCTTTTCCTTGTTGAGCTGAAATAGCACAACAGTGTACTTAGTGTGGGTCTTTTTTCATTCATTGTGCTGGGTACACCAAATGGACAGGCCTATGGATAGGCTCTTTCAAAGTTGGAGTCTTGAATCTTGTCATATTTTTGTTGTTAACTTTCTCTTTTCCATTTTATTTGTTCATTTTGAAGTGTCTGTTAATTGGATTTTAGACCTCTTGTCTTGAGTCTGGTATCTCACATTATTTCTAAATTTTTTTTAAATTTTAAGTTCTGGAATATTTTTCTTATCTTTCGACTTTCAGGAAATTTTATTTGGACTATCATAACTTTAAGTTTTGTTTTGGTTATTTATTGTTGCTTAACCAATTATCCCAAAACTTAATGGCGTAAAACTACACATATGTCTATCTGTCACTACTGTATGGATTAACTGGGGCTAGCTGGACAGTTTTCTTGCTGGTCTTATTTGGCAGCTCTCACTGTGCGGTCAGACAGTGTTAGGGACTGGTCATCTGGATGCTCAGCTGCAGTGGAATGTCTGAGACGGCTTCTTCACCCACAGGTCTGCTGCTTTGGTGTTTCTTCATGTGGCCTTTCTCTCTGCATAGCATCTCATCCTCTCGAATCTCTTCATGTGGCTTTTCTTTCTCCAAGAGGGTAGCCAATTCTTATTTTTGGCTTCCAGAAGCACAGAAATGGAGCTGCCAGGGGTTCTTAAGGCTTAGACCTGGAACAGGTCCAGTGTCATTTCTACCACATGCTATAGGTTAAAGTGAGTGTTGGGGCCAACCCAGATTGACTATGGGATGGGCCTGTCTAAGGACATGATGACAGGAGGTATGGCTCATTGGAGACCAACTCCCAAGATGGAGCATGAGTTCTAAGAACTTTTTCTTCTCTGATTATTTCTTATTCATATTGTTTTGTTTTATACATGTAATATATTCACAAGTGTCTTTATGAAGTGATTTTGATACTCTTTGTCTTCTCCCTGGCATCTCTTTGTTCTTTAATAATTTTTTTTCTTAGTTTATTTTGGTCTTATTTTTCTTTTTAAAGCCTTTCCTTAAATATCTATTCTATGTTGCTTATCATTTGTAGTCTTTTTTTTTTTTTTTTGAGACCCAGTTTCGCTCTTGTTGCCTAGGCTGGAGTACAATGATGTGATCTCGGCTCATCACAACCTCTGCCTCCCAGGTTCAAGCAGTTCTCCTGCCTCAGCCTCCCAAGTAGCTGGGATTACAGTCATGTGCTACCACGCCCAGCTAATTTGTGTATTTTTAGTAGAGATGGGATTTCTCCATGTTGGTCAGTCTGGTCTGGAACTCTCAACCTCAGGTGATCCACCCACCTTGGCCTCCCAAAGTGCTGGGATTACAGACATGAGCCACCGCGCCTGACCTGTAGTCTTTTTCTCATTCCTTTATTTGCTCATTCATATTTGAGAGAGGTACTAAAAGACTGGGAGCCGGGGTGTGGTGGCTCACACCTATAATCTCAGTGCTTTGGGAGACCGAAGTGGGAGGATCACTTGAGCCCAGGAGCTCAAGACTAGTTTGGGCAACATAGTGAGACCCCATCTTTACAAAAAAAAAAAAAATAGCTAGGTGTGGTGACACCCATCTGCAGTCCCAGCTACTTGGGAGGCTGAGGCAGGAGGATTGCTTGAGCCCAGGAGGTTGAGGCTGCAGTGAGCTCTGATCATGCCACTGCATTCCTGCATTCCAGCCTGGGCGAAAGAGCAAGACCCTGTCTCAAAAAAAATAAATAAATAAAAATAAAAATAAATCAAAATTGATTGGGAGTTCTTTGTGGCCAAGACTTGTCAACTGATAGCTTTTAGGGGGAATGTATGCTGATTCCTAATTGTTATCCTCCATCCCTCTATCTTATCTCCTGGTGCAATCATAAATGATGGCTGGATGACTACTCCATTCCTCTGGATGTAAAATCTACATTGTCTTGCCTGAGGTGGATACGTTTGCTTGGGTTCTGTTTAAGGAGATGGGGCCAGCAGTGTGTTTCAGGGCCTGTGAAATGTGTTCTCTATCCGGGCTTTTGCTTAATCTCTGTTTTCAGTCTTGCCTATCAGTCCCACTGTCGGGGGTACCTCGTGTCTGGGTCTAGAACCTTTCCAGGTTGCTGTGGGACAGATTAGCCTCCTTGTTCTCAGTATCCCCCTGACCTCCACCTTTGTTTGCTTTGCTCCATGAATTAACCATTTTCCATGTACTGTCATTGTCTAATGAAGATGAATTCTCTTCTGTTGGTAACCCCATTCCTTTTTTGTAATTGTGTGCTTATACAATGTTTATTCTTCACTGTATTTCTATTGGAGCCTCAGGACAAAGAGCAGATGGTAAGAATATGTGTTCAGTGTTAAGTTTTCCTTCTGTAAGACATCTGCAACTTGTGTTTTTCACTGAATAGATCATGGACTTAATGCATATAGAGCTACTTTGCTTTTCATGATTTTGCCTTCAATTATATGTAGAAATATAATTTGTGAATTGCCTAATGAATTTTTCCTAATTTTGAATCATCTTTGCATTCCTATAATAAACACTGTTAGAATGGCTGTGGTAATATTTTATTTTTGCATTTTTACTTCTGTATTAAATAAGATTATAGTTTTGTTTGTTTCCAATAAGGCTGTTATTTCATTTCAGTATCAAGGGTATGCAGGGCTGAGTTGGGAAGCTTTACATCTTTTTTCTAAGATCTAGGATGTAGATCTGGTTTACACAGTAATTTTCAACTGCAGGAGTATTTTGCCTCCTATGGGACGTTTCGAAATATCTGGAGACATTTTTGTGGTTACAACTGGTCAAGGTCGGGAGGTCTTATTGGCATTCTGTGGGTAGAGGGAATGTTACTAAATGTCCGACAACACACCAGGAGAACCCTCCACAAAGAATTATCTGGCCAAATATATCAGTATTGCTGAGGCTGACAAATTCTGGTTTAAATAAATATCCAATTTGGAGGATGAGTCTTTGTCTTTTTCCTTCTTCTGCGTATTGGTCTCCAGATTTTCCACTTCTTCAGTTAGTTTTTGTGACTGTAGAATCTTAAAAAAAAAAATGAAAACTTTGGCCGGGTGCAATGGCTCATGCCTGTAATCCCAGCACTTTGGGAGGCCGAGGCAGGTGGATCACGAGATCAGGAGATAAAGACCATCCTGGCTAACATGGTGAAACCCTGTCTCTACTAAGCCAAAATACAAAAAATTAGCCAGGCGTGGTGGCGGGCGCCTGTAGTCCCAGCTACTCAGGAGGTTGAGGCAGGAGAATGTTGTGAACCCGGGAGGCGGAGCTTGCAGTGAGCCAAGATCGCGCCACTGCACTCCAGCGTGGGTGACAGAGCGAGACTCCATCTCAAACAAAAAAAAAAAAAAAAAAAAATGAACATGTCATCCATACTTCTAAGGTGTTGTAAAGATGTGTAAAGTTTTCACTTTTTGCATCATATTCACATGTGGCTATATGCCCTTTTCTCTTCAAAGTTTTCTTTATCTTGATTACTTATCAGAGGCTTGACTGTTTTATTATCTCAGTCTTTTGAAAGAATCCTCCTTTAGTTTTATTTTTTAAATCTAGTGGTTTTTCTTTTTCCTTTTTCCTTAGGTCTTAATTATTTCCCCCTTTTTGTTTGCTTTGCTTTTCCTAGTTTAGTGGATCAATGTAATTTAAATTGCTTTTTAAACAAACATGTAAGGGTATACATTTTCGTTGGGTGCTGTTTGACTTTGTTGCACAAGTTTTAAAATCTTTTTTTTAATAGCTTGTATTTTCTAAATTATTTTATTGCATCTTTTGTTCACATTGCTCTTACTATTAATTTTTTATTTTTATTAATTAATTAATTTATTTATTTAATTATTAGATGGAGTCTTGCTCTGTAGCCAGGCTGGAGAGCAGCGGCATGATCTTGGCTCACTGCAAGCTCCACCTCAGAGGTTCATGTCATTCTCCTGCCTCAGCCTCCCAAGTAGCTGAGACTACAGGTGCCTGCCACCATGTCCGGCCTTTTTTGTATTTTTAGTAGAGATGGGGTTTCACCGTGTTAGCCAGGATGGTCTCGATTTCCTGACCTCATGATCCACCCACCTTGGGCTCTCAAAGTCCTGGAATTACAGGCATGAGCCACTGCACCCTGCCCAAAAAGCTTTGTGTTTTTACAGATATTAGACATGTTTCTTGTTTAAGAAAAAAAATCTTAACGAAAACGTAGGAGAATAAGAGAAACATTTTTCCAAAAAAGAGAAATCATTGTGATTATTTTATCTTATTAGAATGTTGGATAATATAGTCTGCTTCATTAATCATCAAGCATGCTATGCATTTTCCATTTTTATAGGATCTGTATCTCAGTTAAGGTAATACTGGTAATTTTTGTACTGTAATCAAAGATGAAAAATATAGGCCAAAATCATGGACCTTGCATAGAAGCTGGATAATGAAGACAGCTATGGAGAAAAACATAGATACACACACACGGACACACATATATATAAAGTATACACACATATATTTTTTAAAGTTTTAAAGCTTTTAAAGCAAAAGCCGGCCCCTCTTCTCTTCCAGAGTGGGAGGCCTCTCCCCTCTCTTAGAGTGGGTGGGGAGAGCAGTTGCCATGGGCAGCTTTCCTTGTGAGCCACAGGTCCCTCTGGACACACTGCTTTCTGGCCACGCCCCCTTTCCTTTTCATCTTTCTCATTGACCAATGGGCTTGGAGCATTAAGGCCACGCCCCTATTCCGCATTCTACTGGGGCCCTGGTTACGCCTCCTCTGGCTCAGTCACACAGCTGCCTGGTAGGTGACTGGAGGCCTTGATCGGTTCTCATTGAGATTTTGCTGCTGTGACCCCAACCCTGCCTCCCTCCCCACCCTGCGATGGCAGAAGAAACTCAACACAACAAATTGGCTGCAGCCAAGAAAAAGGTAAAAACGCACTAGGTCATAGCCCCTCAACCCAGCCACAGATCCCCTCTGATGACAAGACCCCTGCCAGAGTCTATACGACTCCTGAGGCACACTGGACTGGTCCCCCCTACCCCGGTGCCTCTGGGCTACCCCCACCAAAGTTTTGTCAGTCAGCCCCACCCCTTCAGCAAGCAGCCCAGTCCTTGCCCTCGCCAATCACCCCAGGGTGACTTTGGGTGGGTGAGTCCTGGGGCTTCCCGCTCCATTACTGGGCCCTCATCTCCTGCCGCCCCAAGCTTGATCTCCCTGGGCTCTTTGGGCTCTCATCTCCAAGGAGCCAGGCCCCACCCTCGCCAGTCATCCCTGGGTGACTTTGGACTGGTGACTCCTGGGACTCCCTGCTGCAGACTGTGCCCTCCCCTCCTGCTGCCTCAAGGTCGACCTCCCTGGGTTCTTTGTGCTGGCGTCTCCAAGGAGCTGGGTCCCAACCCTGTGCTTCCCTCCCCCATCGTGGAGCAGCGACTTGGACATGGTGCTGACATGGTCCCTCCCCCCGACCAGGAGGAGTGGAATGTTGTGATGTCACAGTCCACCTAGTAACTGCTGTTACTGCAAGACTGGCCTTTGATCTTACGACCCAGTCCCCTAAGCGTTCTCACCCCGTTTCTGGTTCCTCTGGTCACAGCACAAATTTCCAGCTGGAAGGGGAATGGAGACTATGGGACCTAGGAGCAAGAGGTTCCAGGCTGCCTCACTCCCTTACAGATGTTGACGGTGGGAAAAGCCTACACTTCCCCCATGAACTCAAAACGTTGACAGTATCTCTGGGTGGCAATGAGAGAATGCGTTTGGTTTGGTTTTCTCCCAGGCTTCTACTTTCCAGAGAGATTTTAACATTTTTTTCTGAGTTCTCCACCTCATATTCTAATTCTCCATGGTTCTGGGACCAGACTCTCCTTCAGTCAGTGGTCTCTGAAGTGACATTTGCTCATCTTCTGTGGAATAGATCTTGGGAAACTGAACTTGACACCTTGAATCTTCCTCATATTATCTCAACCTTGGGTACTTTGAGTGCCACAGGATAAATGTGGGACATCTTTCTGAAGCATCAGTTTCCCTTGATTCTCTTGAGATCAAGAGAAAAAACATGAATGTACTTAGGGATGACAGTCACATAGGTTTCTAAGAGTATACCAGACCTCTCTCTGAAATGAGGCTTGGGTTGTCCTCTTTCTGATAAATTCTGATTTAAGAGAAAGGCTGCCTTCTGCCATGAGGACACATTGATATAAGAGTTTGAGAGGTACTGGTGCACTTCTTCACACTAACAGACGTGTGAGGATGTATGACTCTAAACCACATGGCATACAGTTCCTGCCTACTTAATGTTTACTTTTCTACCTCTGCCTCTGGTTTTGGTCCCTGGCAGCTGCTGATTCTTGGCAAAACCTCAGAGCTTGGAGTCAGAAGACTGAGTTTCAAAGTTCCAGTATTGCCTTTTTCTTTTTTTTTTTCTAGCCATGATATCAATCCTTCTCAGTCACTAAATGAGTGTGACAACACCTTGTACAGTTGTTGGTGTCATTAAATCAGATGGTGTGTAAGTGTATTTTGTAAAAACTGTAAAGGAGGATGTGGCTGTAGGGGCTGACGGTTCTCATGAGTATTACTGCTCTTCTTTCCAACAGTTAAAAGAATATTGGCAGAAAAACAGCCCTAGAGTTCCAGCAGGAGCGAACAGGAACAGGAAAACAAATGGCAGTATCCCTGAGAAAGCCACTTCTGGTGGTTGCCAGCCACCTAGGGATGTGAGTCTTGGCTGACCAGGCTTCTGGGGACAGGGGGCCCAAGGGGCAGTAGAGGGTAATTGTTAAGATTGTGGATGGACTGCTGGGTACTGGTTAAGAATTCTGGCTTTAGCCGGGTGTGGTGGCCCACGCCTGTAATCCTAGCACTTTGGGAGGCCAAGGCAGGCGGATCATGAGGTCAGGAGATCGAGACCATCCTGGTTAACACGGTGAAACCCTGTCTCTACTAAAAATACAAAACATTAGCCAAGCGTGGTGGTGTGTGCCTGTAGTCCCAGCTACTCAGAAGGCTGAGGCAAGAGAATGGTGTGAACCTGGGAGGTGGAGCTTGCAGTAGCCAAGATTATGCCACTGCACTCCAGCCTGGTGACAGAGCAAGACTCTGTCTCAAAGAAAAAAAAAAAAAGGAATTCTGGGTTTGAATCCTGCCTCTCCATCTGCTCTGCTAGGGATATGATTTAGGGCAAGTTGCTAGACCTCATCGGGCCTCTCTTTTCACATCTGTATAATAGAGGTGTTATTGTTTCACTTCCATTTGTGAAGTTTAAATGAGATTTGTTATTGTTGTTTTTATGTTAATCCCTAGTACATGGCCTGCTGTAAACACTCAGGACACCCAGGATATGGTTTGATTTTCCTCATCCCCAGTCTCAGGGGGAAACCAGGACAATGAGAACAGCCACTTGCCATCAGGAGTCACTGAAGGGGCCCCAGGATGGGATGGTGGGGAGATAAGAACCATGAGAGAAGTTGGCACAAAGGAGTTATGGGACAAAAGGTCCAAGATAGGCAGAAAAGAAAATGTTGCCAGTTGATGGGGAAGAAAGGAAGTCAGAGGGCTCAGACACTGTGGGGGACAGAACATCTCCATGTGCACTCTCATCTCTTGTAGTCAGCAACAGGTTTCCACAGGGAAGGCCCTACATCATCTGCTACCCTGAAAGATCTGGAGGTAAGAGGCTCTGGGCGGAGGTGCAGTGACCCTTCGGGTCAACCCTCCAACCTCCTCCTCCAGGTGGGACTGGGTGCCCCTCTGCCAGCTGAGACAGCCCACACACCCCAGCCCTAATGATTGTTCTCTCTACCTCTCCCCCCACTCCTGCTCCACCTCCTCCTCTCTGCATGCACCTCAGAGCCCGTGCCAAGAACGAGCAGTAGTCCTGGATTCAAGGTCCGTAGAAATCAGTCAACTGAAGAACACCATCAAATCTCTGGTAAGAGTCCACTGGGGTCCCCTGATTCCACGCTGCCAATCCTGGGCTCCAGTTTCCCCTTGGGGCCCTGAAGAAAGGGGCTGGGGGTCCCTGGTGCCTGGGACAAATAGGGAGCTTGGGTGCCCAGGCCTCACCTGGAGGGACCCCAGAGCATGCAGCATGGCTCTTCTTTTGCTGCCCTCTTTGCCGACTCTCTCCTCTCCAGACACCCCTGCTCGAGTCCTTGCTACACACGCCCTGGGGTTGTTGCCTCTTGGGGAAGTGCTAGCCTGACTGGTTGTCAAGGGCCCCGTATTTCTGCCATGACTCAGTCCCTAATTTGCTCTTTGATTCTGGACAAGCCACCTCTCCTTTTTGGGCTCGTGTTTCCAGAGGAGGTAGTGAGTATCAAAGGTCTCTGTTAGCTCTCGAGTCTGAGATTTAAAGGCCCCCTAGAACGGAAACCTCAGGGCTAAGGGCTCCTGTCTGTCCTTTTCCATCCTATATCTGCTGTAAAGAACCGTACCTGGCCCATACATGCTCAGTAAATGTTTATTGAATGAACCCACTTCTCTAAATCACAAGCTGCCAGAAGGAGGGGCCTTTCTGAAACTCCATCTCTAGAGGTTTATATTGCTGTCCTCTCAAGAGATTCCAGATTCAGACTTTGAGTTCTGTGGCTGTGGGCAAAAGCCAACAAAGACCCAAATCCTCTGTCCTTGGGAGCTTGAGGAGAGTTTACCGGTTCGTGTTCCCATTATGTCTGAGAACTTTGCCTTTAAAATCCATTCCTGGCCCCTGCCTACCGCTTCCTGGTCTGGGGAATAGAGTTGAGGGGGCCACCCTCCATCACCTTATTTGACTCTCCCCACAGAAACAACAGAAGAAACAAGTGGAACATCAGCTGGAAGAAGTAACGTGATTTCGTTTCCTCGCAACATGACTGCTGGGTTTGGGGGGCACTCAGACATACAGGCCCCAGTCTCGTCTCACCCACTCCCAGCCTGGGGATGAAGGCTCACCCTTCAGATTCCACCCCATCCCCACAGGGCCCCTGATAACCTGGTCCCATGGGTGGGCCTGTCCTGGGGCATTGGTGGCATTCTGGGGGCATGTCTCTTGCTGTGCCATCTCTGCCTCCCCCTGGTAAGAGCTCTGTCTTCCTCTTCCTACAGGAAAAGAAAGCAAACAACAAGAAACAGAAAGCCAAAAGGGTGCTAGAGGTGAGTGGAGGGTGTGCAGTTTCCTCCTGTCCTCCGGAGAAGGTTTCTTTCCTTCTCTTTCAGCACTTGCTTGGCTTTTCTCCCAAAGGTTCAAATCCAGACATTGAACATACAGAAAGAGGAACTAAATACGGACCTGTACCACATGAAACGTTCTCTCAGATACTTTGAAGGTGGGAATCTGGGCACCCTGTCATCCTTCAACCTGGCACTTTGACAGGTCTTCAGGGGGAGTCCTTTGGGCCCCATCTCAACTCTCTCATTACAGAAAAGTCCAAGGATCTGGCTGTCCGCCTGCAACATTCATTGCAGCGTAAAGGAGAGTTAGAGAGTGTTCTCTCTAATGTCATGGCCACACAGAAGAAGAAGGCAAACCAGGTGAGTCCAACCACCTGCCCCATCCCCTGGGAGCCTGGCTTTGCAGATGGAGGAGTGAGCCTAAAGGTCCCTTCTGCAGGATGGAGTGTCCTGCCCAGAAGGCAGCATGGCCATTTCTTGCTACTTTTTTGTATGGTTTTTAATGGCAGCCTGGGGCTGAGTCAGCTGCTGTGGGTGAGTTGGGGGTCACTGTGTGGAGTGAGCACTGGACGCAGAGCTTGGAGGCCAAGTGCCTGCCCCGCCCTTACCTGTCTGTGGTCTTGGGCAAGTCCTAGTCCTAGGTGGGGTATTGGGTACTTGTACTGTGAAGGTACAGAAGAGTACCTTTAGTATGTTACCATTTCTGTAGAAAGAGGAAACGTGTGTGCGTGTGTGTGTGTGTGTGTGTGTGTGTGCATACTGTGATAATATACATAAAACATGTCTGCAAGGGTTCATAAAAAATTCAGGAGAGAGCAACAAGATGGCCGGGAGATACTTCCCTTCTGTACCTTCTGAGTTTTGGACTATGCAAATGTATCATCCTTTCAAAAAGTGAACAAAAGATTAATTTTCCCCTTCCTATCTGTGCCCCCATCCCCAGCAAGAAAAACGGGCTTAGAGAATTGGATAGACCTGGGTGTTTATATCCCAGCTCTGCCTAAGTGAACTTAGGCAAGCACTTAACCTCAAATACTCCATGTTTTTTCATCTCCACAATAGAGGGAATCATAGTAACTGTCTCCTATGGTGGTTGCGAGGATTAAATGGGATTGTTAGCACGGTACCTGGTGAAGCATTCCACAAAGGTTCAAACAGTGGTAATAATAACAGTAATAACAATAGCAATATTATCTGATCTCTCTGGGCCTCTGTTAGCCAGCTATAAACTCAGTCTCATTCCCTGTCCGTTCCAACTTTACTGAGTTCTTTTAAAAACCAGACCACGGGCTTGGAAATGCCTTGATCTTTACTGACCGAGTTGTATATTGGGCCTAGCCCTAGCCCTTTTAAGGGGCACTGTGTGGAAATGCCCAGGCTCTCCAGATTGAAACTTCTCACTCTTCACCATCCAGTTGTCCAGCCGCAGCAAAGCACGTACGGAGTGGAAGTTAGAGCAGTCCATGCGGGAGGAGGCACTACTGAAAGTGCAGCTGACACAGGTGAGGTTTTCTGAGGGAGTTATGTGGAAGGAAGATGACCCCAGGTGGCCAGGAGCAGGTGAGGACCAGTGACAGCCCTTCCTAAGTTCTGTGCCCATTCTTGCAGTTCAAGGAGTCATTTCAACAAGTCCAATTAGAAAGAGATGAGTATTCTGAACATCTAAAAGGAGAGAGGGCCCGGTGGCAGCAGAGGATGAGAAAAATGTCGCAGGAGGTGAGATCTGACCCTTCAGCCCCCCCACATTAGATAGGTCACTGGATCTTTCTGGTCATCTGTAAAATGGGAATAGTAGAGCCAGAGGTGGTCATGGGTCTGGGCTTTGTGGAGGTGGGGGCAGAGAGGGAGAGGGCAGCCTGTCCAGCCTCCAGCCCCTCTCTCCAAGGCCCTTTCCCCTTGTGCTTTGGGCAGATTTGCACATTAAAGAAAGAGAAGCAGCAAGATATGCGTCGGGTAGAGAAGCTGGAGAGGAGCTTGTCCAAACTCAAAAACCAGATGGGTAAGATGGGGCTGGCATGACCTGGGAGCAGGACTGGCATCAGAGGGCTGTGAGGGTGGCTTAGAGTGCCCCAGGGAGGTGGGTGGATGGAAGGGCTTTGAGGCAGAGGGAAAGAGATCTGTGCCAGGAGACGGCGAGTCTTGTCATCTCAATGAGTCTCAGTGTCTCAGTGTCCCCATCAGCAAAGAGGGCCCATTGTCAGCCACCCGCAGTGCTCTTTCTCTGAAAGTGCTTTGGAAGACTGGCTACCATCTGGGTGCGAGGAATCATTAGCAGTGAGGCCAAGTTTGAGGAGCCTGAGAGGAGCTGTGCGCCAAGAGGAGGGTTTTTCTTTTCCGAGAATCCAGAGGCCCTTATTATCTGCTTCCTTTGTCAGCTGAACCCTTGCCCCCGGAGCCCCCAGCAGTGCCCTCTGAGGTGGAGCTGCAGCACCTGAGGAAGGAACTAGAGAGAGTGGCAGGAGAGCTCCAGGCCCAGGTCAAAAACAATCAGCGCATAAGTCTCCTGAACCAGCGACAAGAAGAGAGGATTCGGGAGCAGGAAGAGAGGCTTCGGAAGCAGGAGGAGAGGATTCAGGAGCAGCACAAGAGCCTTCAGCAGCTGGCCAAGCCACAGAGCGTCTTCAAGGAGCCGGTGCGTTGCCCAAACTGGGGAGCTTGCCCTCCTCCCTAGACCTCCGGGCCTTTGTTTCCCCACCTCTAAAATGGGGCAGTGTAGCCCTCACATGAAATGTTACTTCTAAAGGCACCTGTGAGCCAGGTGGCTGTGGGAGAGAGGGGGTGATTTTTCTAACCTGCCTCCAGCCTTCCCAGTGCCATGGGAGGCAGACACCAAGTTCTGGGGTCTCCAGCTGCAGTGGGTGGCTGCTGATTGCTTCTCTCTGTCCAGAACAATGAGAACAAGAACGCACTGCAGTTGGAGCAGCAAGTAAAGGAGCTACAGGAGAAGCTTGGCGAGGTGAAGGAGACGGAAACCTCCACCCCATCCAAGAAGGGCTGGGAGGCGGGCAGCAGCCTCT
The DNA here is from genome assembly GCF_000001405.40 of Homo sapiens. Classification (NCBI taxonomy): domain Eukaryota; kingdom Metazoa; phylum Chordata; class Mammalia; order Primates; family Hominidae; genus Homo; species Homo sapiens. The sequence goes on from NC_000015.10 coordinate 30,090,342, forward strand.
TGGGAGGGGAGGTGCCAGGCCAGAGGCAGCTTCCAGCCTGGGGGCTGGTGACCACAGCACCCCCCAGGGCAGTCCTGTGACTGTTTCTTGCTTCCTGCCTCTGACTTTTAAAGGTGGGTAGCCCTGGGCTCCTCTAAGGTCTGGACATCATCATCCCAGCTAGAGGCATGGAGCCCCCAATCACAGGGGAAGAGACAGTGCTATAACAGGCTCCTTATACCAGGTGCAGTGGCTCATGCCTATAATCCCAGCACTTTGGGAGGCTGAGGCAGGAGAATCACTTGAGGTCGGGAGTTTGAGATCAGCCTGGCCAATGTGGTAAAACCTCATCTCTACTAAAATTACAAAAAAAAAAAAAAAAAAAAATTAGCAGGACATTGTGGCGCATGCCTGTAATTCCACCTACTCGGGAGGCTGAGGCACGAGAATTGCTTCAACCCAGGAGGTGGAGGTTGCAGTGAGCTGAGATTGCACCACTGCACTCCAGCCTGGGCCACAGAGTGACACTCTTGTCTGAAAACAAAACAAAAAGACTCCTTAGATTGAAACTGGATTCCAGCCTCGGTTCCACTGGTCACCATTCAAGTACTTTGCATCTCTAAGTCTCTGTTTCTTTAACTTCAAAGGGAAGTTAGCATTTTCCTTACAGAGGTGCTGAGGATTAAATGAGAAGAGGGTATGAGATTTGAGGCTGGGGAAGGAGGCATGGGGTTCTAGGAAAGGGAGGCAGTCACTTAGGCCTGGAGTAAGGGGACAGGGGCCTGGGCAGCTGACAGAGCCCCACAGTGCCCTCGCTACCCTATTAATGGGCCCAGAATCTGGAAACCAGCCACCACGTGCCCTCACACCCAGGGTCTTCCTGCAGGTGGAGCTGAAGAGCCAAGAGGCTCAGAGTCTGCAGCAGCAGCCAGACCATTACCTGGGTCACCTGCAGCAGTACGTGGCCACCTATCAGCAGCAGGTGGCCGCCTATCAGCAGCTGACCTGTGAGAAGGAGGCGCTGTACAGGCAGTGACTGCAGCAGACCCAGCTAATGAACCAGCTGCAGCAGCAGGAAGCTTGGGGCAAAGCGGTGGCTGAGATGGCCTGCCAAAAGTTGCAGGAGACCCAGGGGAGGGAGCTGCCGAGGATGGGGCTGTGAGGGGGATGACCTGGCAAACTCCACCCCTTCTCACTCTGTCCTGGCCCCTTAGGAGCACCTGGAAGCTGCCAGCCAGCAGAACCAGCAGCTAACGGCCCAGCTGAGCCTCATGGCTCTCCCTGGGGAAGGTACGGGAGACTGCTCAGAGGAAGAGGAGAGAGCCCCAGGAGGAAGGGGGGACTGCTAGCAGCATAGGATTGAGGAGTTGGAAGAGACCTTTAGAACAGCTGGTCATTATGCCGACCGGGTGCCTGCACTAAGTTCGGCATCAGTGTGGTGACCTCCTGTGAGCGGGGGGTCACCAAGTTGCCTAAGGATGGCTGAACTGGCCAAGGTCAGAAAGGGAGCAGGTCAGAACTCCCACATCGACCAGTAGTGGGAGTGTGCCTGGGCGGAATAGCAAGATCTTGATTCTTAAAAGTAAAAATAAAGAACAACAGCTCATTCCTCTCTGGGGAGGGGCAGGCTCAGGGTTACACAGTGAGGGTGGAGGTAGAGGTGGGCCCACAGTACCTCCCTTGTTGGGTTGTCTGAAGACCCGTCTGACCACCCCCCACAGGACACGGAGGAGAACATCTGGACAGTGAGGGGGAGGAGGCACCTCGGCCCATGCCGAGTGTCCCAGAGGACCCGGAGAGCAGGGAGGCCATGGTGAGCCTGACTCCCCCTGCACCCATTTTGCCACCTTTCTCTGTGGTCCCTCCAAGACCCCTTTATGCTCTTCGTTTCCCTGCCTTCTGATTTCTCTGGACCCTCACCCCTTCCGAGAGCCAGTGGTCAGACACCATTTCACCTGTGGCCAACAGGTGCACTCTCTGAGGCCCCAAGGGAAGGGGTTGCGCTCCACCTCTCTGCCCCATTTCTTCTGTGTATGCCCCTAGAAGAATGCTCACATCTTGCCCTCAGGTGGCATTTTTCAAGTCCGCTGGAGCTAGTGCCCAGGAGAAGCAGGCACAGTTACAAGAGCAGGTGAAAGAGCAGAGGGTGTCCTGCCAGCGCCTGGCTCACCCGGTGGCCTCGGCCCAGAAGGAGCCAGAGGCAGCCAGAGGCCCTGGAGCCCCAGGGCCTGGGGGCGAGTCTGTGAGTGGGGAGACCCACTGGGCCCTGCAGGAAGTCACGGAGAAGCTGGCCCATGCCAGGACTCACCTCCACCTTCTCCATGACTTGAAAATGCCACCTGAGGGCAGGTCGCTGCCGAGATGTGACTGCAATATTTTGGCTCCAGAGCAGCTTTATGGACCACCTGGAGGAGAAGGCAGACCTGAGTGAGCTGGTGAAGAAAAAAGAACTCTGCTTCATCCACCACTGGCGAGAGAGATGCCATCAGTGAGTGGGAGGCCAGGGCACGGCAGGGGGAGCTACAGGGCCGTCGGAGGGGCCCCAGCGTCTGAGCCCTGTCCTCCCGCAGGAAAACCCATCACCTTTTATCAGAACCAGGGGGCCGTGCCAAAGATGCGGCACTGGGAGGAGGACACCATCAGGCTGGAGCTCAGGGAGGAGATGAAGGTAGGGTGTGCAACATTTCTGTGGGGGTGGGGGTGGGGGTGGGTGTGAGGGTGGGCGCAGGCAGCGGCATGGCAGCTGAGCACCCCTCCCTCCAGGTGAAGCTGCTGGAGCTGCAGCAGATGGTATTGCGGCTTACAGCAACTACAACAATGGGCACAGAAAATTCCTGGCCGCTGCCCACAACTCTGCTGATGAGCCCGGTCCAGGAGCCCCAGCCCCCCAGGAGCTTGGGGCTGCAGACAAGCATGGTCGTGAGTAGAGCCCTCAGGTGGGGTGGGCAGGCAGGAAGAGGGGGCTCCCACTGTGCTCAGATCCCTGCCTCCCTCTCTCCAAAGATCTTTGTGAGGTGAGCCTCACCTCCTCTGCCCAAGGAGAGGCCAGGGAGGATCCTCTCCTTGACAAGCCTACTGCACAGCCGATCGTGCAGGACCACCAGGAGCACCCAGGCTTGGGCAGCAACTGCTGTGTGCCATTCTTGTGCTGGGCTTGGCTGCCAAGAAGAAGGAGATAAACATCACCATCCTCAAAGAGCTGCTCAAGAAATTTTTAAATAAGAAACCAAGTTATGGGGTTAATCTCCTACACAATTCATTTACTTCCTTTGAATGTTAGAGTCACTCATGATTATTTGTTTTTCTAATTTATAGTTTTAAGTTTATTTGTAAAAAGTTAAAAGAGAGTGGGTGTCTGTGGCTCTCACTGATGTTCACTCTGGCATCCTTTAGCATTTTTCTTTTTTAATTTCATAATTGTAGGTCATTAGCGTGCATATCGAGTTTGCCCTTACGTGGTGGGAGTTCAAACACACAAAGACCCACTCTTTGCCCAAAACTGTTCTCTTTGGTTTGGAATAGGCTGCCATGCTTTTTTAATGTTATTGCAGCATGTATATTCACTACAGAATTCAGACAAAATTTGCCTATGTTCTGCTGTTGTTTGATCTAATCTTAATCACAGTGAGCTCTTCATTAGCTCAATATGTAGTTTGCCCCCAAGTGTGCACTGTTTATTACTTTGTAATATGCCACTATGAGTACTGACATTTAGAGTTGTTTAAAGGCCAAGAACTGGAAACAGCCTTTCCTCCATTTTCTGTGTGTTGGTGATGGGAGTGATAACCTTTTGGGGGAGCTTTTTAAATCTCACAGAAGAGGAAAGTGGCCTCCTCTGGCAGGTACGTGCAGGATAGAGTGTGTTTCATCTGTTCCGGTGCCCGGAATTAGCAGTGTATTATGGTGGTTCCCTTAGGATTTGTATGTGCTCTGGGCTCATGAAGATACTGCATCATGAGCTGCAGCAGTTGTACTCTTTTTCGATGACCTAAAAAGGGCTTATTTCTGAGGAATGAAAGGTTCCCATCATTGACTGTGGATGTGGGAAACCTTTCCTAGCTTAGAGCATTTGTATCTACAATACATTTTAAAGTCAGAGTTCATGTTACCTGTTTTAATCACATGACTACATGTCCCAGTACACAAAAGGGCACTGGTTGGCATTCTTCTTAATGTATTTAGTGAAGATCATAAGAAATCCTTTATGAGTTCAAACGTTCCTGGAACAGGCATACAGGCTCTAGTCAAGAATGAATTAGAGTGAAGGAAAGCTGTGTGACACCTGGCATTCCTCTCTGTTCACGGAGATTCTTTGAGGCTTGAAGATTGATTTTACCATCTAGACCTCTTTGGCTAATACCTATTCTTCAACCACCTTGGTTACTCTGACATAGGAATTTACTTCTTTTTCTTTGAATGGAAAACACTTTAAAAAATAATAGAAACATTATTATAAACTAATATATGTGAGATACTTAGTTGAAACAAAAAGGAGTTTTAGTAGACGGTATTGTACTCTCTTTGAAAATCAAGGAGAAGTTTATGAAACTTAAAATGTGTACAAACTGCAGTGCAATCTACTGTTCGTGAATGTCAATGTATTATCAGGAAACGTGTCTATACAATCACAGAGTTATATTTTCTCACAGACTTCTTTACAAAGTGAAATATGTTTTTGTACCTCTGGGTTTCTGTTCGGGACATATTTTGTGCAATATTTATGTGATTGTGCCTATGCATGATGAATGAATACATTTCAGTTATATATTGCCTAAATCATAACTTGATGATGCTTGGGAAAGACTCAACAGTTAAAACTTCATGAAGTTCTAATGTCTGTGTTCCAAAACACATCACATTGTTAGGATGCAGGGAGATAGGTGTGTGTGCTCCCTGCGGTGGGGATTTCTAGTTACTAGATCATCTCCATTTTTAGCATTTGGCATCCTCATGATACTTCTATAAATATGACATTAACAGGAGAGCAACAATACGATTTTACCGATGGAATAACAGATTTGCTGGCATTCACTGAAAGAGTGCAAATATTCGGTCCTTGTGACTTCCACTGACTCTTCCAAATTTTATGAATGTATCAATGTATTAGATAAACCCAGTTTCAGAATGATAAAGAAAAAATTTAGACCAAATAATGCAGCTAATTAACAGTGGTACGATTTGTAGCCCGTGGGTTTAAAATGCACTTAAAGTCCTGTTCTCGCCTTTTATTTTCTGAACTTGCCGCTTTTGCATTCTTTGAGTTCAGTTTAAAGACAGTTACTTTAAGAGCATTTTAAACCCTCGGGCTAGAAATCGGACCACTGTTAATCAGCCACATTATTTGGTCTAACGTTTTTTCTTTTATCATTCTGAAACTGGGTTTATCTAATACATTGATAAATTATTGCAAAGGTACTTTTATCGTTGAAATCACTTCACTTTTACCCTGATAAATATCAGTGACTAGGAATGACCTTCGGATAGCGTTTAGCATCTGTAACCAATCTGACAATAATGTGTTCATGAGGTGCCTATGGATTAAATCACACACTGGCATATTTAAGCTGAAGGTCAGTCTGGAAAATAAATTTACTATATTGACTGAAATACCACTCTTTGTGTAGGTATTTGTCATATATTTAAGAAAAAGTTAAAAAGAATGGAAATTGTATGACAATAACTCAAGTCTTTCTCCAAAGTGCATGCAGTCTTTTGCGATACCTCATTCAGCCGAGTATTTGTGCTCTTCCTCATTCAGTATAAGGCAGCTTTCAGTTTGCTTAGAAGGCAACATTGGAATGTTAGAGTTCATCAGAAACATAGAATTTTAAACTGTGAGTTCCACTGAATACATTTTAATGTCTGTAGGAAGAATCAAAACACCTATTTAAAGATGGCAATATATAATAATCATTTTAAAAGTATTTGATTCAACCTGATAATTTTCCAGAAATGAAAAAAAAAAATCAGCTCTAAAACCAAAGCTGATTTTAGAAAATTTGAAAATGTAAATCAGCCCTATCCATAATATAGTTTCTCTAAAACTTTATTTTAAAGAGTCATTTTAAAATAATATAACTATTAAAAAATGTAACTGCTATCTTAATGTTCTGAAATAATTTAAAACATTTTAAAATATGAATACTGTAGTATAAAAGAAAGAAATGGTGGGAACGAAAAGCAGAGAAAGAAATGCCAATTCCAGTCCAAAGTTTTATTTGCCAAGTTTTCTTAGAATGAATTTTACCAGTTTATGAATTATTGTAAAGAGAATGTGTCGTGGAAATACTGAAAGATTTTTCCCTAGAGTGGCCTTATTGACTGCTGGTGTGATGCCACTGTAATGTAATAAATTATTAAGTTGTTTCAATGTGTTGTTTTTGTCTTAAAATTTTATTTTGCGTTTCTTGAAAACTATAGTATTAAAGGTATTGATACTGTGCAAATGCTGGGCATGCTTGGCATGAGATAATGTGTTTCATTTTTACAAAGTTGTAATATAACTATGCAAGTGTTTCTTAAAAGAACACAAGATTTTAAAAGTTATGGGATTAAAAAAGTTATGGGGTGAAAAAGTTATGGGATAAAAAATGTAAAAACGTTGTGGCAAAAAAACTTGTGGGAACAAAGTAGAAAACAGTATTATGAAAAGTTACCAAAAAAGTTATGAAAAAGAAGTTACGGGATTCTTTTTTAAAAAGTCATGGAATAAAAATAAAAATTAAAAGCAGGCCCCTGTCAGCAAAGCCTGGAGAAGTGGGGCTGGGGTCTCCACCGCCACCATGTCCCTACCACCCCTTCCCAGGCACCCCTTTACAATTAGGGTAGCAGGACAAGACCTCTGTCTAATGGGGAAAGACAAACAGACCCTTTGCCACCCTGACCAGGGCTGAGTCCCTAAATTTCTGGATGATGATGATTGTTATTTAAGAGCCAGAGGCTGGTGGAGTTGGTTTGTTTGGAGGAGGCCTGATGTCCCCCTTACTCTCACCATAGCAACTTTTCCCTCAGGGGGGCTCCCTTCTTATTCAGAGAGGCAGGACAGTGGGGCTAACTGTGGACCAGGCGAGGGCACGGGCTGCTGGGGTGGCCCCCGTTCCCCGGTGTACACATTGTGTCTGTGTAAGGTTTTGTATATTCCAGAGGGTAGGGCCACCCCTGTGTCATACCTAGCTGAGGTTGGAGCCGGCACATGGGGAGGAGGTTGTAATAATTATTTGTGGCTGGGAAACTTATTTATTGCTAGCATAGGACAGAGGAAGGAGGCGGGGATGGGGTCATGGCTCCCTGGTGATGCGACTCCTGTTTATTTTGCTTTTTATTTTGGAATAAATGGATTTAGCCATACTGCTCGGCCTGGTGTGTTTCCGTTTCCCTCACTGGGTCCTGGAGTTTGTGCCACCAAACAAGGAGTCCCAGAGTGTCTTGAGCATGTCCAGCTAGGCTGTTGGGGACCTTCCAGGCGTGTTACCTGTATGCTGCCTGGTGGCGCCTGGGGGATTCCAAGGGGACTGCCATGTAGTCTATGGGGCGCAGTCTGGCCCTGACAGCCAACAGGCTCAGAAGCCTGATCTAGCGGTGGCCGGGAAGACAGGTACCAGCACCTAAGGGCACTGACTTCCACCCAGCCCCGGCATCTTCCGTTCTATCCCCTTGTCTCCCTCTCCTGTCTGCACCTGGTGGCCTGTTCTGTCTGTGCCTCCAGAGTGCCGGCTGCCCTGCAGGCTCCCTCTGGGCTGAGTTCATGGCCCTGCCCCCTGGTGGCCAGAGCCGGCTTCACAGGATAAGAGCCCGCTAAGCTCCAGGGGCTTTCCAGGAAAAGTGTCCCTTGGAAAGGGCATGGCCTTTTCACTGCTCCCAACAGCACCCTAGAAATGGCTTGGCCTTTCCCCTCCCCTGAGCTCCACAGAGAACACAGCCAGCAGAGGACACACTTCCCCGCCATCCAGAAGCGGGTTTGATTCTCAGCCAAGGGACAGCAGGACTGGTAGAGACTGTCAGGCCACACAGCTGCCTGCACAGCACTCCCATGCTTGGTGGGGGGGGGGGGGGCGGGAGGGATGGCGGGGTGTGTCTCTCCATAGGCTGGGCGTGACAGGGAGGCTCACTGAAGGTAGCGCACTTTGGAGGGGCAATGTCAGGGGTTAGCTTTCTCTTGTTTGGCCACAAGACTCCAAAAGGACAGCACGGTGACTGATTCCCAGCGCTAGAGGCGAGGCGGTTGGCCACATGTAGGTGTGTGTGTGTGTGTGTGTGTGTGTGTGTGTGTGTGTGTATGTATATGGGTATTTGTAGATATTTCTAGAACAGGGCAGGGGCATACCACAGAGGGGGGCACAAGTTTTCAGCAACGGTCACACCTGGATGTGTCAGCTCACCGCAACAATAGACGAAGTCACAGATGAAGGGGGCTGCCTTTGGGGCTGGGGGAGCCACTGCCAAGTCACAGAACAGCCGCCCAGGCAGGCTTGGAAAGGGAAGTCTCTGAGAAGAGGAGGAATCTGTTTAGAGGTCAAAGGGGGGCCTGGGGCTCTCAGGATGGGATGGACTTGCCTGAGCCGATTGGCTGGCAGTTGGAGAGAAAGCAGAGAGAAGACAGGAGAGAGAAAAGCGAGCATATCATCTCACACCAGTTAGAATGGCAATCATTAAAAAGTCAGGAAACAACAGGTGCTGGAGAGGATGTGGAGAAATAGGAACACTTTTACACTGTTGGTGGGACTGTAAACTAGTTCAACCATTGTGGAAGTCAGTGTGGCGATTCCTCAGGGATCTAGAACTAGAAATACCATTTGACCCAGCCATCCCATTACTGGGTATGTACCCAAAGGACTATAAATCATGCTGCTATAAAGACACATGCACACGTATGTTTATTGCGGCATTATTCACAATAGCAAAGACTTGGAACCAACCCAAATGTCCAACAATGATAGACTGGATTAAGAAAATGTGGCACATATACACCATGGAATACTATGCAGCCATAAAAAATGATGAGTTCATGTCCTTTGCAGGGACATGGATGAAATTGGAAATCATCATTCTCAGTTAACTATCGCAAGAACAAAAAACCAAACACCGCATATTCTCACTCATAGGTGGGAATTGAACAATGAGAACACATGGACACAGGAAGGGGAACATCACACTCTGGGGACTGTTGTGGGGTGGGGGGAGGGGGGAGGGATAGCATTGGGAGATATACCCAATGCTAGATGACGATTTAGTGGGTGCAGCGCACCAGCATGGCACATGTATACATATGTAACTAACCTGCACATTGTCACATGTACCCTAAAACTTAAAGTATAATAATAATAATAAAAAAAAAGCGAGCAGAGAGCTGGTGAGGCAAGTGCAGAGCACAGGTGTGCCACAGCAGCTGTGGGAGGGCCAAGGAGTAAAGGGTGCACGTGCGGGTGTGGCAAGGTTCCTGGAAAAGAGGGGCTGGAAGGGAAAGGGGAGGAAGACAGAGGGAGGAGCCGGAGTTTCACAGGTAGTGCCTGGGGGCTGTGGCAGCCCTCCCCACCCCACACGTGCTGGCCTCTTCCACGGCACCCAGTGCACCCACTGTTAAGACTGATGCTCAGCCCCTTTGGGCTTCCCTCTTCTCTGGGCACCGTGTCTTCCAACCCACTTGTCCAGGGCCACCTCTCGCCTTGGGGAGCCCAAAACAACAGCCACCAGGCCTGATAGAGAAGAAACACTGCTTGAACCAGGATGATGAAGCTAAAAGGGATGGATGGGTGGAGTGATCGCCGGAGCCCCCTCTGGGGGGTCAGAAAGCCCAGGAACCCTTGAAGGGTCCCTGGGGGAGGAAAGGAGGGCATGCAGCTGGATGCCACTGGCTATAGACTTATAAGTCTAAGAGGGGAGCCTCAGCTTGTTGGGGGTTGCAGGTCGGATAGGTGAGGCTGGGCCCTTCCTGCTGGGAAAAGCAGAAGAGGGAGAGTCTATGGCAGGGGAGGTGGGTGGGCTTGTGGGGCGGAGGTCAGCTGGGCCAGCAGGCACTGTGGTCCCCTTGGCTGAATAGCAGAGGTGACCTCTAGGAGCAACACTCCAAGGTGCGTGAGCCTGCTGGCCAGCAATAGTGCTTCAGCGGGGGCCAGGGACCCTGCCTTCAGTCACACGCTAGCAGCTATGATGGTACCTGGGAGGGAGGGAAGGGGCCTGTGTTTCCTGCCTGGCCTGTGAGGTGTGTTGTGGGTTGACCGTGTGTATGGGACTCTCAAGGTTTTATCCTATCTCACCACTGCATTGCCGACAGATAGAGGAGGTGGGACTCTGACTATCACCCCTGCTCTGCAGTGGATTTGGCTCTCAGCACTCCCAGGCTGGGAGCTGGATGCCCTGCCCTGGCAGCATGACTCAGACTGCCCAACAGGTGCGGTGTGCACAGGAGGACTATCCTAGGACTCTGGCCGCCTCAGAGTACAGCCCCACACACCACCCCCTCTAAGCTCTCAGCCCTTACACCATAAACCACGAGCTCTGTGACGGCTCCAGGGAGCACCCATGTCTACCAGCGTGGGCACGGAGCCTGTTCCAAGAGTCCCCAGGCTCAGCCATGGGGGCTGGGGGGCTTTGGGGCCGTGGGAGCCAGCCTTGGTACCTGCATCCGGCAAGGACGCTCTGCACCTGCAGGCAGGAGTTGTCCACGGGCCCCCATGTGCGTGCTGATGGTGGTCGTGTTGATGTCGCCGATGATGCCGAGTGCCTCCTTCAGCACGTGGTACATGCGCAGCATCTCGTCGCGCCACTGTGCCTGCTCTGCCGACTCTTCCATCAGCGTTTTCTGGTCCCCACGTGAGTACAGGTTGGACAGCAGCTCCGAGAAGATGAACTCCTTGGTCTGAGAGCGGGCAAAGAGGGAAGGAGGTTGGGACCTGATGCCTTTGCTGCCCTGGCCTCCTGCCGGGCCCTGCTGGGACTGTGTGCTGGACTTGGAGCCCTGAGTATGGCTTTTCAGACGCGGCTTCTACACCGCTTAGACTCAAAGATCTGCCTCCCCACCGCCCTTTTCTCACTCAGATAGGGACACTGAGGTCCAAAGGAAAAGTCACCTGTCCAAGGTCACACATCTGGGAGGGGACCCAGGACCTATCATGCCACCAGGACACCGGTCTACTCAGTTTCTTAAAAATGTTTTTTGGAGATAGGATCTTGCTCTGTCGCTAGGCTGGAGGACAGTGGGCGAGATCACCACTCACTGTAGCCTCAACTTCTTGGGCTCAAAGTGATCCTCCAATGTCAGCCTGTCGAGTAGCTAGGACTATAGGTACGTGCCACCACCAAGCCCAGCTATTTTTAAAATTTTAGTGTAGAGATCAGGTCTCACTATGTTGCCCAAGCTGGTCTCGAACTCCTGGGCTCAAGCTATCCTCTTGCCTTGGCCTCCCAAAGTGCTGGGATTACAGACATGGGCCACTGTCCCCAGTCCCACGTTATATTTCTATGAGACAGCTCTGGTCTGGACTGTGCCTCCCTCCCTGGACCTTGGTCCCATAGGGCTGGTCAGCATCTCCCCCAGGCCAACATGGCCACCTGCATCCCCAGTGCTACAGGAGCCCCCTGCCCCTATGAGGCGGTGCATGCACGTTGTTGATCATGACGTGCATGATGGTCTTGGGCATGACACCAACCATGAGGTCCCACACGGTCTTGTTGACAATGGCCATGTAGGAGTCCACAAGGTTCTGGGTGGTTTCCATTTGCCGCTCCAGCTATGGGTCCATGGAGTGCATGAAGCTGTCGGAGCCATTCTCCTCAGCCTTGCTGTCCTGTCATGGAGAACACAGTGGCATCAGGGTGGCCAGGCCATGCAGCCAGGCTCCAGGAATCCCTAGGATCTCAGCACCTCCAAGGGTACCTGGAACATTGAGGCACAGAGAAAAACAACTGGCGTGAACATGCACCGAGCTCCCCACACGCTCTAGACGGTTTCAGGTATCTGCCTCTCAGGACCCCAGACTCCCCTGATTCAGTCTCCTCTTAGTTCTGACTCTAGTGCCCAGAATCTGCCTCAAGTTACCAATCCAGAAACTGGAAAAAAACATCTCCAGGTCCCCTGTTGGAGACCTGGCCAGAGCTTGTGCCAGGCTGCAGACGCCTGGCAGGGGGCAAGAAAGGGGCATACTCACTTTCCCCTTGTCCTGGGAGGCCCATGCACCAACACTGCCACCGCCGCCGCCACCAGGGAACACGGCAAAGTAGACACACACAGAGAGGAAAACGGGAAGGGTTGAGTGAACCTGGGACACTGCACCCCAACTTTAATGTGTTGTGGAATTCAGTTAGCTAATATTTTATTGAGGATTTTTGCATCAATATTCATCAGTGATATTGGCCTGTAGTTTTCTTTTTTGGTCTGTGTGTTTGATTTTGTTATCAGGGTAATGCTAGCCCTGTAGAATGAGTTTGCAAGTATTCCCTCCTTCTCTATTTTTGGAATCGTTTGGGTAAGGTTGGTATTAGTTCTTCTTTAAATGTTTGCTAGAATTCAGCAGTGAATCATCAGGTCCCAGGCTTTTCTTTGCTGGGAGACTTTTTATTACCACTTTGATCCCATTATTTGTTATTGGTTTGTTCAGGTTTTGGGTTTCATCATGGTTCAATCTTGGTAGGTTAGATGTGTCTGGAAATTTATCCATTTTTGGTAGGTTTTCCTATTTATTTGCACACAGTTGCTGACCACTAGTGATCCTTTGAGGTTTTTTTTCTTTTCTTTTTTTATATGGAGTCTTGGTCTGTCGCCCAGGCTGGAGTGCAGTGGCGCGCTCTCAGCTCACTGCAAGCTCTGCCTCCCGGTTTCACGCCATTCTCCTCCCTCAGCCTCCCAAGTAGCTGGGACTACAGGCGTCCGCCACCACGCCCTGCTAATTTTTTGTATTTTTTCCGTAGAGACGGGGTTTTACCGTGTTAGCCAGGATAGTCTTATCTCCTGACCTCCTGATCCACCCGCCTTAGCCTCCCAAAGTGGTGGGATTACAGGCGTGAGCCACGCCCCCTTGGGACAGGGACACACACACACACACATAGACACACACACACACACACACACACACACACACACACACACAGAGTTGGTTGTTGTGCCGTCCAGTCGCGAGTGTGAGGAAGGGACCAGATCGGTCGGGCAGAAAGGTGCTGGGTCAAGAGAGGAGGGGGCAGCCGGTAGCGCGGGCACGCCGGGTGCGCGCGGGGCGCGCCGGGTTGAGGGGTGAGGGGTGAGGGGTAAGAGGTGAGGGGCGACGAGGACCGGGGCGGGGTAGGGGCAGCCCTTTCCCAGGCGGTAGCGGGGGCAGTGGTGCTGTTGCCCTTTTAAACTGCGGCTTGACGGGAGCCGCGCCTCCTGTCGGTGGAGTCGGTTATAAAGGGAGCAGCCCCGCAGGCCGCCACATAGCTCCCGCCAAGTCCTCGGTGCCCCTTGCCATTTTCCAGCCGCGCTCCCACGAGGGTCACGGCGGCGGGGAGAGGTGGAGCCGCGAGAGCTCGGCCGGGGGCCCCGCCTGGTGGTCGCGGCCATGACAGCGGCTCGGGACTGGCTCCTTTTCCGCGCCCCTCCCGCCGGAGGTGAGGGGAAGATGTCCATGTCCGGGTTCAAGGGCAAACCGAAGTTACTGGCCTCTATCTTCCAGGAGAACCAGGAGCCACAGCCGCGGCTCACGCCCCACCGCAACATTAAGGTGAGTCGCCGGGTGGCGGCCTGGCGGGGCAGGGCGAGGGCGGAAAGCGGGTGCCCAGAGTCCCAGGAGAAAGGGGAAGCTGCCCCAGAGAGGCCGCGGTTCCCCGCCCCTTTCTCCCGCAACTGGCCCGCCCGGCAAGGCAGAGGCTTGGGTGGGAGAAGGCGGAGGGCGCGTCTCTCCAACTCCTAGCGCGGGGCTGGCTTGGGGGCTGCTGGCCCCTCTCGGCCCCTGTCGCTGCGCCTCGAGGTGGGAGCCCGCGGCTGCGGGAGCTCTCTTGGGACCCATGGTCGCCCTCAGTCAGCCCACCTGCTCTAGGGACCGCGACAGGGCGGGGCAGGGCGGCTCCCGCGTTGTTGGAGCCCAGGCGGGGAAGGGGAAAGGCCTTTAAGATTTTCGGTTTTTTGGCCGGGCGTAGTGGCTCACGCCTGTAATCCCAGCATTTTGGGAGGCCAACCGGGCTGATCACTTGAGGTCATGAGTTGGAGACCAGCCTGGCCAACATGGTGAAACCCATCTCTACTAAAAAATAGAAAAATTAGCCGGTCGTGTTGGCAGGCGACTTAATCCCAGCTATTTGGGAGGCAGAGGCAGGAGAATCGTTTGAACCCGGGAGGCGGAGGTTACAGTGAGCTGAGATCGAGCCATTGCACTCAAACCTGGGGGAGAAGAGCGAGACTTCTCTCTCTCTCTCTCTCAAAAAAAAGTTTTCTTTCTTTTTTTCTTTTTGTTGAGACAGAGTCTCACTCACTCTGTCGCCCAGGCTGGAGTGCAGTGGCGCGATCTCGGCTTACTGCAGCCTACCTCTCTTGACAGTCCACTGGTTAAAGCGATTCTCCTGCGTCAGCCTCCCGAGTAGCTGAGATTACAGGCGCCCGCCACCACGCCTGGCTAACTTTTGTGTTTTTAGTAGAGACGGATTTTTTAGTAGAGACGCGGTTTCACCATGTTAGCCAGCATGGTCTTGATCTCCTGACCTCATGATCCACCCGCCTCAGCCTCCCAAAGTGCTGGGATTACAGGCGTCAGCCACCGCGCCCGCCCTCTGTTTTGTTTTATACATGTAATATATTCACAAGTATCTTTACGAAGTGATTTTGATACTCTTTTGTCTTCTCCCTAGAATCTCTTTGTTCTGTAATAATTTTTTCTTAGTTTATATTGATCTTATTTTCCTTTTTAAAGCCTTTCCTTACATATCTATTCTATGTTGCTTATCATTTGTAGTTTTTTTATTTTTTATTTATTTATTTATTTATTTATTTATTTATTTATTTTTTATTTTTTTTTTTTGAGAGGGAGTCTCGCTCTGTTACCCAGGCTGGAGTGCAGTGGTGCAATCTGGGCTCACTGCAAGCTCCGCCTCCCAGGTTCACGCCATTCTCCTGCCTCAGCCTCCTGAGTAGCTGGGACTACAGGCGCCAGCCACCACGCCCCAACAATTTTTTGTATTTTTTAGTAGAGACGGGGTTTCACCGTGTTAGCCAGGATGGTCTCGATCTCCTGACCTCATGATCTGGCCACCTTGGCCTCCCAAAGTGCTGGGATTACAGGCGTGAGCCACCGTGCCCAGCCCTGATTCTATATTATAGTGAGTTGTACAATTATTTCATTATATGTTACAATGTAATAATAATAGAAATAAAATGCACAATAAATGTAATGTCCTTGAATCATCCCAAAATCATCTCCCCCAACCTTGTCTGTGGAAAAATTGTCTTCTGCAAAACTGGCTCCTGATGCCAAAAAGTTTGGGGACTGCTGGCATAAGTGGTCTCATATAGTAGTTGTCCTTTTGTGCCTGGCTTATTTCACTTAGCATAATGTCTTTAACGTTCATCCATGTTGTAGCATGTGCCAGAATTTCATTTGTTTTTAAGGCTGAATAATATTCCCTTGTATGTATTTAATATGCCTTTTTATCTTTTCCTCTGTTGATGAATACTTGGGTTGCATCCACCTATTGGCTATTGTGAATAGTTTTGCATTGCCTGTCTTTCTCATGATCGCCATCCTATTTCGCATCTAGCAGGTGTGAAATTCCATTGATTGAGTGATTGATTGAGACAGGGTCTGACTCTGTCGCCCAGTCTGGAGTGCAGTGGCATGATCTTGGCTCACTGCAACCTCCATCTCCCAGGCTCAAGCAATTCTTCTGCCTCAGCCTTCCGAGTAGCTGGGATTATAGGCATGCACCACTACCAGCTGGCTAATTTTTGTATTTTTAGTAGAGACAGGGTTTCACCATGTTGGCCAGGCTGGTCTCGAACTCCTGACCTGAAATGATCCACCTGTCTCCGCCTCCCAAAGTATTTGGATTACATGTGTGAGCCACTGCGCCCAGCTAGTAGGTGTGAATTTCTATGTCTTAGTGGTTTTGATTTGCATTTACCTGATGGCAAATGATGTTGAGTATCTTTTCATGTGTTTATTGGCCATTTGTCTGTTTTTTTGGGGAAATACTTATTCCAAAATTTAACTTATTTTTAATTGGGTTATGTATCTCTTTATTATTTAGCTGTAAGAATTTTTTACATATTCTAGATAGGAGTTATAACAACTTTCTTCCTTTTTCTGGATTGTCTTTTTTCTTTCTTGATGGTGTCCTTTGAAGCAGAAAGATTTTAAATTTTGATATAGTCCAATTTATCTTTTTTCATTTGTGTTTTTTTGCTCCTTGTGCTTTTGGTGTAATATCTAAAAAAACGTTGCTACTCCAAGGTCACAAAGGTTTCTGCCTATGTTTTTTTCTATGAGTTTTATAGTTTATCAATATCTCTTATATTGAGCTCTTTTATCCATTTGAATTAATTTTTGCATGCGGCATGAAGTAGGGGGGTATAGCTTCATTGTTTTGCACCTAGACATCCAGTTATCTCAGAACTATCTGTTGAAAAGCTTATTCTTTCCCCATTGAATTGTCTTGGAACGCTTATTGAAGATCAATTGACTGTATATGTGAAAGTTTATTTCTGGATTCTATTCTTTTCTCTGTTCATCTGTCCTTATACCAGTAGCACACTCTTGATTACTGTAGCTGTTTAGTAAGCTTTGAAATCAGAAAGTATGAATCCTCCAGAAAGTTTTTTAAGGTGGGTTTGGCTGTTCCGGGTCACTTGCATTTCCATATGAATTTTAAGATCAGCTTGTCAGTTTCTGCAAAGGAGCCAGCTGGGATTTTAATCACAGTCGCATTGAATATGTAGATCAACTTAGAAAGTACTGCCATTTTAACAATATTAAGTTTTCCTCCATGAACACAGGATGTATTTGTACTAATTTAGGTCTTCCTTTAATTTCTTTCAATCGTAGTTGTGTTGAATGCAGACCTACTTTGAATTAATTCTAAGTAATTTTTATGCTACTTATTGGTTGACAAATATAATTGCTTTTAGTTTTTAACTGTAGTTTTGATGTAATGTGAACTGTATTTGGACCTTGTGAAGCTTATTTCTGCTTTGAAATTTAGTATAAATTGGTTATAATAAAATCTGACTGTGCTAATTTTTTGGTTATGTGAAATAGAAAATCAATGTAAATTTAAAAATTTATTCTGGGCCGGGCGCAGTGGCTCACACCTGTAATCCAAGCACTGTGGGAGGCTGAGGAGGGCAGATCACAAGGTCAGGAGATCAAGACCATCCTGGCTAACACAGTGAAAGCCCATCTGTACTAAAAATACAAAAAATTAGCCGGGTGTGGTGGTGGGCACCTGTAGTCCCAGCTACTTGAGAGGCTGAGGCAGGAGAATGGTGTGAACCTGGGAGGCGGAGGTTGCGGTGAGCTGAGATCGCACCACTGCACTCCAGCCTGGGCGACAGAGTTAGACTCCGTCTCAAAAAAAAAAAAAAAAAAAAAAAAATTCATTCTGAAATGCGATAGATGTTGAAGCTCTTCTGGCAGATGGTTATAAAGAGGAATATATAATCATTCTATTGAGAAAATATAATCAATAATGTGAATACCTAAGGTAGTTTATTTTACATATATATCTCGGTATTTATTTATTTTTGAGACAGAGCCTCACTCCTGTCACCCAGGGTGGAGTGGAGTGGCACGATCATGGCTCATTGCAGCCTCAACTTCTTGGGCTTAGGTGCTTATCTCATCTCATCGCAGCCACCTGAGTAGCTGCGACTACAGGTGTGCGCCACCATGCATGGCTAATTTTTTGTATTTTTAGTAGAGGTTTCCCCATGTTGTCCAGGCTGGTCTGAAACTCCTGGACTCAAGTGATCTGCCCGCCTCGGCCTCCCAAAGAGCTGGGATTACAGGTGTGAGCCACTGTGTTGGCCTTATGTTTTATAATTTTTAAATGATACTTTTTATTCTATTACAAAACATATATAATTGTAAAAAACTTGTAAAATATAAAAGAGGACAAAGACAGTAGAAAAATTATTTACAATGTAATTCCCAAGTAAACACTGATTACCTTTTTTTTTTTTTTTAGAGCCTGTTGCTCAGGCTGGAGTGCAGTGGCACCATCATAGTTCACTGTAACCTCATACATCTCATACATTTTGATATTACTACTTCTGGTTTTATACATAATGTGTTCACTTTGAAGCAAGAGAGTATAATTTTATAACGATTATTTTCATTTAATGATCGTGATCTCATTGCAATTATTGATCATTTAGTTTATTCCTGAACATTTTGTTTTATATATTTTTGCTATTGTGAGTGGGATATTTGTTATAACTTGGCATTTGTGCCTACACTCAATTTACCTATAGGAAACTAATTTTTGCATACAATTGTTTTAATTGGTGCAGTGGCACAATCTCAACTCACTGCAACCTCCGCCTCCCAGGTTCAGGTGATTCTCCTGCCTCAGCCTCCTGAGTAGCTGGGATTACAGGCACATGCCACCACACCCAGCTAATTTTTGTATTTTTAGTAGAGACAGTGTTTCACCATGTTGGTCAGGCTGGTCTTGAACTCCTGACCTCGTGATCCACCCGCCTTGGCCTCCCAAATTGCTGGGATTACAGGCTTGAGCCACCGTGCCCGGCCTCGGCCTCTTTGTGTGTTTTCGTATATCTTTCATCTGAGTTGCAAGGGGCACCTTGGGTTTCCAGGAATTTTCTTAGCTAACTCTGTTCCTTTATCTATGACCCTTCCTCACTAGTTTTGGATAATTTATTTTCCTTCTTCCTTACTTCACTGATTTACTTTTCTATTTTATTTAGTTTGCTAGTCATTGTTTCTTTTAAGGTTCTTAAGCATAAATCCTTTTTTTTTTCTGATGGGAAATACTGGGGCATAGCACTAGGAATACAAATTATGTTTAAATAGAGCACAAAGAACCATCTCAAAGGAATAACTGATGGTGAATGTCTGGTGATTGATTTTATTATGTATCATCTCTAATGAGGCTTAATAAATAATTGAGGTTTAACACTTAGGTAACCGGTCTGTATTTAAGTCTGAAAATTTTTGTATGTTACAGTTTCAACTTCACATTGAATATTCTGTAAAGCAGAAATAAATTGATCAGCATTCTATGAATGAAAAATAAAGCCATGGGTCGGGTGCAGTGGCTCACACCTATAATCCCAGCACTTTGGGAGGCCGAGGCAGGTGGATCACCTGAGGCCAGGAGTTCGAGACCAGCCTGGCCAACATGGTGAAACCTTGTCCTAGCTACTGGAGAGGCTGAGGCAGGAGAATGACTTTAACCCAGGAGACAGAGGTTGTGGTGAGCTGAGATCGCGCCACTGCACTCTAGCCTGGTGACAGAGCAAGACTCTGTCTCAAAAAAAAAAAAAAAAAAATTAGCTGGGCATGGTGGTGCACACCCGTAATTCCACTACTTGGGAGGCTGAGGCAGGAGAATCACTTGAACCCAGGAGGCAGAGGTTGCAGTGAGCCAGGGTTGCACCACTGCCCTCCAGCCTATGTGACAGACTGAGACTCCATCCCTAAAAAAAAAAAAAAAAACAAAAAAAAACCATGCTGGTAATCGAAAAAGCAGTTTGCCTCATCAGAGTTTAGAACGTTGAATTGTAAAGATCTTTTTTGTAGTCCTAGCCAGTTTTAATGGTAACATGAGCAATTCAGTTACTTTCTCAGAGTTTTATATTTTTATCTGTAAAATGGAAATTATGGTACCTACAGTTTAGGATTTTTGTGAAAATCAAGTGAGACTGCAAGTGTCTTGAATAGCAGTGGAAGTACATTGATATAGGTGATATTTTACAGTGGTGTCTTCCTCAGCATCATATTAGTTCAGTGTTTTAAAGCTCTATATTAGTCACAGAAACAAAGTCAAATTTTTGTTCTCATTTCAGATTACAAGTGGACACCTGAGTCAGCAGGACCTGGAATCCCAGATGAGAGAGCTTATCTACACGACTCAGATCTTGTTGTCACCCCCATTATTGACAATCCAAAGGTGCAGAAAGCACTCTGACAAGTGAGTTGTAGACTTTACTGAGATCTGAAATCTGCATAAGATTTTCATTCAGAATATTATTTACTGTCTAATCTTTCCTGTTTCTCTTGTCCGCTACTCTTTCATTTGTGCTGCATGTCTGCATTTCCAGCTCCCGCTCTGTCTGCAACCCTTTCCTCTGCCTTCACTTCCGCTTCACTGGAGTTCTAAGTTTTCCCCCCTCTGTTTTGAATGAGTCAGCTCTGCTTCTCACTACTGCTTTCTTCCACATGCCACGGAGGGGTTGCCAGCCTCTTGACCTCAGACCTTAGCTCTCAGTCCCATCGTTTCTCCATCTGCACTAATGTGAATCACTCTAAGTATTCTAGTCTCTGATGTGTTTTGAAGGCAGAAGCAGTCAGAGGGCACTGCTCACCAGGCTGGGCTGGGCAGGCAGATCACACGGAAGCCCTGCCCTGTCACAGGTTGTTAATACTGCAGGGGAGATGGTGGGGAGACACTATGGGAACTTGAGGAGTCATGGTTCACAATGTACTTCTAAACCACTGTGAGTTTTTTTGCTTCTTGTCTTTTGGAATATAATACTTTATTGCTGGGGGATAATGAGTATTTACTTTAAAAAACAGATGCATTTCTAAGTCCCTCTGTTTTGTCTTGACTTCCAGCTCCCCAACATACTCACATTCCACTACTTATTCTCTATTTTAACTTTACTGCTTCTTTTACTTTTTTTTAGTTTTACTTTTATTTTTTATTTTTTTGAGACAGAGTCTTGCTCTGTCACACAGGCTGGAGTGCAATGACGCGATTTTGGCTCACTGCAAGCTCCGCCTCCCAGGTTCATGTCATTCTCCTGCCTCAGCCTCCCAAGTAGCTGGGACTACAGGTGCCCGCCACCACGCCCTGCTAATTTTTTGTATTTTTAGTAGAGACAGGGTTTCACCATGTAAGCCAGGATGGTCTCGATCTCCTGACCTTGTGATCCACCCACCTCGGCCTCTCAAAGTGCTGGGATTACAGGCATGAGCCACCACACCTGGCCTTCTTTTTCTTTTTTAAATATCTTTTTCTGTATTAATTCATGACTGTTTTTTTCTTGTCTCATTGGGAACATTAGTGTGGTTTAGAACAATGTAAGGGTTTTTGGATTCATGTTTATTTTCTAGATAGACAGCATTTTATATAGATGATTTAGCTGTTTTTCATAATGGAGCTAATTCTTTTTGTGAGTTCATATGTCTGGCAGTGTAACTTTATTATGCTAAGTTTGATGTGCATTGGCGCATTTTCAAAATGGGCTTTCTAGAACAATTTGTGATATCTTTCCCAGGGGTGTCCAGTCTTTTGGCTTCCCTGGGCCACACTGGAAGAAGAATTGTCTTGGGCCACACATAAAATACACTAACAATAGCTGATGAACTAAAAAACCAATAAAAAAAAATTGCAAAAAAATTCTTACGATGTTTTAAGAGAGTTTATGAATTTGTGTTGGGCCATATTCAAAGCCGTCTTGGGCCGCATCCAGCCCACGGGCTGCGGGTTGGACAAGCTTGCTTTACACAATATTCTGTGTTTCCTTTTTTCCTCTTATAACCATATTTGATAGTTTATGGGAAGCCTTCATCAGTGGAAATTTTTGTGTTTAACTTTTAATTCTAAACTACTTTTAGAGAAAAGATTAAAAAATAGTTGAGAACTCCTGTATAGCTTTTGCCCAGCTGCTCTTAATGTTCACATCTTATAGGTCTATAGTATAGTTAGCAAAACCTGGGAATTAACATTGGTATAGTGTTAGTCAGGCGGGATAATCCTTACCTGTGCCTCCTTTTGGAGGGCAGCAGAATGTGGTAGTTGGAATTGCATGATACTTGATTCATATCTCTGTGTAATGATGGCATGCAATACCCTGACTGCTCCTTTCGAATTCTTCCTGAAAAGGGAAAAATAAAACATGAGAATAGTGCTGCTAACTACCAAATGCATTTGAATTTTACCGGTTGCCTCTAATGTCCTCTTTTTTTTTGTTCCAGGATCCCACATTACAGTTAGTTGTTATGCCTTCTTAGTCTCATATAGTCTGTCCTAGTTTTTCACGGTTTTGTCAGAATTTCTCAGACTTTGCTTGTCTTTCATGACCTTGACAGTTTGTCTTTTATTTTGTTTTGTTTTGTTTTTTGTCACCCAGGCTGGAGTGTAGTGGCGCGATCTCAGCTCACTGCAACCTCTGCCGACCGGGTTCAAGCTATTCTCCTGCCTCAGCCTCATGAGTAGCTAGGATTACAGGCACCTGCCACTGCACCTGGCTAAGTTTTGTAGTTTTAGTAGAGATGGGGTTTTACCATGTTGGCCAGGCTGGTCTTGAACTCCTGACCTCATGATCCACCTGCCTAGGCCTCCCAAAGTGCTGGGATTACAGGCGTGAGCCACGGCACCTGGCCTTTGTATGTTTTTGTAATACATGTTATAAAACGTATGACTCAAGTCCTTGACACTTTGAAGAGTAACTGGTTGGGTGTTTTGAAGAATGTCCCTTAATTTAGGTTTGTCTAAGGGTTTCTCATGACTCGAATGAGATTATGAATTTGGATTATGAGATTAGAATGAGAATATGCATTTTAGTAAGAATACTACAGTAAATACAGTAATGCTGGTTACTTAATTAGTAAAGGTTTTAAAAATATTACATATAGAAGTTTTGCAGAAGTTAGGTATAGAAATGATGGTTGAATTTTTAATTAAAAGTCTCAAGATGCAGTATCTGGCTGTCCTAAGCTCATGGATCCAACTACATGGTTTCTTCACATTTCTCAAATAAATTATGCACTTTCCAATTCATGCTATTATGGCTTCCTTGAATGGTGTCTTCTCTGATATAATCATAAAGTTCTAGCCATCCTTCAAGACCGCAACCCACCTTCTACGTCTTCCGTAAACCCGGTGTCAAGTATATCAAGTAAAGTGCTTGCTGTATTCTCTAAACTACTATTTACAAAAAAAATTCTTTCTGTCCAGGGTTTTGTCTGTAGTTATGTCCTGCCTCTTTTGAATTGTGAAATATTTTCTTGTTTATCAAATGTTTGTCTCATCTTCCCAACCAGAAAGTCAGCTCGCTGAAAATAGGATTGTGTCTTTTATATCTTTGTATCCCCCTTAGCACTTGACATAGAGCCTTACCTTGGCAGGTAAGCAATAGATATTTGTTGAAAGACTGAATTTCTAATTAGACGTAAATTACCTAAAAAGTAAGCCAGGATGGGGTGAATTTTTTCTTTGAAGCTTTATTTTATTACAGATATCAATTGAAATGATTTTAAAAAATAAATTATTATCTATATATGTATGTTTTAATCTGAAAAGGCATCGTTCTTTTTGTTTTTGGTAACAAATTTTACACATTCTTTTTTTGTCCTCATTGATTTATTATCTGATATAAGGGACATATAAGGAGACAGATATCCATCTTTAAAATTGCCTCAAAAGTTTTTTTTTTTTTTAACCACAGATAAGGAAACAACCACCATCGGTTAAATTTGATGCAAAAATATTGCATCTACCAGCATTTTCAGGTAGGATCATAAAGGACTTATCGAACATGTAGACTGTCTGTATACAGATACGAATATGAAATTTATTCACAAATGGAATATTTGTATGTGAACAACTAAATTTATTTTGTCTTGACAATTGGTTATATTCTTGGGTCAGTGTTATGTGAATTGTAAATAATCTGTAATTCATTTGTGCCAGCTGTTGACATTTCTCAGCTGAGTCTGGGCTGCCCTGTCCTCTTGTGAGTGGGGAGGTTCCTGTAGATCTGGGCAAGTTTTCCTGTAGAGTGGGTGGGGGGCCTCCTCCCTTCCGTTCATAGAGCTGGTTGAATTTCCACCATTTATGGCAGGTGTAGGTGCACAGGGTTGGGGACAACAAGGAAGGATTGGGATTCTATTGGCGGGACCAGGACATTTGAGAACGGGACTAGGTGGTTCATGACTGTGGAGATGGTGTGGGAGTGGAGATACTTAAGGGATAATTATTACATTTCTGTTGAGCTAATGAAAATCTTATTTACGGTGAAAGTCAGAAATTTTTACATACCTTAAACTTTTTTTTTTTTAACAAATTATATTTTAAGCTGTTAAACTCAATTTGGGGAAAATTATTCATTGTGGCTAGAGTAGAATCTATGATTTGAAGTAAATTTAAAATATATTTAGGTTTAAATAAACCAGCTAAGGGTTTATATCAGTCAACTTAATTAGTGATAAAAACAACCAAAAAAACCTGTGTAGAAGGACGTTTTTGAAAGACCAAAGTGAAGCAAAATATTAATAGTGCTTTCAGTGCCAAGTAGGTCTATTTATGCAAACCTAGAGAATTATTATCGGGAAATACTATTTCCTTTTTCTTCTTTGAGTTACTTAGGAAATTATATTTACAATTTCTTTGTCTAAAGATTGAGATCAGCAAAAACATGTTAGCAAAAAATTTTAGGGAGTATCACATTTCCTAGATTTTGCCCTTTTTTTATAGGGATTTGGAGGTAGGAATTTCAGGTGATTTTAGCTATCATGTTATCCTCGTTATTTTTTTACAGTAATTTCATTGGAACTTTTTAATAACTGTGTGGTTTGTGCTTTTCTCAATATCTGAGAGTTGATTTATTTATACAAAGGCTTTTTTGTCTTTTACTCCAGTTGTATTGAACTTTGCATTTTGTTATAATCTAGGTTGTGAGACAATTCTGCTTTAGACATCTGCTTGGTTTGAAAGCATAGTTTTCCATTGAAGTGTTTAAAAAGTTTCCATGGATAGATAAAGAGATGAGGAATATAGAAGGACAAATAGAAGTAGTGTCATCTTTGGAGTATTTTTGGTGTTGACAGAGTAATGTTTTCTTTGTCCTCATCTTAGCTGTCGTAACTCTGTGTTTATTTCTCATGTAATGTTTCCAGCAGTTGTTTTTCTCATCATCATACTTTTGTTATTTTCTTTCCTTGGCAATGGATAAGTTATAATTTCTGAAAGACCAAGATTGGAATGACTTTTTGTAACAAGTGTGCTCGCAGATCGACTCCAGTGAGAAGAGCTCGGGGACCTCCTGAGCCAAGCTTAATCTCCTTTGCTGTTTGTGAGTGGTGGCTGGTCACCAGGAGGTGGCCACCAGGCTCCTCCTTTCCCCGCTGGTAGGCCTCTGTGACATGACTTATGCATTTAAATTTATGTTTTTTATAGAGGCTCAAACAAGTGCTAAAATAGCAATTTGATTTAACTACCATGAAAAAACTGATTTATCACGATTTTAGGTTTATGCAAATTATCCTCTGCTTAATCCTTACGTCTTAAAGTAGATAAGAGTAGACGGTGATTTTGAACTTTTTGTTGTTGTTGTTGTTTGTAATACTCAGGTTTCCATTTTATGTTAACTTGTAAGATTTTTAAAAAATATGTGAAATCAGGCCGGGCGTGATATCATAAGACAGACCTTTTACCTTCTCATCAGTGACTGGAATGAACGCCTGTAATCTCAGTACTTTGGGAGGCCGAGGCAGGTGGATCACCTGAGGTCAGCAGTTTGAAACCAGCCTGGCCAACATGGCGAAACCCCATCTCTACTAAAAATACAAAATTAGCAGGGCGTGGTGGTGCACTCCTGTAATCCTAGCTACTTGGGAGGCTGAGACAGGAGAATCACTTGAACCCAGGAGCCAGAAGTCGCAGTGAGCCGTGATCATGCCATTGCACCCCAGCCTGGGCAAAAAGAGCGAAACCCCATCTCAAAAAATAAAAACAAAAAACAAACAAAAAAAAATGTGATATCATAAGACAGACCTTTTCCCTTCTCATCAGTGACTGGAATTAACTGCCCATGTGGAACGGGTTGTGGGTGTTGGTTCCTTTACTGGGTCATCTGGTAAACTGCAAGGTTTCTGCTGTGACATTGAAGGCAGACATCAACCCTCTAAGACATTTTTTTCCTATCCTCTGGGAATATTACTTTTTGGACAATCTTGGTCCATTGGTAAGCTCATGGGAATTTGTCAGAGTTTTTTTGTTTCTTTTGGCTCATGTTTAGCATCGATTGGCAGAGTGTTTGGAGTCATCCTCAGAAAGGAATTACAGTGGTTCGGAGGTGTTTTCTGTAGTGGGCCCTCATTTGGGAATTGGCTTGAAAAAAATGTAAGTTCACTTGCTTCCAGGATGGTATTAAGATTGCTTTTTTTGATAGTTGGCGTGTGTCTATCAGGTAAGGGCTGTCATTTAGAGAATATAAAGTGGTAGGAGAAACTAAAAGTACTGTTCTTAGTTTTTATTTTAATCTTATTCGTATACAAGTGCCTTTGTAATTTAGCAAATATCATTTTTGGTGTACAGTATAAATTTCCTTTTTATAAAGATCTGAGTTTTTAACTTTGCTGTCACTTTCTGTGTTTCATGACTTAAATATTTTAATTTTTTCTTTTTTTACATTTACATTTTTTATTCTAGTTCCAATTGCTAATCCAGCATTTGTGGATAGCTGCAAACTGCGATATGTAAGTAACATTTACATTTTAAAAATTATTTCTCATGGTTTTATTAAGTAGTTACAGCATACATATTTATCAAAAGCAGAGTCCTAAGTAATTATCATAAATTTTCCTGATGTAATGATGAATTTACTCATAGGCAATTTTTATGGGCATTCCAATTATAAACTTTAGAATATTTAAAAATAGCCCTTCTCCTAATATAGATACGATTCTGGGATTATCTAAGCTACTCCTGGAAACTTTATTAACTGTTGTTGTTTTTTTATTTTCGTAGAGACAAGGTCTCTCACTATGTTGCCCAGGCTGGTTTCCAACTCCTGGGCTCAAGTGATTCTCCCATCTCTGACTCCCAAAGTGTTAGGATTACAGACGTGAGCCACTGCGCCAGGCTAACTGTTACTGTTTTGAGTATTGGTTATAAAATACTTCAACCCTGATCCCTGTGTATTAATTTAGTTATACTTCCTCAAAGTTTCCCTTGGGCACCCTTATCTGTCCCTATGTAGCACATAGCTTCCCTATGATGTTATTTATAATCTAATGAGATTAATTATGATTTATAAACTCCCGATGGAAGGAAGTGTCCTTACTTTTTATAGAAGCAACATACCAGGTGGAAAGCACCGTAGATCAAGTGTTAGAAGGCTCTGGGTTCCTGTTGCCTATAAGACTTGGCCAAATGATTATCTTTTTCTCAATCTCTGTTTCCTGGGGAGTGTGGGTGGGACAAGGAAATGGCATAGGTTTAGGATTCAGACAGACCTGGGTGTGGATCAAAGATCCGCTTTCTGGGCCAATTACTTTAATTGCTGAGCCGCAGTTTCCTCATCTGTAAAATTGGGATGGGATAACTACTTCATAGATTTTTGGTAATTATTCAACTTTGAATGTGGTAAATATGTGAGATACCTGGTATAGTGCCTGTTTCTTTCTTTCTTTTTTTTTTTTTTCTGAGTCGGCATCTCCCTCTGTCACCCAGGCTGGAGTGCAGTGGTGCGATCTCAGCTCACTGCAAGCTCCGCCTCCCGGGTTCACGCCGTTCTCCTGCCTCAGCCTCCTTAGTAGCTGGGACTACAGGCGCCCGCCACCACGCCCGCCCGGCTAATTTTTTTCACCGTGGTCTCGATCTCCTGACCTCGTGATCTGCCCACCTCAGCCTCCCAAAGTGCTGGGATTACAGGCATGAGCCACCGTGACTGGCCGTATAGTGCCTGATTCTTAGTGGGTATTTCATTGACAGTGGGGTTGGGGTTGTAGAAGTTGTAGTTATTATCATGAAGCTTGCTTATCTCATGATTGTTAGGACAGGCACATGAAAAAACGGAGGTGAAAGGATTTTGTGAATTGTGGCAGTGGTATAATAATTATTCTTCTATGCTGGTGAAATATGGGTGAAACAATAGGAGTTTAGAAAATGTTTAATAATAAGGGTAATTCTTATTATACGTCTTCTAATGTTACTCTCGCAAAATAAAATCTGGTAATAGAAAGTAGGATTTTTAGGTAATGGTTGAGCATTTAATACTTTGAGAAGGCTTATGGTATGCTCATTAAAAATGAATCAATGAAATATGTATCTAAACACTTTTATTTAAAACGTGTTATATACCTGAATGGGGTGCTCCCTGCTGACATTTTCAGACAGACATTCCAAATCATTTCCGAGAACAGTCATCCCTCTGTATCAGCCAGGAGAATGGTTCTAGTATCCCCTTGGATACTAAAATTAACACATACTGTTTTTTCCCCCACTGTTAAAAATTGAGGTTTGATTGTAAAACAGTTTTAATTTGAATAAAATGATACTGAGGTAGACAAGTTCTCTGGTAGGAATCTTCTTTTATTCTCTTTCTCCATCCAAAGCCACTTCCAGCGAGGTTTTCTCTGACCTCAGGTTATATTACCTTGATAGCATATGATAAAGGGTCCTTAACTTAGTCTGGGAGATAATTATTATTGAAGTAGATACTTAGTTTTGTTTTGCTTATAAAAAATTAGAATCACATGATATAGTTTTTTATGTTTGTTTTCCCCCATAACATATATATTATGTATTTTAAATGTTATCAACATTTTAAAATAAAATACATAATACTTAAGGTAAACGTTTTATATGTTGTGAATATCTGATCATTTTGTTTACTATTTTTGGATAGTATTATAATGTTGTAAACAACATTTTGATGAACATTTTTGAGATTAAATCTTCGTGCCCGCTTTTTCTTTTTCCCTTTAGGAAAGATTCATAGAACTAGAACAAATGGGTAGAAGGCAGTAAATATCTTTGTGACTTCTGAAAAATTGCTGAAATACTCTTAAAAAAACATTGTATCAATAGATAATCCCAGTCAATGTGTTTAAAATGCCTTTTGTTAGAACTTCCAACGTTGAGTATTTATCAAATTGTATATCCTTTTATCCTTGCCAATCAACTTTATGAGGTATAATTCATATATAGTAATAGTGTAATACTGTAACTTTAAAATGTGTTACTTGTAAATTACACATAATTTAAAATGTTCCATTTTAGCTATTTTTATGTGTACAGTGACATTTAGTTCATTCCCATTGTTGTGTAACCATCACCACTATTCATTTCCAGAACTTTTTCGTCATCTTAAACAGAAGCTCTTTACCCGTTAAACATAACTTCCCCTTTCCTTTCCCTTCCCCAGTCCTGGTAACCTATACTCTACTTATTCTATCTTGGTAAATTTGCTTATGGTGAGTACCTCATATTGCTACTGAAACATCGAGGGGTTTGGTCTAGGTCCTGTTGCTCACAGCGCAGAAAGCCAATCACGGAGACGATGAGTGTTGCTAGGGAACAAGGCTTCAATTGGGTGCTGCAGCTAAGGAGATGGGAGATCAATCTCAAATTTGTCTCCTCGACTGACTAAAACCACAGGTTTATTTAGCAGGGAAGAAATGTAACCATGTATGGGAAAACAGGAGTTAGGGAAGGGTGAGGGAGAGGAGTTGGTCGACAGGAAGCAGGTAGTTGGTTAGGCAATTGTGATGGGTGAGGTGGTCTGGTGTCTTATGGTCCAGATGTGGTGATCTGGTAAGTTTCAGTTCCTTGATAACTATCTGGGAGGCCTGATGGTTGGTTTCCCAAGAAAGGAACTCAGATAAGACAAATGTAACTTTCTCAAGTTTTAAGACTGGGAGGGTCAATTTCTATCTTTATTTTAAAAGACTGTAAACATCAGTTCTATAGGACAATTGGGCTGGTTTCATTTGCAAGGTTTATCCATGTTGTAACTAACATGTGTCAGCATTTCATTCCTTTTTAAGGCTGAATAATATCCCTTTGTATGTAATATACCACAGTTTATCTTTTCATCTGTTGTTGGGCACTGGCTTGTTTATATCTTTTGGCTATTGTGAACAATGCTGCTATGAACATTAGTGTTTTCACACCTGATGGGTATGAAGTTAGTATCTCATGGGTTTGATTTGTATTTTGTGACTAGTGATGTTGAACATCTTTTTTTGTGATTGTTGGCTATTTGTATATCTTCCTTGGAGAAAGGTCTAGTCAAGTCATTTGCCAATTTTTTTTTCTTTTTTTGAGATTGAGTCTCGCTCTGTCGCCCACGCTGGAGTGCAGTGGCGTGATCTCGGCTCACTGCAACCTCTGCCTCCCAGGTTCAAGCGATCATTCCATCTCAGCCTCCCAAGTAGCTGGGATTACAGGCACCTGCCATCATGCCCAGCAATTTTTGTATTTTTGTAGAGACGAGGTTTCACCGTGTTGGCCAGATGGTCTTGAACTCCTGACCTCAGGTGATCCACCCGCTTTGGCCCCCCAAAGTGCTGGGATTATAGGTGTGAGCCACCGCACCCAGCTGGTAGATTTTTTGTTTTGTTTTGTTTTCAAGAAGGCCTCTCAGTGGCTTACCTCTGTGCCATGCTTTGGAGTTTGAGCTGTCTTCTCTTTACTAACTGTAGCTCTGTAGGACTTGGGAGTCAACCTTACCTTCTTTTTTCCTCCCTATTTTGTAGGTCTTGTTTGAGTTAGCTTTTCTTTTTATTCCAGGCCTGTAAATTTTACTAGATTGTCTCTAGGAATTTCATTTTACTAATTTGCTTCAGCCTGCCTGCCTGCCATCTCTTTTTACTAATTTGCTTCTGCCTGCCTGCCTGCTTCCTTCCTTCCTTCTTTCCTTCCTTCCTTCCTTAATTCCTTCCTTCCTTCCTTCCTTCTTCCCTTCCTCTCTCTCTCCCTCCCTCCCGTCCCTTCCTTCCCCCCTCCCGTCCCTTCCTTCCCTTCTTTTCTTTCCATTTATTTTGAGATAGAGTCTTGCTCTGTTGCCCAGGCTGGAGTGCAGTGGCGCAATCTTGGCTCACTGCAACCTCCGCCTCCCGGGTTCAAGCAGTTCTCCTGCCTTAGCCTCATAAGTAGCTGGGATTACAGTTGTACGCCACCATGCCCAGCTTATTTTTGTATTTTTAGTTTAGAGATGGGTTTTCACCATGTTGGCCAGGCTGGTCTCGAACTCCTGACCTCATGTGATCCTCCCGCCTTGGCTTCCCAAAGTGCTGGGATTACAGGTGTGAGCCACAATGCCCAGCCTCCTCACCCCTCCTTTAGCTATTATATTACTTCCTAGATTTCTTCCTCTCTATTTCACCCTTTTTCTGTTCCTGAAACCCCTACAGGATGGGTGTGGGAGTTTGTGTCTCATGACTCTTCTTTCAAATTTTCTTTTGCTTTCTCACTTTCTCTTGTTTATTGAGATATAATTCACATACCATAAAATTCACCATTTTAATGTGTACAGTTCAGTAGGTGTCAGTATATTGAAAACTGTTCAACCATTGCCACTATCTAATTTGAGAACAGTTTTCTCACCCAGTGAAACCCAGTACCCATTCTTCTCCAACCCCTGGCAACAACTAATCTACTTCTTGTCAGCTGATTTGCTATTCTTGATATTTCATATAAATGGAATCATACAGTGTGTGGCCTTTTGTGTCTAGCTTCTGTCATTTAGCATAATGTTTTCAAGGTTCCTCCGTATGGTGGAATGTGTGAGTACTTCATTCTTTTTCTAGCTGAATAATCTTTGTATGGCTATTCCACATTTTGCTTATGTGGTCTTGATGGACATTTGGGGTTGTTTCCACATTTGGCTATTATGAATAATGGTGCTCTGAACATTTGTCCACAGGGTTTTGTGTGAACATATACGTTTTTATTTCTCCTACAGTGGTGAGATTGCTGGATAAAATGGTAACTCTGTGTTGAACCTTTTGAAGAACTGCCAAAGTCTCTTTGTTAAACTTTTATTTTAGGTTCAGGGGTACACATGCAGGTTTGTTATATAGGTGAACTCATGTTATGGGGGTTTGTTGTATGAATTATTTGGTCACCCAGGCACTAAGCTTGGTAAGGACCAATTGTTATTTTTTCTGATCCTCTCCCTCCTCCCACCCTCCACCCTAAATAGGCCCCCGTGTCGATTGTTCCCTCTTTGTGTCCATGCAAACTTTCTTCTTTTATTGCTCTTCCTTGACTTTATCTTTGAGCTCTCAAACTTGATATTTATCCCCACTCATTTTATTATTTAGGATTTCCAGTTAATTTTTTAATTTCAACAATCATATTTGAAAGTTTTTGTTCATTTTCTTTTTCTCTGATTGGTCCTTTTTCCTAGCTGCCTATATTTGGTATATAATATACTTTTGAATTTGAGGATAAATATTAGGATTATAAAAATCCTCATCTTGGAGCAGAATTTAGAATTAAATATTGTTATTAATATTTAAGGCTAAACATTAGGATTATATAATATAAGCCTGGAACCTGGACTTTGAAAAAAAGGGAACAAAATTAGGATTATGAACATTGTATTCTTATCTCTTGAACTTGCAGGTCACTTCTTTTTCATCATGGTCCTGCTTTTTAATGCTGTTTATTTCTCAAATGCCTGGTGATCTCTGGTTCTTCATTTATATTATGAATAAATGATTAAATTGATTGGTATAGAAGTTGGCAATATGAGTTTCCTTTATTCTTGCCTAAGTCTCTTTCTCCAATAGCTTCTCCTTTAAAGAAAGGGCTGGTATGTGGGTAGGTGAGGCCTGTTGACTGGTTGACTTTAATTTGGGATTCCAGCTGGCTGAAGATCAGTAGGCAGGCTGGAGGCCTCTGCAATTGCCAGGGTGGGTTTTTCTTTGCAGTGGAGCTGGCTTTCCTCATTTATTCCCTTCCCCGCTTCGGTATCTGGAGGACCACAGTTGCTGCTTCCCACATCCATCCATCCAGTGAGCAAGGTGGATTGCTCACTGTAGGAATGATTTTCCACATTTACTCAGGAGGCCAGGGCTGCAGGGTTTATTCTGTGTACCAGGGAAGGGAGATGGAAAAGAGACAGGACCTGATTGGCTCTGCTGTTCCTTGTACAAGGACACAATTTTTCCTTGTGCAGTTGTTTAATCTGATTATTGTCCTGTGGCTCATTCTTTCTTTTTGTCTTTGTTTATTCCAAGTCCCTGAGGCTTCCTTGGGAACGTCTGTCTACCTGTGGTTCTTAGACAGGGGATTCCTTTGTTGATTCTCTGTCAGTCTTAATTCTATTTGTGCATGTCATCTGAGATTTTCTCAAACTTTCTAGTCCACTTTTAGCCCTCCTTTTTGTTTCCAATTATCATTTAATAAAAAGAGCTTGTATTTTAGAGACTCTGGAGGGTTCAGAAAAGTGAGTGTCAAGTGTTCAGTGTGCAATCATTAAAGACAGAGAATATCTCATAAGTTTGCATCTGTGTTACTTACACGATTGTGATTTACGGATGCTTTATTTCTTTCCCTTTCCCTTTTATTTTTCCTTTTGTTTCTTTTATGTATTTATTATTATTATTATTTTTAGAGACTCACTCTAAAAAAAAATAGGGTCTCACTGTGTTCCCCAGACTGGAATGGGACTACAGGTACATGCCACCATGCCTGGCTAAATTAAATTTTTTTTTTTTTTTTTTTTTTTTTTAGAGACAGGGTCTCACTTTGTTGGCCAGGCTGGTCTTGAACTCCTGGCCTTAGTGATCCTTCCATCTTGTCCTCCTAAAGTGCTGGGGATTACAGGTGTGAACCACTGTACCTGGCCAAAGTTTTTATTTTTTAATATGATGTATAAGGTTTAGAAGTGCTTTATTTTATTTATTTATTTATTTTTGAGACGGAGTCTCACTCTGTTGCCCAGGCTGGAGTGCAGTGGCACGATCTCGGCTCACTGAAACCTCCACCTCCTGGGTTCAAGCGATTCTCCTGCCTCAGCCTCCCAAGTAGCTGGGATTACAGGCGCCCACCACCACGCCTGACTAATTTTTGTATTTTTTAGTAGAGATGGCATTTCACCATGTTGGCCAGGCTGGTTTTGAACTTCTGACCTCAAGTAATCAGCCTGCCCTGGACTCCCAAAGTGCTGGGATTACAGGCGTGAGCCACCATGCCCAGGAGAAGTGCTTTTAACTCCACACGTGTTTAGGTTTTTTGGTTTGTATTTGTTATTTTTACTTTTTTCCTTTTACTACATCAAAATGAGTCCTTTATAATTTCTGCCCTAGGGAATTCTAATAATTTTTCTTTGTGGTCCAATATAAAATCATTTTTAATGTATGCCATGAATGTAGTCAACTATTGATAATAATGTAGTACTAGTAGTTTGCTCAGTCAGCACAAATTGTCAGGACACAGTGGTAATTTCTGCATGTGGATTATCTCCTGATTCTTAGAACAACATGAAACCAGGCTCATGAAAGATGAGTAATTATCCCAGGGTACTGTCTCCCTCACCTCCAATGGTGGGCCAGAGCTAGGTCCAAGACTTTGAATTCTAGAGTGTTAGACACCATCCTATGCAGCCTCCCACTGAGTAAGGGTGGTCACTGTTTGTAGGGTGTAGAGTTTGATAGATACGTCTGTTACTTTGACTTCATTAGTTTTATTTAGAATGCTTGAATGTGTGAATGTATTGATTAATATATTCGTTATTGCCTTCTCTCTGTGCTTGGAAGAGAAGAAAATTGAAGTTTACCACTACCATGGGTTTACTTTGCGTGCTTTGTTATTTGGTGTATAAAGATTCACATCTTAGATCTTCTGTAGGTCATATGGTGTTTCGTTTAAAGGGAATCTTCTTCTGAAGAGTTTAGCCTTGAATTCTGCTGAGATTTACATTGGCAATCCTGTTTGCATTTTGTTTGCCTTGGACAGCCATACTTTTATGCACTCCTTTCCTACTAATGTGTTTATTTTGCTTTTGATGTTGATATATTTGTTCAACCAACATTTTTAGATGCCCGAGTGCGCTCCAAGCACTGTCTAGGTGTCACAGTGGCGATTGGGATACAGTCCTGCCTTCATGGATCTTCTGGGCTGGTCGAGGAGACAGACAATAAACCAGTCAATGAATGAATAAGTAACTGCAAAATTTTAGTTCTGCTCTAATGTGGTAGCCATTCACTTCATGGGGGTTATTTAAATTAGTTAAATTAATAGTAGCTTACTCATTCAGCATGTATTGTCGGACACAATGGTACTTTCTGCACATGGATTATCTCCTTTGATTCTTTTAACAACATGCGGTATGTATTGTTATCGGTCCTACTTACGAGGTAACCAGGACTAGGCACATGAAAGATGAGTAATTACCCCAGGGCACTGTCTCCCTCACCCTCAACTGTGGGGGTAATTTTTAAAATAAAAATTAAGGCCAAATACAGTGGCTCACGCCTATAATCCCAGCACTTTGGGAGGCTGAGGTGGGCAGATCAGTTGAGCTCAGGAGTTCAAGACCAGCCTGGACAACATGGTGAAACCCTGTTTTTACTAAAAATACAAAAATTAGCCAGGTGTGGTGACACACACCTACAGTCCCGGCTACTTGGGAGGCTGAATTGGGAGGATTACTTGAGCCCGGGAGGCATTGCAGTGAGCGGAGACTGCGCCACTGCTCTCTAGCTTGGATGACCCTGTCTTCCAAAAAAAAAAAAAAAAATTAATTTGAATAAAATTTGTTGTTCCTCACTTGCATGTGTCATATATTATGTGCTTGATAGTCATGTGTCTAGTGGATACTGGATTGAACAGTGCAGATGTGGGACATTTGTCAGTGCACGAAGGTTTGGTAGACAGTGGTGCCTTAGATGCCGTCATGGAGATGGGTTGGTTCTGAGGTACAGTGTCAAGTCACTGGGGGCACCTGGAGTGGTGACCTGAGAAAACCTGAATTTTGAGAAGGAACCTGTACTGTGAGGGTGTTGTCTATGGGGCATGTGGTACTTGTATTTAGGATTTTGGTAAAAAGTGACTATTCATAAGCTATTTAAAGTTTCTATTTTAAAAGTATAGGGTTTTTAGGTAGTGTGTTTTCTTTTGTTCTAATAGGAATTGTTTTGGTCATATTAGGGAAAATAATTGGCTTGTTGATACATTTTTATTTCCATTGATTAAATCTGGTAGCCATTATTTACTTTTATAGATTGAAAAATGGTTCAGTGTTTCAAAAGTATTTTGAGCTTGTCTTTGAAAAGAGATAGACAGGCAGGTGCAGTGGCTCAGACCTGTAATCGCAGCAGTTTGGGAGGCTGAGATGGGAGGATTGTTTGTCAGGAGCTCAAGGCCAGCCTGGGCATCATAGCGAGACCCCATCTCTACAAAAAGTAAAAAAATTAGCTGAGCGTGGTGGTGCACGCCTGTAGTCCCAGCTACTTGGGGGGTTGTGGTGGGAGGATGGCTTTTCCAATTATCCTACAGATATTTTTCAAAATGATTACTTTTAAACTATAATCTTTTTATTCAGAGGTAGGATGCTAGTTCTACAATTGCCTAGGTCTTCTTTAATTTGTATATGTTAAGAAATTTTAATGGGCAATTTAATAAGTGTTGAAATTTCTAAGAATTATTTCTGTATGTTAGAGTTGTGATAACGCAGACATTTTCCCTGAAGTACTTCTCTGAGTCTGATTTGTTTTCCTCCATGGGTGCCACATAGGTTTCTTTTAAGAAGGTAAAAAATAAAAGCTGACTAAGGTACATATTGATTATTCCAGACAACATGCAGACATCACTCAATGAGTGCAGTTCTCATCAACTCACCATTTGTTTCAATTAGAAAAAATTCTCATCAAAACTAATTTTTCTGCATGAAATACCTTTTCAAATCACACTGAATGTGATTTATTAATTGTGATTTATCAAATTCAGTTTTCTGCTGGATACTAAAGGCACACCTCATTAAGACTAGTGATTATGGAAATAGTACAATATTTTAGAAACTTTTGATTGTAAAAATTTCTTTTAAAATGAATACATACAGATATGTTATTGTTCAGATATTTAACACTTACGTAGAAACTCACTGATCTACTAACAAGTAGAAAAGAGACCTTTAGCCAAATGCCTCTGTACTCAGCAATAAAATGATTAATTACTGTGTTGCTCTTTTCTCTGGTTAAGGCTTTTAACAAATTTTGTTTTTCCTTTTACTATTACACCATAACTTGTTTAAATTTTGTTGCTGTTGCAGAATTACAGCAGACATTACAGTTCATGTCTCCCTGTGTATACGAGGGAGAGTTTCTCTGGGCTGTGTACATGGGGGAGTGTGGGCCTGACCTGTCACATTCAATTTTTATTTCACAGTCTTATATCTAATGCTCATCATTGCATAATGTAACTAGCTGGGGTTAGTTTCCTCAGTCCCTGACTCTTCTCTTCAGAGCCTGTTTTCTCTCCGTTTACAGATGGGCCAAGGTTGCTCGGGTGATTGGTTTACTGGCTTCGCACAAAACTGATCTCCAGGAAAATACACCTGTTGTTGAGGTAATGTCTTTTATGACTGAAATGTGATGAATGACAAGAAATACTGTTGTTGATTCTGTAATTTAGAACATGTGGCTTTCCTTGACCTTCACTTGACTTTTCTTTGTGGGATTGTGGAAATTGTTCAAAAACTTATCACCTCAACAGACCTTTAGGCTTAAACATAGCGGCTCATTTACAATGTAGTCCATCATTAAAATGGCACAGCAGAGTTAACAAGGCTCGTGAACCCTACTCATCATTATTTCATTTGTTTTTGAATAAGACTTGTTCATTTCCCGTTTTCTTGTAGTCTGTCCAACATTTTGTTACAGCTAATGTATTTCCTAATTAAATCATAGCTTATAATTCAAAATTCAAATTCTTCTGGCTTTTAGTGTTTTCGTATGAAAGATTACTTTCTACCTATTCTGTTAATGTATATTACACTTTATTGGTAATAGAGTGTTATACCTTGAACTGGGAGAGGCTCAAGAGTCAGTGTAGGTGAAAAGAACCAAGGCTTTTTAGGGGAAATAGCAAGAGGTCCTGAAGGAAGTTAAAAAGGGTAAGGGAGAGAGGATTTTGTAGAGCTGAAGCTGGTTGTGTGGTATTTGGGGCTTTAAGAGGAATTGGAAAACTTTCTATGTCTGTGTTGTCCACTATAGTAGCCAATTGGTATTTGGAGCCTCAAGAGGAATTGGAAACTTTTCTCTCTGTGCCATTCACTGCAGTAGCCAATTGCTGGGATAGTATACCAGCTGGCCTTACAGTGTCTGGGTGGAGATTAATATAATTTCACTGTATTTCCCTTGCTTACAATTACATCTCTATTTCCTGCAAACTGTTGGATCTCTGAGCTACTAGTAAAATGCCACTAAGTCTAATTGTTTCCTTTTTTGGGGGGCCTAAAATAAATGAATTGTGACCTGTGTGATTACTGATGGTACCCAACTTGGTTCTCAGAGATGTGTCGAGTAGATTTTTATCTAAAAGATTGAGCATATAGGGCAGTATTACCAGGAAGATGAGAAGGCTTAGGATCTTAAAAATGGGGGTTCCTTCTGATGGCTCAGAGCAAAAGGTCTCCAGTGAGATGGAGTAGCTGTAGAAGATGGGAGAGAACATAAAGTCCAAGACAAAGTCCCAAGATTTTAGAGGATATTCATGCATCGTCAGAGCAGGCATTTGTTGCTCAGAAGCTGTGAAGAAAGAGCCTCTGAATATGTAAAATATGACTGTTGAATTAAATGATTCAGTAGTTGCAGTAGATTATGGATACTTTAGGAAGCTGAGTTAGTGAATTTGAAGATCAGTTGGATGAATTCTCTTAGGATTCAGAAAGAAAGAGGATAAAGATTGTGAATTAAAAAGGCATGGATGATAGTTTCAGATGTGTTCCACTATCCAGTATAGTAGCCACCAGCCACTGTGGCTATTGAGTGCTTGAAGAACAGCTAGTCTGAATTGAGATGATCAACTTATAGAAAAGAATACTATGGGCACCCTGTAATTTCCAAACCCCTTGTTCTACTTGATCTTTTTCACAGCATATATCACCACCTGGCATTTTATGTATTTATTTCTCTTTCCATACTAGACTACAAGCTCCATTGGAACAGGGATTGTGAATTGTCTTGTTCAACACTCCACCCCCGTGCCTAGACAGTGTCTTGTGTATATCTAGATACTGACAAATATTTTGAAATAAGTGAATGAAAGTGTATCAGTATGCTTGGGACTCCCTGTAGCAGTGCCTGGAAGATGGTATGTTTTGCTGCTGCAGGAATTCTCAAGGGACTGGGCAGAGGGCATGTGAAGTAATCTGGGACCTGCTTGTCACCCTGGGTGATGTGCTGCCCTTGTTCTACTGGTACTTGCTGTTGCGGCTGCTGCACTCCCACTTGGAGAGTTTGGCCCAGCAGTTCCTGGACCATATTTGTTACTTGTGCTCACTCAGGTTGAGTTCTGTGGCCAGTTTGTATTCTCAAAGTATTTCTGCTACTCCAGTTATACTTTGTCAACGTTGTATTCCTGGTCCTGCCTCAACTGAGAGGAAAGGGTGGGTGTTAATTCCCGAGGTTCTTGTATCTTTGATTCCGGTACTGTTCTCTTCATGGGTGTTTGCTGATGCTTTATTAATTTGAAATGCAAGACCTTAGGGAAAATCATACTTATTTCATTTAAAAAATGGTGTGTACTGAACTATCTGGTGAACTGTTTTGAATTACACACACTGTATTGTGAACTACATTTGGTTGGATAGTAGGGAGCTTATATAATAACTTGAAATTGAGCCAGGTGCTCCTTTGTGATGCCATCTTAATTTTATTATTTCTCCACACCTTTTAGTTCTTTAGTTCGTTACTTTTAATGGCAAAATCTGTGAATTTCTTTTACATCAACCTATTTCCTGCTGTGAGCAATTGGCTGTGATAATTTAAGGAGCCACTAGAGGTCATTCAAGCACTAGAAAAAAAGTTGTGCAAGTTTTAAGAATTTGTTTCAACTTCTGGAAGCAGGATCTGTAGAGGCTGAGCAGGTACATGGTACCACGTTTCATCTTTTTCCTGGTTTTTTAGAAGTTTCTGCTACAGGATGTGTGGCTCCATTCCACTGGTGATTTTTACCATTTGAGAGGAATCAGATGAATGAAAACCATTATAGCCTCTCCAGAAAAATGCAGTCAGCACCTAGCACATGATTTCAGGGGATCTGAAAACTCTGCGGAGTCCACTGGTGAATCTTTGGTTCATAACTCCTGAGACCAGGTTTCTGTAAAACTCACAATTGGGTGCTTGTAGATAATTTTTCAGTAATCAGTAACAAAATTTCAAGTGTAAGATAAATCCTGAATTCTCTATTAGATTTACTATCAGTGAACAAGAAAAATTGTGGTTGAAGTTCCTGTAAGCATTTTATTTTTTATTTTACTTATTTATTCATTTATTTTTTGAGACAGAGTCTCGCTCTGTTGCCCAGGCTGTAGTGCAGTGGTGTGATCTCGGCTCACTGCAACCTCTGTTTCCCAGGTTCAAGAGATTCTCAGCCTCAGCCCCAGCCCCACAAGTAGCTGGGACTGCAGGTTCATGCCACCATGCCCCGCTAACTTTTGTATTTTTAGTAGAGACAGGGTTTCACCATATTGGCCAGGCTGGTCTTGAACTCCTGGCTTCAAGTGATCCACTTGCCTTGGCCTCCCAAAGTGCTGGGATTACAGGTGTGAGCCACTGCACCAGCCTGGTACTTTCTAATATTTTGGATGCTTTCTTACTTGCTAAGCACTTTCTCTTACCTGGAATGTTTTTTACATTACCCCCTCCCCCAGTGATCTAATTTCTACTTTCTCTTTAAAGCCCAGCTAACATTCCATTTTCTCCATCAGGCCTTCCCTAACAGTCCCAGAACTCCTACATTGCCTGGTGTGCTGACCTAAAGCCCTCATTAAGACCAGTAACAAATCAAGCCTATCTTATCAACTGACAACACATTCTGGAACCATGGCGTGTCCATGGATAAGACATGAAGTCCTTCTTTCAAGACTTGGTTTTCTGGTCCTGGAAAATACCAATATGGATAAAAGACCTTCAAAGCTGCTACGATGGGTAAGGAACAATGCACACAGTATACCATTAAGGCAAAGAAGATAGTCTTAATCCTGTATGAAATGCCAATGAAGATGTAATTAATGAATAGACATTTCATTGAAATGAAATCAAAAGACATTTTCCTTCTCTGACATAACAGAGTAGAACTCTCTAGTAAGAACACAAAACTGACCAGCCTGACCAATGTGATAAAACCCCCTGTCTCTACTAAAAAGACAAAAATTAGCCATGCATGGTAGCAGATGCTTGTAATCCCAGCTACTCAAGAGGCTCAGGCATGAGAATCTCTTGAACCCAAAAGGTGGAGGCTGCAGTGAGTCGAGATCGCACAACTGCACTTCACCCTGGGCGACAAAGCAAGACTTTGTTTTTTAAAAAAAAGAAGAAGAAGAGAAAAAGAAAAAGAACACAAAACTCTGGTTACTGCTCTATGAGAATTAAGTGAATGTGAAGGAGAAGTTGGAATAATATTACAAGTTGGTGAAATATTGGAATTCTGGTCTGTTGGTGATTGGTCTTCATCTTTCCTATAAGAGATAGCTCATTACACAATGTATTCTCATTTGTCTGAACGGGATTATTTCCCTTAAGGCGATGGCCTCTTCTGCATCTTTATGTCTCTAATGTCTAGCATGGGAACTACTCAATATATATTTCAGGTTGTTGACAATGATTGCTGCTGTCTATTCCATCTAGGTAAGGGTTTTTGCATTCAAAAGGCCCTTTGCCTTAAGACCTAAAGAGGTTTTGGAACATCAGCAAGCATCCATCTCGAGGTAAATAACTGGAATCCCAATGGGCTGTGTGTGTGTGTCTGTGTGTGTGTGTGTGCGTGCTAACTGGAATCCCAGTGGGGTTTGTGTGTGTGTGTGTGTGTGTGTGTGTGTGCTAAATGGAATCCCAATGGGGTTTTGTGTGTGTGTGTGTGTGTGCGCTCATGCCTGCATACACATGCGTGCACTTCTGGTACATTTTGAACAGGCATCAGATTATGTTCCCACAGCCCCTCTTCATCAAAATGAAGACCTTGTACGTCTGAAATACAGTTTGTGAAAGTCAAATTGTTATCCCTGTGACATAGAACAGCCGTTAAAAATGTATTTCACTGGAATGTCATTCTAAATGAATATTTTTAAATAGATATCCAAAAATAAGAAAATACAGTGATTTTAGTG
Organism: Homo sapiens; assembly: GCF_000001405.40. Classification (NCBI taxonomy): domain Eukaryota; kingdom Metazoa; phylum Chordata; class Mammalia; order Primates; family Hominidae; genus Homo; species Homo sapiens. The sequence continues at coordinate 30,132,526 of NC_000015.10, forward strand.
TAATAAAACTGATTTCACAATTGTTTCAAGAAACTCGGAAAATAAAACTTCAAACTGGAAAAATGTGGCCATAAGAATGCATGGAGCCGGACGCGGTGGCTCATGCCTGTAATCCCAGCACTTTGGGAGGCCGAGGCGGACAGATCACGAGGTCAGGAGATCGAGACCATCTTGGCTAACACGAGGAAACCGCGTCTCTACTAAAAAATACAAAAAATTAGCTGGGCGTGGTGGTGGGCGCCTGTAGTCCCAGCTACTCGGGAGGCTGAGGCAGGAGAATGGCGTGAACCTGGGAGGCGGAGCTTGCAGTGAGCCGAGATTGAGCCACCGCACTCCAGCCTGGGCAAAAGAGGAAGACTCCGTCTCAAAAAAAACAAAAACAAAAACAAAAAAAGAATGCATGGAGTTAGTTCATTCTTCTCGCCCCCTGGAACTTCTGATCAAAAGTCAATACCTTTGTGACCTACAAGTCTCTTTATTTGCCCTCCATTATAGACTGAGCTGTTAATAACATTTAATGAGCTCACATGGATTCACTGGCTAATAAAGAAGAATAGAGTTGAGGACATTGCTGCCCTGTTTATGCCCAAAAATTACCCTAAACTGAAAGTTGCTTTGTGTTCCTTCACTCCCCTCTGCTGGTAAATTTTAATATAGTTCTTAATTTTTTTAAGTCAAATTGATAGAAACATCAATTGTGTTTTTAAAACTGTAAGAAAAAATAATGTTGAACATCACAAAAATGTACTCAATCTTTCCCAAAACCCATTTCTTTCCAGTTAGTTTTCATAACTGTAGGTTCTTAAAAAAAAAAAAATGAACACTTTGGCCGGGTGCGATGGCTCATGCCTGTAATCCCAGCACTTTGGGAGGCCGAGGCGGGTGGATCACGAGGTCAGGAGATCGAGACCATCCTGGCTAACATGGTGAAACCCCGTCTCTACTAAGCCAAAATACAAAAAATCAGCCAGGCGTGGTGGCGGGCGCCTGTAGTCCCAGCTACTCGGGAGGTTGAGGCAGGAGAATGTTGTGAACCCGGGAGGCGGAGCTTGCAGTGAGCCAAGATCACGCCACTGCACTCCAGCGTGGGTGACAGAGCAAGACTCCGTCTCAAAAAAAAAAAAAAAAAATGAACATGTCATCCATACTTCTAAGGTGTTGTAAAGATGTGTAAAGTTTTCACTTTTTGCATCATATTCACATGTGGCTATATGCCCTTTTCTCTTCAAAGTTTTCTTTATCTTGATTACTTATCAGAGGCTTGACTGTTTTATTATCTCAGTCTTTTGAAAGAATCCTCCTTCAGTTTTATTTTTTAAATCTAGTGGTTTTTCTTTTTCCTTTTTCCTTATGTCTTAATTATTTCCCCCTTTTTGTTTGTTTTGCTTTTCCCAGTTTAGTGGATCAATGTAATTTAAATTGCTTTTTAAACAAACATGTAAGGGTATACATTTTCGTTGGGTGCTGTTTGACTTTGTTGCACAAGTTTTAAAATCTATTTTTTAATAGTTTGTATTTTCTAAATTATTTTATTACAACTTTTGTTCACATTGCTCTTACTATTAATTTTTTATTTTTATTAATTAATTAATTAATTTATTTATTTATTGAGATGGAGTCTTGCTCTGTAGCCAGGCTGGAGTGCAGCGGCATGATCTTGGCTCACTGCAAGCTCCACCTCGGGGGTTCATGTCATTCTCCTGCCTCAGCCTCCCAAGTAGCTGAGACTACAGTTGCCTGCCACCACATCCGGCCTTTTTTGTATTTTTAGTAGAGATGGGATTTCACCGTGTTAGCCAGGATGGTCTCGATCTCCTGACCTCATGATCCACCCACCTTGGGCTCTCAAAGTCCTGGAATTACAGGCATGAGCCACTGCACCCGGCCCAAAAGCTTTGTGTTTTTACAGATATTAGACATGTTTCTTGTTTAAGAAAAAAAAATCTTAATGAAAACGTAGGAGAATAAAAGAAACATTTTTCCAAAAAAGAGAAATCATTGTGATTATTTTATCTTATTAGAATGTTGGATAATATAGTCTGCTTCATTAATCATCAAGCATGCTATGCATTTTCCATTTTTATAGGATCTGTATCTCAGTTAAGGTAATACTGGTAATTTTTGTACTGTAATCAAAGATGAAGAATATAGGCCAAAATCATAGACCTTGCATAGAAGCTGGATAATGAAGACAGCTATGGAGAAAAACATAGATACACACACACGGACACACATATATATAAAGTATACACACATATATTTTTTAAAGTTTTAAAGCTTTTAAAGCAAAAGCCGGCCCCTCTTCTCTTCCAGAGTGGGAGGCCTCTCCCCTCTCTTAGAGTGGGTGGGGAGAGCAGTTGCCATGGGCAGCTTTCCTTGTGAGCCACAGGTCCCTCTGGACACACTGCTTTCTGGCCACGCCCCCTTTCCTTTTCATCTTTCTCATTGACCAATGGGCTTGGAGCATTAAGGCCACGCCCCTATTCCGCATTCTACTGGGGCCCTGGTTACGCCTCCTCTGGCTCAGTCACACAGCTGCCTGGTAGGTGACTGGAGGCCTTGATCGGTTCTCATTGAGATTTTGCTGCTGTGACCCCAACCCTGCCTCCCTCCCCACCCTGCGATGGCAGAAGAAACTCAACACAACAAATTGGCTGCAGCCAAGAAAAAGGTAAAAACGCACTAGGTCATAGCCCCTCAACCCAGCCACAGATCCCCTCTGATGACAAGACCCCTGCCAGAGTCTATACGACTCCTGAGGCACACTGGACTGGTCCCCCCTACCCCGGTGCCTCTGGGCTACCCCCACCAAAGTTTTGTCAGTCAGCCCCACCCCTTCAGCAAGCAGCCCAGTCCTTGCCCTCGCCAATCACCCCAGGGTGACTTTGGGTGGGTGAGTCCTGGGGCTTCCCGCTCCATTACTGGGCCCTCATCTCCTGCCGCCCCAAGCTTGATCTCCCTGGGCTCTTTGGGCTCTCATCTCCAAGGAGCCAGGCCCCACCCTCGCCAGTCATCCCTGGGTGACTTTGGACTGGTGACTCCTGGGACTCCCTGCTGCAGACTGTGCCCTCCCCTCCTGCTGCCTCAAGGTCGACCTCCCTGGGTTCTTTGTGCTGGCGTCTCCAAGGAGCTGGGTCCCAACCCTGTGCTTCCCTCCCCCATCGTGGAGCAGCGACTTGGACATGGTGCTGACATGGTCCCTCCCCCCGACCAGGAGGAGTGGAATGTTGTGATGTCACAGTCCACCTAGTAACTGCTGTTACTGCAAGACTGGCCTTTGATCTTACGACCCAGTCCCCTAAGCGTTCTCACCCCGTTTCTGGTTCCTCTGGTCACAGCACAAATTTCCAGCTGGAAGGGGAATGGAGACTATGGGACCTAGGAGCAAGAGGTTCCAGGCTGCCTCACTCCCTTACAGATGTTGACGGTGGGAAAAGCCTACACTTCCCCCATGAACTCAAAACGTTGACAGTATCTCTGGGTGGCAATGAGAGAATGGGTTTGGTTTGGTTTTCTCCCAGGCTTCTACTTTCCAGAGAGATTTTAACATTTTTTTCTGAGTTCTCCACCTCATATTCTAATTCTCCATGGTTCTGGGACCAGACTCTCCTTCAGTCAGTGGTCTCTGAAGTGACATTTGCTCATCTTCTGTGGAATAGATCTTGGGAAACTGAACTTGACACCTTGAATCTTCCTCATATTATCTCAACCTTGGGTACTTTGAGTGCCACAGGATAAATATGGGACATCTTTCTGAAGCATCAGTTTCCCTTGATTCTCTTGAGATCAAGAGAAAAAACATGAATGTACTTAGGGATGACAGTCACATAGGTTTCTAAGAGTATACCAGACCTCTCTCTGAAATGAGGCTTGGGTTGTCCTCTTTCTGATAAATTCTGATTTAAGAGAAAGGCTGCCTTCTGCCATGAGGACACATTGATATAAGAGTTTGAGAGGTACTGGTGCACTTCTTCACACTAACAGACGTGTGAGGATGTGTGACTCTAAACCACATGGCATACAGTTCCTGCCTACTTAATGTTTACTTTTCTACCTCTGCCTCTGGTTTTGGTCCCTGGCAGCTGCTGATTCTTGGCAAAACCTCAGAGCTTGGAGTCAGAAGACTGAGTTTCAAAGTTCCAGTATTGCCTTTTTCTTTTTTTTTTCTAGCCATGATATCAATCCTTCTCAGTCACTAAATGAGTGTGACAACACCTTGTACAGTTGTTGGTGTCATTAAATCAGATGGTGTGTAAGTGTATTTTGTAAAAACTGTAAAGGAGGATGTGGCTGTAGGGGCTGACGGTTCTCATGAGTATTACTGCTCTTCTTTCCAACAGTTAAAAGAATATTGGCAGAAAAACAGCCCTAGAGTTCCAGCAGGAGCGAACAGGAACAGGAAAACAAATGGCAGTATCCCTGAGAAAGCCACTTCTGGTGGTTGCCAGCCACCTAGGGATGTGAGTCTTGGCTGACCAGGCTTCTGGGGACAGGGGGCCCAAGGGGCAATAGAGGGTAATTCTTAAGATTGTGGATGGACTGCTGGGTACTGGTTAAGAATTCTGGCTTTAGCCGGGTGTGGTGGCCCACGCCTGTAATCCTAGCACTTTGGGAGGCCAAGGCAGGCGGATCATGAGGTCAGGAGATCGAGACCATCCTGGTTAACACGGTGAAACCCTGTCTCTACTAAAAATACAAAAACATTAGCCAAGCGTGGTGGCGTGTGCCTGTAGTCCCAGCTACTCAGAAGGCTGAGGCAAGAGAATGGTGTGAACCTGGGAGGTGGAGCTTGCAGTAGCCAAGATTATGCCACTGCACTCCAGCCTGGTGACAGAGCAAGACTCTGTCTCAAAGAAAAAAAAAAAAAAAGGAATTCTGGGTTTGAATCCTGCCTCTCCATCTGCTCTGCTAGGGATATGATTTAGGGCAAGTTGCTAGACCTCATCGGGCCTCTCTTTTCACATCTGTATAATAGAGGTGTTATTGTTTCACTTCCATTTGTGAAGTTTAAATGAGATTTGTTATTGTTGTTTTTATGTTAATCCCTAGTACATGGCCTGCTGTAAACACTCAGAACACCCAGGATATGGTTTGATTTTCCTCATCCCCAGTCTCAGGGGGAAACCAGGACAATGAGAACAGCCACTTGCCATCAGGAGTCACTGAAGGGGCCCCAGGATGGGATGGTGGGGAGATAAGAACCATGAGAGAAGTTGGCACAAAGGAGTTATGGGACAAAAGGTCCAAGATAGGCAGAAAAGAAAATGTTGCCAGTTGATGGGGAAGAAAGGAAGTCAGAGGGCTCAGACACTGTGGGGGACAGAACATCTCCATGTGCACTCTCATCTCTTGTAGTCAGCAACAGGTTTCCACAGGGAAGGCCCTACATCATCTGCTACCCTGAAAGATCTGGAGGTAAGAGGCTCTGGGCGGAGGTGCAGTGACCCTTCGGGTCAACCCTCCAACCTCCTCCTCCAGGTGGGACTGGGTGCCCCTCTGCCAGCTGAGACAGCCCACACACCCCAGCCCTAATGATTGTTCTCTCTACCTCTCCCCCCACTCCTGCTCCACCTCCTCCTCTCTGCATGCACCTCAGAGCCCGTGCCAAGAACGAGCAGTAGTCCTGGATTCAAGGTCCGTAGAAATCAGTCAACTGAAGAACACCATCAAATCTCTGGTAAGAGTCCACTGGGGTCCCCTGATTCCACGCTGCCAATCCTGGGCTCCAGTTTCCCCTTGGGGCCCTGAAGAAAGGGGCTGGGGGTCCCTGGTGCCTGGGACAAATAGGGAGCTTGGGTGCCCAGGCCTCACCTGGAGGGACCCCAGAGCATGCAGCATGGCTCTTCTTTTGCTGCCCTCTTTGCCGACTCTCTCCTCTCCAGACACCCCTGCTCGAGTCCTTGCTACACACGCCCTGGGGTTGTTGCCTCTTGGGGAAGTGCTAGCCTGACTGGTTGTCAAGGGCCCCGTATTTCTGCCATGACTCAGTCCCTAATTTGCTCTTTGATTCTGGACAAGCCACCTCTCCTTTTTGGGCTCGTGTTTCCAGAGGAGGTAGTGAGTATCAAAGGTCTCTGTTAGCTCTCGAGTCTGAGATTTAAAGGCCCCCTAGAACGGAAACCTCAGGGCTAAGGGCTCCTGTCTGTCCTTTTCCATCCTATATCTGCTGTAAAGAACCGTACCTGGCCCATACATGCTCAGTAAATGTTTATTGAATGAACCCACTTCTCTAAATCACAAGCTGCCAGAAGGAGGGGCCTTTCTGAAACTCCATCTCTAGAGGTTTATATTGCTGTCCTCTCAAGAGATTCCAGATTCAGACTTTGAGTTCTGTGGCTGTGGGCAAAAGCCAACAAAGACCCAAATCCTCTGTCCTTGGGAGCTTGAGGAGAGTTTACCGGTTCGTGTTCCCATTATGTCTGAGAACTTTGCCTTTAAAATCCATTCCTGGCCCCTGCCTACCGCTTCCTGGTCTGGGGAATAGAGTTGAGGGGGCCACCCTCCCATCCACCTTATTTGACTCTCCCCACAGAAACAACAGAAGAAACAAGTGGAACATCAGCTGGAAGAAGTAACGTGATTTCGTTTCCTCGCAACATGACTGCTGGGTTTGGGGGGCACTCAGACATACAGGCCCCAGTCTCGTCTCACCCACTCCCAGCCTGGGGATGAAGGCTCACCCTTCAGATTCCACCCCATCCCCACAGGGCCCCTGATAACCTGGTCCCATGGGTGGGCCTGTCCTGGGGCATTGGTGGCATTCTGGGGGCATGTCTCTTGCTGTGCCATCTCTGCCTCCCCCTGGTAAGAGCTCTGTCTTCCTCTTCCTACAGGAAAAGAAAGCAAACAACAAGAAACAGAAAGCCAAAAGGGTGCTAGAGGTGAGTGGAGGGTGTGCAGTTTCCTCCTGTCCTCCGGAGAAGGTTTCTTTCCTTCTCTTTCAGCACTTGCTTGGCTTTTCTCCCAAAGGTTCAAATCCAGACATTGAACATACAGAAAGAGGAACTAAATACGGACCTGTACCACATGAAACGTTCTCTCAGATACTTTGAAGGTGGGAATCTGGGCACCCTGTCATCCTTCAACCTGGCACTTTGACAGGTCTTCAGGGGGAGTCCTTTGGGCCCCATCTCAACTCTCTCATTACAGAAAAGTCCAAGGATCTGGCTGTCCGCCTGCAACATTCATTGCAGCGTAAAGGAGAGTTAGAGAGTGTTCTCTCTAATGTCATGGCCACACAGAAGAAGAAGGCAAACCAGGTGAGTCCAACCACCTGCCCCATCCCCTGGGAGCCTGGCTTTGCAGATGGAGGAGTGAGCCTAAAGGTCCCTTCTGCAGGATGGAGTGTCCTGCCCAGAAGGCAGCATGGCCATTTCTTGCTACTTTTTTGTATGGTTTTTAGTGGCAGCCTGGGGCTGAGTCAGCTGCTGTGGGTGAGTTGGGGGTCACTGTGTGGAGTGAGCACTGGACGCAGAGCTTGGAGGCCAAGTGCCTGCCCCGCCCTTACCTGGCTGTGGTCTTGGGCAAGTCCTAGTCCTAGGTGGGGTATTGGGTACTTGTACTGTGAAGGTACAGAAGAGTACCTTTAGTATGTTACCATTTCTGTAGAAAGAGGAAACGTGTGTGCGTGTGTGTGTGTGTGTGTGTGTGTGTGTGCATACTGTGATAATATACATAAAACATGTCTGCAAGGGTTCATAAAAAAGTCAGGAGAGAGCAACAAGATGGCCGGGAGATACTTCCCTTCTGTACCTTCTGAGTTTTGGACTATGCAAATGTATCATCCTTTCAAAAAGTGAACAAAAGATTAATTTTCCCCTTCCTATCTGTGCCCCCATCCCCAGCAAGAAAAACGGGCTTAGAGAATTGGATAGACCTGGGTGTTTATATCCCAGCTCTGCCTAAGTGAACTTAGGCAAGCACTTAACCTCAAATACTCCATGTTTTTTCATCTCCACAATAGAGGGAATCATAGTAACTGTCTCCTATGGTGGTTGCGAGGATTAAATGGGATTGTTAGCACGGTACCTGGTGAAGCATTCCACAAAGGTTCAAACAGTGGTAATAATAACAGTAATAACAATAGCAATATTATCTGATCTCTCTGGGCCTCTGTTAGCCAGCTATAAATTCAATCTCATTCCCTGTCCGTTCCAACTTTACTGAGTTCTTTTAAAAACCAGACCACGGGCTTGGAAATGCCTTGATCTTTACTGACCGAGTTGTATATTGGGCCTAGCCCTAGCCCTTTTAAGGGGCACTGTGTGGAAATGCCCAGGCTCTCCAGATTGAAACTTCTCACTCTTCACCATCCAGTTGTCCAGCCGCAGCAAAGCACGTACGGAGTGGAAGTTAGAGCAGTCCATGCGGGAGGAGACACTACTGAAAGTGCAGCTGACACAGGTGAGGTTTTCTGAGGGAGTTATGTGGAAGGAAGATGACCCCAGGTGGCCAGGAGCAGGTGAGGACCAGTGACAGCCCTTCCTAAGTTCTGTGCCCATTCTTGCAGTTGAAGGAGTCATTTCAACAAGTCCAATTAGAAAGAGATGAGTATTCTGAACATCTAAAAGGAGAGAGGGCCCGGTGGCAGCAGAGGATGAGAAAAATGTCGCAGGAGGTGAGATCTGACCCTTCAGCCCCCCCACATTAGATAGGTCACTGGATCTTTCTGGTCATCTGTAAAATGGGAATAGTAGAGCCAGAGGTGGTCATGGGTCTGGGCTTTGTGGAGGTGGGGGCAGAGAGGGAGAGGGCAGCCTGTCCAGCCACCAGCCCCTCTCTCCAAGGCCCTTTCCCCTTGTGCTTTGGGCAGATTTGCACATTAAAGAAAGAGAAGCAGCAAGATATGCGTCGGGTAGAGGAGCTGGAGAGGAGCTTGTCCAAACTCAAAAACCAGATGGGTAAGATGGGGCTGGCATGACCTAGGAGCAGGACTGGCATCAGAGGGCTGTGAGGGTGGCTTAGAGTGCCCCAGGGAGGTGGGTGGATGGAAGGGCTTTGAGGCAGAGGGAAAGAGATCTGTGCCAGGAGACGGCGAGTCTTGTCATCTCAATGAGTCTCAGTGTCTCAGTGTCCCCATCAGGAAAGAGGGCCCGTTGTCAGCCACCCGCAGTGCTCTTTCTCTGAAAGTGCTTTGGAAGACTGGCTACCATCTGGGTGCGAGGAATCATTAGCAGTGAGGCCAAGTTTGAGGAGCCTGAGAGGAGCTGTGCGCCAAGAGGAGGGTTTTTCTTTTCCGAGAATCCAGAGGCCCTTATTATCTGCTTCCTTTGTCAGCTGAACCCTTGCCCCCGGAGCCCCCAGCAGTGCCCTCTGAGGTGGAGCTGCAGCACCTGAGGAAGGAACTAGAGAGAGTGGCAGGAGAGCTCCAGGCCCAGGTCAAAAAGAATCAGCGCATAAGTCTCCTGAACCAGCGACAAGAAGAGAGGATTCAGGAGCAGGAAGAGAGGCTTCGGAAGCAGGAGGAGAGGATTCAGGAGCAGCACAAGAGCCTTCAGCAGCTGGCCAAGCCACAGAGCGTCTTCGAGGAGCCGGTGCGTTGCCCAAACTGGGGAGCTTGCCCTCCTCCCTAGCCCTCCGGGCCTTTGTTTCCCCACCTCTAAAATGGGGCAGTGTAGCCCTCACATGAAATGTTACTTCTAAAGGCACCTGTGAGCCAGGTGGCTGTGGGAGAGAGGGAGTGATTTTTCTAACCTGCCTCCAGCCTTCCCAGTGCCATGGGAGGCAGACACCAAGTTCTGGGGTCTCCAGCTGCAGTGGGTGGCTGCTGATTGCTTCTCTCTGTCCAGAACAATGAGAACAAGAACGCACTGCAGTTGGAGCAGCAAGTAAAGGAGCTACAGGAGAAGCTTGGCGAGGTGAAGGAGACGGAAACCTCCACCCCATCCAAGAAGGGCTGGGAGGCGGGCAGCAGACTCTGGGGAGGGGAGGTACGAGGCCAGAGGCAGCTTCCAGCCTGGGGGCTGGTGACCACAGCACCCCCCAGGGCAGTCCTGTTTCTTGCTTCCTGCCTCTGACTTTTAAAGGTGGGTAGCCCTGGGATCCTCTCAGGTCTGGACATCATCATCCTAGCTAGAGGCATGGAGCCCCCAATCACAGGGGAAGAGACAGTGGTATAACAGGCTCCTTATGCCAGGTGCAGTGGCTCATGCCTATAATCCCAGCACTTTGGGAGGCTGAGGCAGGAGAATCACTTGAGGTCGGGAGTTTGGGATCAGCCTGGCCAATGTGGTAAAACCTCATCTCTACTAAAATTACAAAAAAAAAAAAAAAAATTAGCAGGACATTGTGGCGCATGCCTGTAATTCCACCTACTCGGGAGGCTGAGGCACGAGAATTGCTTCAACCCAGGAGGTGGAGGTTGCAGTGAGCTGAGATTGCACCACTGCACTCCAGCCTGGGCCACAGAGTGACACTCTTGTCTGAAAACAAAACAAAAAGACTCCTTAGATTAAAACTGGATTCCAGCCTCGGTTGCACTGGTCACCATTCAAGTACTTTGCATCTCTAAGTCTCTGTTTCTTTAACTTCAAAGGGAAGTTAGCATTTTCCTTACAGAGGTGCTGAGGATTAAATGAGAAGAGGGTATGAGATTTGAGGCTGGGGAAGGAGGCATGGGGTTCTAGGAAAGGGAGGCAGTCACTTAGGCCTGGAGTAAGGGGACAGGGGCCTGGGCAGCTGACAGAGCCCCACAGTGCCCTCGCTACCCTATTAATGGGCCCAGAATCTGGAAACCAGCCACCACGTGCCCTCACACCCAGGGTCTTCCTGCAGGTGGAGCTGAAGAGCCAAGAGGCTCAGAGTCTGCAGCAGCAGCCAGACCATTACCTGGGTCACCTGCAGCAGTACGTGGCCACCTATCAGCAGCTGACCTGTTAGAAGGAGGCGCTGTACAGGCAGTGACTGCAACAGACCCAGCTAATGAACCAGCTGCAGCAGCAGGAAGCTTGGGGCAAAGCGGTGGCTGAGATGGCCTGCCAAAAGTTGCAGGAGACCCAGGGGAGGGAGCTGCCGAGGATGGGGCTGTGAGGGGGATGACCTGGCAAACTCCACCCCTTCTCACTCTGTCCTGGCCCCTCAGGAGCACCTGGAAGCTGCCAGCCAGCAGAACCAGCAGCTAACGGCCCAGCTGAGCCTCATGGCTCTCCCTGGGGAAGGTACGGGAGACTGCTCAGAGGAAGAGGAGAGAGCCCCAGGAGGAAGGGGGGACTGCTAGCAGCATAGGATTGAGGAGTTGGAAGAGACCTTTAGAACAGCTGGTCATTATGCCGACCGGGTGCCTGCACTAAGTTCGGCATCAGTGTGGTGACCTCCTGTGAGCGGGGGGTCACCAAGTTGCCTAAGGATGGCTGAACTGGCCAAGGTCAGAAAGGGAGCAGGTCAGAACTCCCACATCGACCAGTAGTGGGAGTGTGCCTGGGCGGAATAGCAAGATCTTGATTCTTAAAAGTAAAAATAAAGAACAACAGCTCATTCCTCTCTGGGGAGGGGCTGGCTCAGGGTTACACAGTGAGGGTGGAGGTAGAGGTGGGCCCACAGTACCTCCCTTGTTGGGTTGTCTGAAGACCCCTCTGGCCACCCCCCACAGGACACGGAGGAGAACATCTGGACAGTGAGGGGGAGGAGGCACCTCAGCCCATGCCGAGTGTCCCAGAGGACCTGGAGAGCAGGGAGGCCATGGTGAGCCTGACTCCCCCTGCACCCATTTTGCCACCTTTCTCTGTGGTCCCTCCAAGACCCCTTTATGCTCTTCGTTTCCCTGCCTTCTGATTTCTCTGGACCCTCACCCCTTCCGAGAGCCAGTGGTCAGACACCATTTCACCTGTGGCCAACAGGTGCACTCTCTGAGGCCCCAAGGGAAGGGGCTGCGCTCCACCTCTCTGCCCCATTTCTTCTGTGTATGCCCCTAGAAGAATGCTCACATCTTGCCCTCAGGTGGCATTTTTCAAGTCCGCTGGAGCTAGTGCCCAGGAGAAGCAGGCACAGTTACAAGAGCAGGTGAAAGAGCAGAGGGTGTGCTGCCAGCGCCTGGCTCACCCGGTGGCCTCGGCCCAGAAGGAGCCAGAGGCAGCCAGAGGCCCTGGAGCCCCAGGGCCTGGGGGCGAGTCTGTGAGTAGGGAGACCCACTGGGCCCTGCAGGAAGTCACGGAGAAGCTGGCCCATGCCAGGACTCACCTCCACCTTCTCCATGACTTGAAAATGCCACCTGAGGGCAGGTCGCTGCCGAGATGTGACTGCAATATTTTGGCTCCAGAGCAGCTTTATGGACCACCTGAAGGAGAAGGCAGACCTGAGTGAGCTGGTGAAAAAAGAACTCTGCTTCATCCACCACTGGCGAGACAGACGCCATCAGTGAGTGGGAGGCCAGGGCACGGCAGGGGGAGCTACAGGGCCGTCGGAGGGGCCCCAGCGTCTGAGCCCTGTCCTCCCGCAGGAAAACCCATCACCTTTTATCAGAACCAGGGGGCTGTGCCAAAGATGCGGCACTGGGAGGAGGACACCATCAGGCTGGAGCTCAGGGAGGAGATGAAGGTAGGGTGTGCAACATCTCTGTGGGGGTGGGGGTGGGGGTGGGTGTGAGGGTGGGCGCAAGCAGCGGCATGGCAGCTGAGCACCCCTCCCTCCAGGTGAAGCTGCTGGAGCTGCAGCAGATGGTATTGCGGCTTACAGCAACTACAACAATGGGCACAGAAAATTCCTGGCCGCTGCCCACAACCCTGCTGATGAGCCCGGTCCAGGAGCCCCAGCTCCCCAGGAGCTTGGGGCTGCAGACAAGCATGGTGGTGAGTAGAGCCCTCAGGTGGGGTGGGCAGGCAGGAAGAGGGGGCTCCCACTGTGCTCAGATCCCTGCCTCCCTCTCTCCAAAGATCTTCGTGAGGTGAGCCTCACCTCCTCTGCCCAAGGAGAGGCCAGGGAGGATCCTCTCCTTGACAAGCCTACTGCACAGCCGATCGTGCAGGACCACCAGGAGCACCCAGGCTTGGGCAGCAACTGCTGTGTGCCATTCTTGTGCTGGGCTTGGCTGCCAAGAAGAAGGAGATAAACATCACCATCCTCAAAGAGCTGCTCAAGAAATTTTTAAATAAGAAACCAAGTTATGGGGTTAATCTCCTACACAATTCATTTACTTCCTTTGAATGTTAGACTCACTCATGATTATTTGTGTTTCTAATTTATAGTTTAAGTTTATTTGTAAAAAGTTAAAAGAGAGTGGGTGTCTGTGGCTCTCACTGATGTTCACTCTGGCATCCTTTAGCATTTTTCTTTTTTAATTTCATAATTGTAGGTCATTAGCGTGCATATCGAGTTTGCCCTTACGTGGTGGGAGTTCAAACACACAAAGACCCACTCTTTGCCCAAAACTGTTCTCTTTGGTTTGGAATAGGCTGCCATGCTTTTTTAATGTTATTGCAGCATGTATATTCACTACAGCATTCAGACAAAATTTGCCTATGTTCTGCTGTTGTTTGATCTAATCTTAATCACAGTGAGCTCTTCCTTAGCTCAATATGTAGTTTGCCCCCAAGTGTGCACTGTTTATTACTTTGTAATACGCCACTATGAGTACTGACATTTAGAGTTGTTTAAAGGCCAAGAACTGGAAACAGCCTTTCCTCCATTTTCTGTGTATTGGTGATGGGAGTGATAACCTTTTGGGGGAGCTTTTTAAATCTCACAGAAGAGGAAAGTGGCCTCCTCTGGCAGGTATGTGCAGGATAGAGTGTGTTTCATCTGTTCCGGTGCCAGGAATTAGCGGTGTATTATGGTGGTTCCCTTAGGATTTGTATGTGCTCTGGGCTCATGAAGATATTGCATCATGAGCTGCAGCAGTTGTACTCTTTTTCGATGACCTAAAAAGGGCTTATTTCTGAGGAATGAAAGGTTCCCATCGTTGACTGTGGATGTGGAAAACCTTTCCTAGCTTAGAGCATTTGTATCTACAATACATTTTAAAGTCAGAGTTCATGTTACCTGTTTTAATCACATGACTACATGTCCCAGTACACAAAAGGGCACTGGTTGGCATTCTTCTTAATGTATTTAGTGAAGATCATAAGAAATCCTTTATGAGTTCAAACGTCCCTGGAACAGGCATACAGGCTCTAGTCAAGAATGAATTAGAGTGAAGGAAAGCTGTGTGACACCTGGCATTCCTCTCTGTTCACGGAGATTCTTTGAGGCTTGAAGATTGATTTTACCATCTAGACCTCTTTGGCTAATACCTATTCTTCAACCACCTTGGTTACTCTGACATAGGAATTTACTTCTTTTTCCTTGAATGGAAAACACTTTAAAAAATAATAGAAACATTATTATAAACTAATATATGTGAGATACTTAGTTGAAACAAAAAGGAGTTTTAGTAGATGGTATTGTACTCTCTTTGAAAATCAAGGAGAAGTTTATGAAACTTAAAATGTGTACAAACTGCAGTGCAATCTACTGTTCGTGAATGTCAATGTATTATCAGGAAACGTGTCTATACAATCACAGAGTTATATTTTCTCACAGACTTCTTTACAAAGTGAAATATGTTTTTGTACCTCTGGGTTTCTGTTCGGGACATATTTTGTGCGATATTTATGTGATTGTGCCTATGCATGATGAATGAATACATTTCAGTTATATATTGCCTAAATCGTAACTTGATGATGCTTGGGAAAGACTCAACAGTTAAAACTTCATGAAGTTCTAATGTCTGTGTTCCAAAACACATCACATTGTTAGGATGCAGGGAGATAGGTGTGTGTGCTCCCTGCGGTGGGGATTTCTAGTTACTAGATCATCTCCATTTTTAGCATTTGGCATCCTCATGATACTTCTATAAATATGACATTAACAGGAGAGCAACAATACGATTTTACCGATGGAATAACAGATTTGCTGGCATTCACTGAAAGAGTGCAAATATTCGGTCCTTGTGACTTCCACTGACTCTTCCAAATTTTATGAATGTATCAATGTATTAGATAAACCCAGTTTCAGAATGATAAAGAAAAAATCTTAGACCAAATAATGCGGCTAATTAACAGTGGTACGATTTGTAGCCCGTGGGTTTAAAATGCACTTAAAGTCCTGTTCTCGCCTTTTATTTTCTGAACTTGCCGCTTTTGCATTCTTTGAGTTCAGTTTAAAGACAGTTACTTTAAGAGCATTTTAAACCCTCGGGCTAGAAATCGGACCACTGTTAATCAGCCACATTATTTGGTCTAACGTTTTTTCTTTTATCATTCTGAAACTGGGTTTATCTAATACATTGATAAATTATTGCAAAGGTACTTTTATCGTTGAAATCACTTCACTTTTACCCTGATAAATATCAGTGACTAGGAATGACCTTCGGATAGCGTTTAGCATCTGTAACCAATCTGACAATAATGTGTTCATGAGGTGCCTATGGATTAAATCACACACTGGCATATTTAAGCTGAAGGTCAGTCTGGAAAATAAATTTACTATATTGACTGAAATACCACTCTTTGTGTAGGCATTTGTCATATACTTAAGAAAACGCTAAAAAGAATGGAAATTGTATGACAATAACTTAAGTCTTTCTCCAAAGTGCATGCAGTCTTTTGCGATACCTCATTCAGCCGAGTATTTGTGCTCTTCCTCATTCAGTATAAGGCAGCTTTCAGTTTGCTTAGAAGGCAACATTGGAATGTTAGAGTTCATCAGAAACATAGAATTTTAAACTGTGAGTTCCACTGAATACATTTTAATGTCTGTAGGAAGAATCAAAACACCTATTTAAAGATGGCAATATATAATAATCATTTTAAAAGTATTTGATTCAACCTGATAATTTTCCAGAAATGAAAAAAAAAATCAGCTCTAAAACCAAAGCGATTTTAGAAAATTTGAAAATGTAAATCAGCCCTATCCATAATATAGTTTCTCTAAAACTTTATCTTAGTCATTTTAAAATAATATAACTATTAAAAAATGTAACTGCTATCTTAATGTTCTGAAATAATTTAAAACATTTTAAAATATGAATACTGTAGTATAAAAGAAAGAAATGGTGGGAACGAAAAGCAGAGAAAGAAATGCCAATTCCAGTCCAAAGTTTTATTTGCCAAGTTTTCTTAGAATGAATTTTACCAGTTTATGAATTATTGTAAACAGAATGTGTCATGGAAATACTGAAAGATTTTTCCCTAGAGTGGCCTTATTGACTGCTGGTGTGATGCCACTGTAATGTAATAAATTATTAAATTGTTTCAATGTGTTGTTTTTGCCTTAAAATTTTATTTTGTGTTTCTTGAAAACTATAGTATTAAAGGTATTGATACTGTGCAAATGCTGGGCATGCTTGGCACGAGATAATGTGTTTCATTTTTACAAAGTTGTGATATAACTATGCAAGTGTTTCTTAAAAGAACACAAGATTTAAAAATTATGGGATTAAAAAAAGTTATGGGGTGAAAAAGTTATGGGATAAAAAATGTAAAAACGTTGTGGCAAAAAAACTTGTGGGAACAAAGTAGAAAACAGTATTATGAAAAGTTACCAAAAAAGTTATGAAAAAGAAGTTACGGGATTCTTTTTTAAAAAGTCATGGAATAAAAATAAAAATTAAAAGCAGGCCCCTGTCAGCAAAGCCTGGAGAAGTGGGGCCGGAGTCTCCACCGCCACCATGTCCCTACCACCCCTTCCCAGGCACCCCTTTACAATTAGGGTAGCAGGACAAGACCTCTGTCTAATGGGGAAAGACAAACAGACCCTTTGCCACCTTGACCAGGGCTGAGTCCCTAAATTTCTGGATGATGATGATTGTTATTTAAGAGCCAGAGGCTGGTGGAGTTGGTTTGTTTGGAGGAGGCCTGATGTCCCCCTTACTCTCACCATAGCAACTTTTCCCTCAGGGGGGCTCCCTTCTTATTCAGAGAGGTAGGACAGTGGGGCTAACTGTGGACCAGGCGAGGGCACGGGCTGCTGGGGTGGCCCCCGTTCCCCGGTGTACACATTGTGTCTGTGTAAGGTTTTGTATATTCCAGAGGGTAGGGCCACCCCTGTGTCATACCTAGCTGAGGTTGGAGCCGGCACATGGGGAGGAGGTTGTAATAATTATTTGTGGCTGGGAAACTTATTTATTGCTAGCATAGGACAGAGGAAGGAGGCGGGGATGGGGTCGTGGCTCCCTGGTGATGCGACTCCTGTTTATTTTGCTTTTTATTTTGGAATAAATGGATTTAGCCATACTGCTCGGCCTGGTGTGTTCCCGTTTCCCTCACTGGGTCCTGGAGTTTGTGCCACCAAACGAGGAGCCCCAGAGTGTCTTGAGTATGTCCAGCTAGGCTGTTAGGGACCTTCCAGGCGTGTTACCTGTATGCTGCCTAGTGGCGCCTGGGGGATTCCACGGGGACTGCCATGGTGCCTATGGGGCGCAGTCCAGCCCTGACAGCCAACAGGCTCAGAAGCCTGTTGTAGCGGTGGCCAGGAAGACAGGTACCAGCACCTAAGGGCACTGACTTCCACCCACCCCAGGCGTCTTCCCTTCCGTCACCTTGCCTCCCTCCCCTGTCTGCACCTGGTGGCCTGTTCTCTCTGTCCCTCCAGAGTGCCGGCTGCCCGGCAGGCTCCCTTCAGGCTGAGTTCGTGGCCCTGCCCCCTGGTGGCCAGAGCCGGCTTCACAGGACAAGAGCCAGCTAAGTTCCAGGGGCTTTCCAGGAAAAGTGTCCCTTGGAAAGGGTATGGCCTTTTCACCCCTCCAAACAGCACCCTAGAAATGGCTTGGCCTTTCCCCTCCCCTGAGCTCCACAGAGAACACAGCCAGCAGAGGACACACTTCCCCGTCATCCAGAAATGGGTTTGATTCTCAGCCAAGGGACAGCAGGACTGGTAGAGACTGTCAGGCCACACAGCTGCCTGCACAGCACTCCCATGCTTGGTGGGGGGGCGGGAGGGATGGCGGGGGCTGACTCTCCATAGGCCAGGCGTGACAGGGAGACTCACCGGAGGTCTTGCACTTTGGAGGGGCAATGTCGGGACAGCTTTCTCTTGTTGGGCCACAAGACTCCAAGAGGACAGCACGGTGACTGATTCCCA
Organism: Homo sapiens; assembly: GCF_000001405.40. Lineage (NCBI taxonomy): Eukaryota > Metazoa > Chordata > Mammalia > Primates > Hominidae > Homo > Homo sapiens. Next base: position 30,150,577 of record NC_000015.10, read on the forward strand.
GCACTAGAGGCGAGGCCGTTGGCCACATGTAGGTGTAGGGGTGTGTGTGTGTGTGTGTGTGTGTGTGTGTATGGGTATTTATAGATATTTATAGAACAATGCGAGGGCATACCACAGAGGGGGGCACAAGTTTCACAACAGTCACACCTGGACGTGTCAGCTCACCACTACAACAGACTAAGTCACAGATGAAGGGGGCTGGCTTTGGGGCTGGGGGAGCCACTGCCAAGTCACAGAACAGCCGCCCAGGCAGGCTTGGAAAGGGAGGCCTCCGAGAAGAGAAGGGATCTGTTTAGAGGTCGAAGGGGGGCGTGGGGCTCTCAGGATGGGATGGACTTGCGTGACCTGATCGGCTGGCAGTTGGAGAGAAAGCAGAGAGAAAAGAGGAGAGAGAAAAGGGAGGAGAGAGCTGGTGAGGCCAGTGCAGAGCACAGGTGTGCCACAGCAGCTGTGGGAGGGCCAGGGAGGGGAGGGCGCAGGTGCGGCTGTGGCAAGGTTCCTGGAAAAGAGGGGCTGGAAGGGAAAGGGGAGGAAGATGGAGGGAGGAGCCGGAGCTTCACAGGTAGTGCCTGGGGACTGTGGCGGCCCTCCCCACCCCACACATGCTGGCCTCTTCCATTGCACCCAGGCAGTGTACCCACAGGTCAGACCAACGCTCGGCCCCTTTGGGCTTCCCTCTTCTCTGGTCACCAACCAACTTGTCTTCCAAGTCGTCTTCCAACCTGTCTTCCAACCAACTGGTCTAGGGCCACCTCTCACCTTGGGGAACCCAACATAACAGCCACCAGGCCTGACAGAAGGAAAATTGCTCGAACAAGGATGATGAAGCTAAATGGGATGGATGGTTGGAGTGATCGCCGGAGCCCCCTCTGGGTGGTCAGGAAGCTCAGGACCCTCTGAAGGGACCCTGGGGGAGGCAGGGTGGGCAGGCAGCCAGATGCCACTGGCTATAAACTTATAAGTCTAAGAGGGGAGCCTCAGCTTGTTGGAGATTGCAGGTCCCATAGGTGAGGCTGGGTCCTTCCTCCCAGGGAAAGGAGACGGAGACCATGGCAAGGGAGGTGGGTGGGCTTGCTGGGCAGAGCTCAGCTGGGCCAGCAGGCACTGGGCTCCCCTCGGCTGAATAGGAGGGCCAATCTCTAGGAGCAACAAGCCAAGGTGCGTGAGCCCGCTGGCTGGTGGTAGTGCTTCAGCGGGGCCCAGGGACCCTGCCTTCAGTCACATGCTAGCAGCTGTGATGGTACCTGGGAGGGAGGGAAGGGGGCTGTGTGCCCCTACCTGACCTGTGAGGTGTGTTTTGGGTTGACCATGTGTATGGGACTCTCGAGGTTTTATCCTAGATCACCACTGTTTTGCCAACAGATAGAGGAGGTGGGACCCTATCACCCCTGCTCTGCAGTGGATTTGGCCCTCAGCACTCCAAGGCATCCAGGCTGGGAGCTGGATGCCCCACCCTGGCAGCATGGCTCAGACAGCACAAAAGGCATGGTGTGCCCAGGATGACATTCCTGGGCCTCTGGCCACCTCAGAGTACAGCCCCACACACAACCCCCTCCAAGCTCTCAGCCCTTACACCATAAACCACGAGCTCCCTGATGGCTCCAGAGACCACCCACATCTGCCAGCTTGGGCACGGAGCCTGTTCCAAGAGCCCCCAGGCTCAGCCATGGGGGCTGGGGAGACTTGGGGCCATAGGGGCCAGCCCTGGTACCTGCGTCTGGCAAGGACGCTCTGCACCTGCAGCCAGGAGCTGTCCACGGGCCCCCATGTGCGTGCTGATGGTGGTTGTGTTGATGTCACCGATGATGCTGAGCACCTCCTTCAGCACGTGGTACATGCGCAGCATCTCATCTCGCCACTGTGCCTGCTCTGCCAACTCCTCCATCAGCGTGTTCTGGTTCCCATGCAAGTACAGGTTGGACAGCAACTCTGATAATATGAGCTCCTTGGTCTGAGAGGGGGCAAAGAGGGAAGGAGGTTGGGACCTGATGCATGTGCTGGCCTGATGCCTGTGCTGGGACAGTGTGCTGGACTTGGAGCCCTGAGTATGGCTTTGCACACGCGGCTTCTACACCGCTTAGACTCAAAGATCTGCCACCCCACCGCCCTTTTCTCACTCAGATAGGGACACTGAGGTCCAGAGGAAAAGTCACCTGTCCAAGGTCACACATCTGGGAGGGGACCCAGGACCTATCATGCCACCAGGACACCTGTCTACTCAGTTTCTTAAAAATGTTTTTTGGAGATAGGATCTCGCTCTGTTGCTGGGCTGGAGTACAGTGAGCAAGATCACCACTCACTGTAGCCTGAACCTCTTGGGCTCAAAGTGATCCTCCAATGTCAGCCTGTCGAATAGCTAAGACTATAGGCATGTGCCATCACTAAGCCTAGCTATTTTTAAAATTTTTGTGTAGAGACCAGGTCTCACTATGTTGCCCAAGCTGGTCTCGAACTCCTGGGCTCAAGCTATCCTCCTACCTTGGCCTCCCAAAGTGCTGGGATTACAGGCATGGACCACTGTCCCTAGTCCCACATTATAGTTCTATGAGACAGCTCTGGTCTGGACTGTGCCTCCCTCCCTGAACCTGGTCCCATAGGGCTGGTCGGCATCTCCCCCAGGCCAACATGGCCACCTGCATCCCCAGTGCCACAGGAGCCCCCTGCCCCTATGAGGTGGTGCATGCACGTTGTTGATCATGACGTGCATGACGGTCTTGGGCATGAAACCAACTATGAGGTCCCACACAGTCTTGTTGACAATGGCCTTGTAGGAGTCCACAAGGTTCTGGGTGGTTTCCATTTGCCGCTTCAGCTGTGGGTCCATGGAGTGGACTTAAGATTGAGTCTAGACCTAGACTGCTGCCGGGCTTTGCAAAACCCAACTGGAGTTGGGTCCTGGGCTGCTCTCTGTGGTTCTGAAGCACCATCTCCCACCAGTGTGGCTGGTTCCCCTTAATCTGCATCTCTGGTGTCTCCTATACAGCCTCTGCCAGAAATTCAAAAGCAGAGAGGGCTTTTATTTTCTATCTTCCAAAATAAATTTCAAAGTATTATTGGCAAACTTGAATAGTGACTTCTGTTTCATAATTTTTCATCGCCTTTTGGTTTCATCTTTAGAAAGTTTTTTAAGTTATGAGAATTTTTCTTTCCCTTAGAAGTTGATGCACATAAATCCCCTTGTTTGCCACATTAATGGCAGACCTTACTTTCCCCTCCCCGATTCCTGCAGGGGATCTCCAAAAATCTAAGCGTTAGGAAAGAGCCCAGCCAATCGCATCCCAGTGGTATCCCCACCCTTCTTCACCTCTCCCAGACTGTAGCCTTGCCCCACCCTCTCAGCCACCAGGGACACTCACAGGGAATCTTGTTAATCTCATTGAAGAACTTCTCCTTCAGTTTGGCAAACATGTCCTCCTGGCTCTCCCCAGCACTCCCACTCTCGGTGGAGTTGTCCACGGGTCCAATGGGCATCGTGACGGTGGTGGTGGCAGGAGCCACAATAGGCTCTTGGTTCCTCTTGAAAATGTTCCTCATGGTGGCAGAGGGGACAGATGGGGATGAGAGGGGAAGAGGGCAGGGTGAGCATCCCAGAGGTTGTCTTCCCCTCAGAAAGCCATGCCCAAAGGACCAGGAGAAGCTCTTTATCGATCAAAGATATTTTGCATAATATTAACAACTGTAGTAAACCAATAATAATAGACATCATCCAATTAGTACACAGTCAGCCTGGGTAGCATAGCAAGACCCTATCTTTAGAAATTTTTTTTTTTTTTAATTAGGCATGGTGGAGGCTGAAGTGACAGAGGATCACTTGAGTCCAGGAGTTTGAGGTTACATGAACTATGGGTGACTAAGTAAGGTTCTATCTCTTAAAAAAAATAGTAGTACATATATGTGCCAAGCACTATGCAAAGCACTTTCCATGCATTATTCATCTAATCCAAAAAATAACCTAATGGTTTTTATTGTTTCCATTTAACAGATGGGGAAACAGGTTCAGAGAGGTTAGAAAGTTTTTCCAAGGTCACTTAGCTGTAAGTTCTGAAACTGAGGTTTGAACTGGTCTACCCAACTCCAGAGCTTGTATAGCTAATCACTCTCCTATATCTCATTTAAATCTAACCTCACCACTCTAGGAAGGAGACAAGGTTTTACACTGAGGGCTCCTCTTTCAACCTCTCTCCTTGACTTCCAAGGATTTCTAGATATTACTCTGCCTAGAATCTCTGCCCAGCTCCATGACACTTGAACTCTCCACATCCCTGACTCCAATTCCTCCTCCTGCCCTCCAAGACTCCTCAGCCCTCTGTAGTTTCTTCATGGGCTCCCTCAGTGCCCACTCAGGGTTTGTTTTGACCTCTCCTGTAGGAAGACGGCACCCACATCTCCATCTCTAGCCCTTCCTCCCGGGTCCACTCTGTAGCCCCTACTCCAAGTTCATCTCTAGCCCTGCCCCCACATGCAGCTGCACATTAGCCTTCCTGCATCAAAGATGTGATGTTTATTAATAACATAACCCAGACTTACTGTAGAAAATTTGGGGAGAGAGAGAAATCCCCCCATAATTCTACCCTCCAAAGTCAACTAGCATTTGGGGCATTCTATGCTGGTATTTTTTCTGAGTATGTTTTACATGTTGAGGCCATGCTATGCATAGTTTTTTTGAAGATTTTTTACATAAAATTTCATCATAAGCCTTTTCCTTTATTGTTTTGTATTATTAAATAGCTACAGAATATCGTACTACATGGTAACACCATAATTTGTTTAGCCATTCCACTATTAGACATTTAGGCAGTTTTCAACTTTTTGCTAGTAAAACACTGAGCATATATGTTGGTCTTCATTTAAGGCAATGTTCTTACGAGCTTCCAAACTCTGCCCCCCCATAATTCTGTCCTCTCCACCGAGCTCTTTTTGCTCCTCGGGGCTATGCACTCATTTCTCAACTGAAAGTCCTATGAGGGAAGATCCTGTGTTGGCAACAGCACCCCTCCTGCCAAGCACACAGTGGGCACTCAGGGTATTTGTTGATTGAGGTCCTCTGAGGCAACATAGCAGCATACACCCACAGGTATTCCAGGATGCAGGAATAAACAGCACAACTCCCTGAAGCATCCGTTTTACTGAATGGCAATTTACAGTATTTTTAAATTAAAACAAGCTGGAAATATAGAGTAGGATGCATACAGCACAAGAATTTAAAGAAAAAATGTGAGACTTTTCTTACTGCATGTTAGGGATGTGTTAACTCTCCTCTGGACTCAGGGTTCTTCTGAAGGAACATTTTAGAAGCTCTTAGGTTCTGTCCCTTCCTTTCAAAACCTGCTGAGATCCCCTCCCCAGCCCTGGAGACTGCTCCAGCCTTAAGTACTTTTGGTGACCTGCACATTGATGCAATGTAGGTTCATTCACCAAGCATTTATTAAACTCTTACTACCTGCCATGTTGAAATAGCCTTGACCCCAAAACTGGTCTTGAAGTGAAAAACCAAGGTCCACTGGACTTCACCTCTGGGGACAAAGAGATGGGTGCAGTTTGGCGGGAACTGCAAGTAGCCACACAAGGGGATAAATATGTGTCCAGGGCCTTCCGCCATGTCCATCTCCCCTCACTTCTACAAAACTGTTAAGGGCTCTGTGACCTTTTTTTCAAAAAACAGCTTTATTGAGATGTAATTCATATATAAGTCACCCATTAAAGTATACAGTTCAGTGCATTTTATTGTATTCACAGAATTGTGGAACAATTTGCATAACCTAAGTAGAACATTTTTGCGACCTCAAAAAGAAACCCAGTCCCATTAGCAGTCACTTTTCGTTCCCATCCTCTTCCCAGCTCCAGCAACCACTAATCTACTTTCTGACTCTATAGATTTGTCTATCCTAAACATTTCCTATCAATGGAATTATAAAATATGTGGTCTTTGTGACTGGCTTCTTTCATTTAGTATGATGTTTTCAAGGTTCATCCATGTTGTAGCATGTATCAGTATCTCATTCCCTTTTTATTGCCACATAATATTCCATGGTGTAGGTAGAACACTTTTTTTTTTTTTTGAGACAGGGTCTCACTCTGTCGCACAGCTGGAGTGCAGTGGTGCAACCATGGCTTACTACAGCCTCCACCTCCAGGGCTCAAGTGATCATCCCACCGCAGCTTCCTGAGTAGCTGGGACTACAGGTGCATGCCATCACACCAGGCTAATTTTTTAATTTTTTGTAGATATGGGGTCTCCCTATATTGCCCAGGCTGGTCTCAAGCTCCTGGCCTCAAGCAATCCTCCCACTTCAGCCTCCGAAATTTTGGCATTACAGGCATGAGCCACCGCACCTTGCCTAGAACACATTTTATATTTATCCGTTCATCAATTTATAAACATTTGGGTTATTTCCACTTTGGGCTATTTTATAACTAAATATGGCTAATAATATCCCACTTGTGGGGTATTATGAATAATGCTGCTGTGAACATCCATGTATGTTTTTGCATGGACATACGTTTTCATTTCTCTTGGGTATATACGTAGGTATGGAATTGCTGGGTCATAACTATGTTTGACATTTTAAGGTGCCAGCACCAATTTATGTTCCCACCAGCCATGTATGAGGGTTCCAAGTTTTCCACATCCCAGACAACACTTCTTTTTTTTTTTAATTATACTTTAAGTTTTAGGGTACATGTGCACAACGTGCAGGTTAGTTACATATGTATACATGTGCCATGTTGGTGTGCTGCACCCATTAACTCATCATTTAACAGTAAGTATATCTCCTAATGCTATCCTTCCCCCCTCCCCCCACCCCACAACAGGCCCCAGTGTGTGATGTTCCCCTTCCTGTGTCCATGTGTTCTCATTGTTCAATTCCCACCTATGAGTGAGAACATGTGGTGCTTGGTTTTTTGTCCTTGCAATAGTTTGCTGAGAATGATGGTTTCCAGCTTCATCCATGTCCCTACAAAGAATATGAACTCATCATTTTTTATGGCTGCATAGTATTCCATGGTGTATATGTGCCACATTTTCTTAATCCAGTCTTATCATTGCTGGACATTTGGCTTGGTTCCAAGTCTTTGCTATTGTGAATAGTGCTGCAATAAATATACGTGTGCATGTGTCTTTATAGCAGCATGACTTATAATCCTTTGGGTATATACCCAGTAATGGGATGGCTGGGTCAAATGGTATTTCTAGTTCTAGATCCCTGAGGAATCGCCACACTGACTTCCACAATGGTTGAACTAGTTTACAGTCCCATCAACAGTACAAAAGTGTTCCTATTTCTCCACATCCTCTCCAGCACCTGTTGTTTCCTGACTTTTTAATGATTGCCATTCTAACTGGTGTGAGATGGTATCTCATTGTGGTTTTGATTTGCATTTCTCTGATGGCCAGTGATGATGGCATTTTTTCATGTGTCTTTTGGCTGCATAAATGTTTTCTTTTGAGAAGTGTCTGTTCATATCCTTTGCCCACTTTTTGATGGGGTTGTTTGTTTTTCTCTTGTAAATTTGTTTGAGTTCATTGTAGATTCTGTATATGAGCCCTTTGTCAGATGAGTAGGTTGCAAAAATTTTCTCCCATCCTGTAGTTTGTTTTGCTGTGCAGAAGCTCTTTAGTTTAATTAGATCCCATTTGTCAATTTTGGCTTTTGTTGCCATTGCTTTTGGTGTTTTAGATATGAAGCCCTTGTCCATGCCTATGTCCCGAATGGTATTGCCTAGGCTTTCTTCTAGGGTTTTTATGGTTTTAGGTCTAACATTTAAGTCTTTAATCCATCTTGAATTAATTTTTGTATAAGGTGTAAGGAAGGGATCCAGTTTCAGCTTTCTACATATGGCTAGCCAGTTTTCCCAGCACCATTTATTAAATAGGGAATCGTTTCCCCATTTCTTGTTTTTGTCAGGTTTGTCAAAGATCAGATGGTTGTAGACATGTGGCATTATTTCTGAGGGCTCTGTTCTGTTCCAGTGGTCTATATGTCTGTTTTGGTACCAGTACCATGCTGTTTTGGTTACTGTAGCCTTGTAGTATTGTTTGAAGTCAGGTAGCATGATGCCTCCAGCTTTGCTATCTATGACAAACCCACAGCCAATATCATACTGAATGGGCAAAAACTGGAAGCATTCCCTTTGAAAACTGGCACAAGACAGGGATGCCCTCTCTCACCACTCCTATTCAACATAGGGTTGGAAGTTCTGGCCAGGGCAATCAGGCAGGAGAAGGAAATAAAGGGTATTCAATTCAGAAAAGAGGAAGTCAAATTGTCCCTGTTTGCAGATGACATGATTGTATATCCAGAAAACCCCATTGTCTTAGCCCAAAATCTCCTTAAGCTGATAGGCAACTTCAGCAAAGTCTCAGTATACAAAATCAATGTGCAAAAATCACAAGCATTCTTATACGCTAATAACAGACAGACAGAGAACCAAATCATGAGTGAACTCCCATTCACAATTGCTTCAAAGAGAATAAAATACCTAGGAATCCAACTTACATGGGACATGAAGGACCTCTTCAAGGAGAACTGCAAACCACTGCTCAATGAAATAAAAGAGGATACAAACAAATGGAAGAACATTCCACGCTCATGGGTAGGAAAAATCAATATCATGAAAATGGCCACACTGCCCAAGGTAATTTATAGATTCAATGCCATCCCCATCAAGCTACCAATGACTTTCTTCACAGAATTGGAAAAAACTACTTTAAAGTTCATATGGAACCAAAAAAGAGCCCACATTGCCAAGTCAATCCTAAGCCAAAAGGACATTTGCTATTATGTCTTTTTGTTTACCGTGATCCTGGTGGAGGTGAAGTGGCATTTCATTGTAGTTTTGATTTGCATTTCCCTGATGTCTAATGATGTTGCATATCTTTTCATGTGCTTAAGGGCCATTTGTGTGTCTTCCATAGAGAAATACCTATTCAAATCCTTTGGTCATCTTAAAATATTTTGTCTTTTTATTATTGAGTTGTAAGAATTTGTATATATTCTGCATACCAGTTCCTTGTTGAACATATAATTTGCAAATATTTTCTCCCATTCTAGGGTTATATTTTCATTTTGTGTGTGTGGTGTTTTTTTGTTATTTGTTTTTGAGATGGAGTTTCACTCTTGTTGCCCAGGCTGGAGTGCAATGGCACAATCTCAGTTCACTGCAACCTCTGCTTCCCAGGTTCAAGTGATTCTCCTGCCTCAGCCTCCCAAGTAGCTGGGATTATTATAGGCGCTCACCAACATGCCTGGCTAATTTTTGTATTTTTAGTAGAGACGGGGTTTCACCATGTTGGCCAGCCTGGTCCCAAACTCCTGACCTCAGTTGATCTGGCCTCCTTGGCCTCCCAGAGTGCTGGGATTACAGGCATGAGCCACTGTGCCCGGTCATATTTTCAGCTTTTAATGGTGTCCTTTGAAGCAAAAAAGTTTTCAATTTTGATGATGTCCAATTTAGCTATTTCTTTTGTTGCCATATTTTTGGTGCTATATCCAAGAAACCATCACTAAACCTAAGGGCACTAAGATTTACTCCTTTGTTTTCTTATGGGAGTTGTATAGTTTTCAGTCTCACATTCAAGTCTACAATCCACTTATTTTTTAAGACACGGTCTCACTCTGTCACCCAGGCTGAAGTGCGGTGGCACAATCATGGCTCACTGCAGCCATGGCCTCCTGAGCTCAAGTGATCCTCCAGCCTCAGCCTCCCGAGTAGCTAGACTACAGCTATGTGCCATTACACCTGGCTAATTTTTAATTTTCTTCTAGAAATTAGGTTTCACTATGTTTCTACAATCCACTTTGAGTATGGCATAAGGAAGGCGTTCACATTCATTCGTTTGTATGTGGATATCCATTTGGTGTATAACATTTGTTGAAAAGACTATTCTGTCCTCCATCCAATTGTCTTATTCCCTTGTAAAATAGCAACTGACCACAAATATGAGGGTTTATTTCTGGACTCTCAATTCTATCTGTATGTCTAACCTCATGGCAATACCACACTGGTTTTATTTTTTATTATTTTTTTAATAGCACCTGCCTACTATTGACCATACTGTCTTGATTACTGTAGCTTTGTAGTAAGTTTTGAAATCAGGCAGAATGGGTCTTCCAACTTTGTTTTTTGTTTGTCTGTTTTTGAGCCAAGGTCTCACTCTGTCACCCAGGCTGGAGTACATGGCGTGAACATGGCTCACTGCAGCCTTGACCTCCCGGGCTCAATTGATCCTCCAACCTCAGCCTTCTGAGTAGCTAGGACTACAGCCCCATGCCACCACAACTGGCTAATTTTTGTATTTTTGTAGAGAAGGGGTTTCACCATGCTGCCCAGGCTGGACTTGAACTCCTGGGCTCATGCAATCCACCCGCCTTGGCCTCCCAAAATGCTGGTACTACAGGCATGAACCACTGCACCAGGCCTGTTCTTCTTTAATCAGGATGTTTTGGCTATTCTGGGTTCCTTGCATTTCCATATGAATTTTAGGACCAGCTTGTTAATTTCTACAAAATAGCTGGAATTTTGATAGGCATTGTGTTGAATCTGTAGATCAGCTCAGGGATCATATCAACAATGTTGAGTTTTCCACTATTTTCCCACTTATTTAGACCTTTAATTTCCTTCAAGATTGTTTTGTAGTTTTCAACTACAAATCTTGCACTTCTTTTGTTCCTAGGTATCTTACTCTTTTTGATGTCATTATAAGTGGAACTGTTTTCTTAATTTCACTTTCAGATTGTTCATTGCTAGTGTATAGAAATATAATAGATTTTTGTATCTCAGTCTTGTACCCTGCCATATTGCTGAACTCATTGGTTCTTTTTTTTTTTTTTTTTTTTTTTTTTCAGACAGAGTCTCACTCTATCGCCCAGGCTGGAGAACAGTGGTGCAATCTCAGCTCACTGCAACCTCTGCCTCCTGGGCTCTAGCAATTCTCATGCCTCAGCCTCTCTAGTAGCTGGGATTATAGGCATGTGCCACCATGCAGGGCTAATTTTTGTATTTTTAGTAGAGATGGGGTTCCACCATATTGGCCAGGCTGGTCTTGAACTCCTGACCTCAGGTGATCCGCCTGCCTCCACCTCCCGAAGTGCTGGGATTATAGGTATGAGCCACTGCGTTCAGCCTGAAATCATTTGTTCTAATAATTTGTGTGTGTGTGCGTGTGCGTGTGTTGGTGGATTCCTTAGGATTTTCTAGATATAGAATCATGCAAATGAAGACAGTTTTCCATTTTCTTTTTCTTCCCTAATTGCCGTGACTAGAACTTCCAGTCCACTGTTGAACAGAAGTGGTGACATTGGGAATTCTTGTCTTTTTCCTGATCTTTGGGGGAAAATCTTTCAATCTTTCTTCACTTAACATAATGTTAGCTGTTAGCTGTGGGCTTTTTGTAGATGCCATTTATCAGGTTGAGCCTAGCTCCTCCATTCTACCCTTGCCCCTGGATTGGCAGTCCTCCTCCCCTTTCTGCAGACAGCTGCCCACAGCCGGTCCACGGTCCCTACAGCACCCCACCCTCTCACTCTCCACTGCAGGGTGGGCAGGAGGCAGCACGGGCTGCGGGAAGAGGCTGAATGTAGTCCCAAGAATGCCAACCACTTGTCATTTGACTCCAAACAAATCCCTTTGTGAAACTTGATTTCTTCAATATACAATTGTGGAAAATAATACCTAATTTTCAGAACTGCTGTGAAAAATTTAAAAATAAATTTGGTTGTGTCTGGCACATAGAGGGCATTCAATAAATGTGGGTTGGATGTGAATCTGAGAAGTGTTCATTGAACCTTATCTGAGGCACCTGGAAGTGGCCCTGGCACTGTAGAGGGACCCAAGGTTCATGGTGGATGCGGGCTTTCTCTCCAAGACTGACCATCCAGAAATGGTCCTGTAGCAAAGTAAAGCTGCTTGGAGTGAAATGAACCAGCCAGGAATGAAGATGTTTAATGCTCCAGAGGTTCAGGGAACCTGCAGGCCAGGAATGAAGGGGGAGAACTGCATTTCAGGAGTGTTGGAGTCCAAGAAAAGGAGATTAGACTTCCCTCTATACCCAGCAGGAACCACTGAAGGGTGCTGAGCAGTTATAAGTGGGGTTTGTGAAGTTAGCTCCATGGGGAGTGGAGCAGGGAGGCTGGTTCCACAGACCAGAAATGGTAAAGACCTGCACTAGGATGGGAAGGTAAGGAATGGAGTAGAGAGAACAGATGTGAGAGACACATTCATTCATTCATTCATTCATTCATTCATTCACTCACTCAAGTATTTACTGAGCTCATATCCTGCTTCCCTCATGGAATTTACCATGCACTTCACATAAGTGCATATGAAATTGTAATTATGAGAAGTGCAAGAAAGGAGAGCCATCTGGTGGTGGTGAGCATTTATAAAGGGGCATACCTGAACTAATCTGGGAAAGCAAAAGTGCTTTCTTGAAAAATTGATGATTGAACTGAGACCCGAAGGGTGGGTATTTATCCAGGTAAAGAGGAGATGAAAGGGCAGCCTAGGCAGAGAGCACAGCCTATGCAAAGGCCCAGAGGTGGGATGCAGTGTGGTGAGTCCAAAGCCTGAGGGAAGGCCAGGGCAGCTGGAGTGGATGGAGCATGGTTCAGGGTGAGGCTGGCAGGCCGGGCAGGGCAGAATCAGGGGCACCATAGGCTGCGTCAAGGAGTTTTGTCCTTCGCAAAGAGGAATGAGAAGCTGTGGGAGGCCTTTTAGGGTGGGGGCAGGGGTAACATGTACAAATGCATATTTTGAAAGTTTCACTTTGGCTGTCATAAGTAAAAAGACTAGGATGGAGCATAACTCCAGAGGAAAGGGGGGAAAGAGTTGAAAACAGCCAATAACAAATGTCATCCCCGAGCTCTTATGAAAGACAGACAGTGTTCCCGGGGAACCTGCCAGAGGAAGATGACTTAGAGCTGCAGAGAGGGAATGTGGGGAGTCCATGAAGCAGCAGCAGCAGATTCGAGGCTTTTCCAGACTCCAAAAAAACCAGGAGGCTATAGCTGCCCAGACAGCAAGGGAATAAAAGATGCCTGAGAAGGAGGCTCTCGGTCAAAGGCAGGCATGGGCAGTGGGCCCAGAGAGTGGATGGGGTGGATTCAGGGCCCACCTCTCAGTTATGCACCCAGTACATGGCACCAGGTGCTGAGACCAGAAGCCTTGGGGTCATCCTTCCCATCCATGTGGGGTCACCCCCCACATCCCAGGTGTCTGCAAACTCATCAACAACCCACAGTGCCTTCCAAATCTGGCCGCTTTCCACCCTCCACCTGGAGTACCACAGTAGCCTCCAATCTGGAAGCTTCCACTCCCCTCCACTCAGCCTGATCTCCACACTGCAGCCAGACTGATCTATTTAAAACCCTCCTGTGGCATCTTGTCACATTTAGAATAAGATCCCTGCCTGGCCTGGCCCCTGGCTGGCTCCCACAGGCATCTCCTGTCCCTGCTCTCAGTCACTCAGTTCCTGCCATGCTGGCCTCTTGCTACCAGCCACAAACCCACCAAACAGACCCCCAGCCCACAGCCTCGGCACTTACTCTCCCTCAGCCTAGAATGCTGTTCCTGGAGAAATCTCCCTGACCTTCCCGGGCCACCATCAGCCCCTCTAGTCTTCTTTTCCCACCATGGTCTGTGGTGCCTACAACTTGTTCACAATTCCCTGCACTCCCTTGGCATTTTTGTGGTATTCACCTGGCAAAGCGCCAGCCCTGGAGAAATCCCACTGACAGCTTTCTCCTTCTCCATGGCTACCCCTGACTGCTGAGCCCCCTGGTGAGAGTCTCCCCACAGTACGAGGGCAGCCCGTGCCCCATCAGTCCCCAGGATCATCCAGGCCCTCTGCACTGCACAGAAACTGCAGGAAACGCCTCCCCACCAGCTTTGCCTCCTCCTCCAGTCTCCGCAGGCCTGTGGCTCCCTCACACCCCTCCTGTCTCTTTCCTGTTGTTTTAAAGAAAAATAAAAGTGAGAAATCTCTCAAAATGTCCCAGCCTCGGGTCAAACCACAGACCTTTCCTCCTGACCCCTTCTCAGTTGAGGGCTTTTCCTCTGGTTAAGCCAGTTCCCGCTCCTGCACAGGATCCCTCCTGACTTCTCAGGAAGTCTTTGCCATCCCTGCCCTTTCTTGTGCCTAACATTTCCCCCTTCCCTCGGCTGAGGCTGGACCAGTCCAGTTTATCACATCACCCACCAAAAATGAGCTCCACCTGCTGCCTTGTTCTCCCTTTCCCTTTGTGACCACACACACACACACACACTTGCGCACACACATACACACATGCACACACATACACACACGTGCACACACACACACATACACGCAACACATGGTCCCCATTTCATCACGTCCGCCTCACTCATCAGCCCCTCCGTTGTGGCTTCTGCCCCATCCCTCTGCTGAAGTAGTTCTTTGTAAAGTCATGGATGATGAACACAAGGTCACTAAACCCAGGCCACATTTTCATTTTCCTTGAGCTGGACCCCTGAGCTGTGGTCACCAGCTGGCCGCTGCCTGCTTTCATCATAACTGTGACTACTCCTCCTTCGGTTGCCTCAGGCTTGCCCTTGGGGTCCTTCCCTTCTCAGCCATGGTGTCTCCCTGAGTGGTTCCTTCCACACCCTGGCATCAGTGCCATCCTCTTCGGTCAGATTCAAGCCACTTCTGAGCTCCAGGCCCACAGGTCAACTGGCCCCCGACATAGCCGCCTGATCTGGGTCTCCTCTTGCTCACCTCCAGTCAGTTCCGTATTTGCCACCAAGGCAATCTTCATAAAATGCAAAGCCGGTCATGTCGCCGTAATGAAAAGCCATCCCAGGGAGACAGGCCAAAAGCCCTAGCGTCGCCTACAGCCCCTCATGCTCTCCATCCAGCAGCACCTCGGCTTTCCCTCCCTGGGTTGCTAACACCAGCCCATACTCCTTCTTTTGTTTCCCCTAATACACTGTATTACCCTCCTCGGGGCCTTTGCACATGCTGTGCCCCCTTCATGGAGCTAAATCCTATGATACAGTTTGGATCTGTGTCCCTGCCCAAATCTCGTGTCAAATGGTAATCCCTGATGTTGGAGGTGAGGCCTCGTGGGAGGTGATTGGATCACAGGGTCAGATCTAGTGATAGTGAGTTCTCATGAGACTGGTCATTTAAAAGTGTGTAGCACCCTCCAACCCCCACTCCCCTGCCTCTTCCTCCTGCTCTGGCCATGTGAAGTGCTGGCTCCCTCTTCACCTTCCGCCATGATTGTAAGTTTCCTGAGGCCTCTCCAGAAGCCGAGCAGATGCCAGCATCATGCTTCCTGTACAGCCTGTGGAACTTCGAACCAACCAAACCTCCTTTCTTCATAAATTACCCAGTCTTAGGTGTTTCTTTATAGCAGTGCAAGATCAGACTAATACAGTCTACACATCTTTCTCAGCTCAAACAGCACTTCCAAGTGCACCTTCCTCCACACACCCATGGCTCCCTCCTCCCCTACCCAGCATCAAGGCCCCAACCACCTACTTTCCCGGCTCTCCATTCTCATCCCCATGGTACTCATGCAGCTTGTGACTGTATAAGCAGCCACCTCATTTGTCTTGCTCACTGCTGCTGCTCTAGTGCAGGTGTTGGCCAACAGCAGTCCAGGGGCTAAATCCAGTCCCCCACCTAATTTTTGTAAGTAAAATTTTGTTGGGACGCTCACTTGTTTACACATTTGTTGTTGTTGTTGTTGAGACGGAGTCTCGCTGTCTGCCAGGCTGGAGTACAGTGGCATGATCTTGGCTCACTGCAACCTCTGTCTCCCGGGTTCAAGCGATTCTCCTGCCTCGGTCTCCCAAGTAGCTGGGATTACAGTTGCCCACCACCACGCCCAGCTAATTTGCTGTAGTTTTGTACAGAAGGGGTTTCACCATGTTGGCCAGGCTGGTCTCGAACTCCTGACCTCAGGTAATCTGCCCACATTCAATAAATATGTGGGTCTGTAAATGATCAAGCAGGAAAGACTTGAGATTGGGTCACATTATGTCATTTCACAGAAGACACTGAATTCTGTGGGGAAGTGGCCTTCCTAGGGTTCCCCCGTGCAGTACAGGCTGGCTCTGGGCCCGGGGCTCTTTCCACAAACCATGTTAAGACTCAGTCGTCATCAGGCTGTATCCAGGGGCACCCACTCAAGCATAGATTGGGAAGGAACCAAGGCCTGGTGTGAGAGTGTGTGTGTGTGTGTGTGTGTGTGTGTGTGTGTGTGTGTACAGTGAGACCCCAAAGCTGGCATGGGAGGTAGGGGCATTGCGCACAGCTTTGGGAACTGCCCACCCTTCCTCTCCTCTTGCAGCAGGCCTAGGACTATAGAGAGTCAGACATACCCCGTTATGAACCATTTCACCTCATGTGGTTTCTTTCACCTCTCTGAGTGTCAGACTTCTAAACTATTGGAATGCAGCTTTTATTCCTAAACCCTCGAGTTGAGGCTGGGATTAAATGAGACGTTGCATGGGTGGAGACCACATGTCCTTCCCACAGCCCACGTCTACCCAGCATGTAGAGAACCACTGCTTATTTTTCCCAGGCTGCCCTTGGGTTGCATTTCCATTTTCCCTGGGAGACATGCCAGTAGCTGAGAGACCAAGATTCCCTCGGCTGTCTCTCCTTCTGATGTGACCCCCTATCACCTGGCTCTGCTGTCCCTTGTAGAGTCAGAGAAAAAAAAATGTAGAAAGAAGGAAAACAGCAGGAGCCCTTTCATACCCCACATGCCACCCCCAAGACTCCTGGAGGCCCGGAGAAGTGAAGCCAGTTGTCCAGGGTCGCACAGGCATTTGGTGGAGGAAGAATCTAAATCCCTGGACCCCCAGTCCAGTGCTTCCTTCCACAGCCCAGCAGCCTCCTCCGCCTCCAGGACTATTTCCCCCACTCTAGGAGGCAGGGCTCCCATGGCTGTGGAGGAATGGCGGTGAGAACGGTGTGAGGGAGAGCCAAATTATCGGGAACTCACAGCTGCCTCGCCTCCCGCATGGCTGGGAGCTGCAGTCCCTGGGAGAGCAGCCAGCTGGAAGACTCAAGGACGATAAATGGATCTGGGTGCCAGGGCTCCCAGGACAGAGTGAACTCCTCTGTCTGGTCAGAATCACCCGAGCAGGAAAGCATGAAATGGCACCATTAGGTGAAGGCTGCAGCTGTCCGGGGAGGGAGGCTGGGGGTGTGGAGAGATGCCTGCTCCCAGCCTGCTGGGCCACAGGTCAAGGTCTGAAGAGGAAGGGGCCTGGGAGGCCCCAACAAGGGAGAAGACACACAAGGGAAGGGACTGAGGAAGGGTCTCTCAGGCTTGGCCTGCATCAAGCCCCCCTGGGGAGTTTGTTAAAATGTAGACCCTCTGCCATCGCACCTGTCTCCCAGAGCCTAACTCAGAAAACTCAGTGGACTGGAATGTGCCCAGGGATCTGCATGGTAACAAGCACCCCCATTTCCTCTCATGCAGGTGATCTGGGCACCACACTTTGAAAAAATGAGGTTCTAAGTAATTCAGAAATTCTTGCCAGAGAGGTCAAAGTCCAAGCCCAGTTGCTGGAAGTAAAATAAGCCTCAGAGGCACTGCGGACCTGGAGGGCATCAAGGCAGGGCAGGCAGGAGGACATTGGTGGCAACAACAGGTTCAATCACCATAACTCTGTTTGGTGAGCACACAGATGTTCTCATCTAACCCACCTGGGAGGAGGGCACAATTACCAGCATCATTTCAAAGACAAGGCAAATTCTGCTCAGACAGGTCGTAAGTGACCTGCCCAAGGTCACACAGTTGATCAGAATAAAGAACCGGGTCTAAATTTGACTGAGGCCAGGTCTCCTGCTCAGGAGCAAGGTAGGGGGCCCAGTCCTCAGGGAAAGCTCAGGAAGGGGGAGTCTCCAATAGTGGGAAATGATGCTGGAGAAGCAGGGGTGGACCAGAAGCAAGGTCACTAAACAGAATCCACGCAGGAATTCCCTTCTCTCCCTGGTCCACTGGCCACTGTCCTTCTGTCTGCCCAGGATGGCCACTTGGCCCCTGTGACAGTGTCAGTCCCAAGCACTCAGGCCTCTGCAAGTGGCCCCAAGGCTGGGAGCAATGGGTCCAGGAGGAACCATGCTTGGCATGCATATCCCAGCACAGACCCTAGAACATGCCTGGGTCTCGGAGTGCTAGTTAACTGCCTCTGGCCCCCTTTGCTGGGGAGAACAGCCACATTTGGCCTGGGTTGGGTGAGGAGTTGGGGAGCAGGTGACAACCTGGTTGGCTTATCCTTTATCTTATCCTTTTCTTTCTATCATGTAGAGAGCTGTCAGGGCAGAAAGCAGGACTTCAGGTGAGTATCAAAAAGAATGCTCTCAACAGAGAGCCTAGGGATACACCAGGATGGGGAGTGCAGGGGGAAGGGGCCACCATCTCTCCCCCTATTATGAGCCCTCTTATAACAAGCAGAAACAGCATGTCTAGAGGCTCTCTCTTTCCTTAACTCCAAATGCCCAGATGTGCTCAGAGCTCAGCCACAGTTCTTGTACCTAAACTAAAGAGAGACTTGATTGACAATCAAGTTGAGTAGGAGGGAAGGGGAGCTAGGCTGGAGGAGGAAGGTGGGGTGAGACGACCTCACACACTCACCCTCACACTCTCAGTAGTTCTGGGATGTTCTGCTTTGAGGGTCTTTACTCTGCCCATGGTCAGCCCACGTGGGAGAATCACAGAAGACCCAGATGCCCTGGAGCTTTGCTCTGTGTGGGTGAACAGGGAATGATCTCCAAGGGAGATAGTGGAAGAATCAGTGTGCAGGGGAGTGAGCAAGATACCTGTGTAAAAGGGTGGGGGAGAAGCATATGTATGCTTGTATGCTTCTATATTCACAGCACGGCTCTGGAAAAGTGCATAAGGAATCGATGACATTAGCTGTAGTTGCTTTTGGGGAGCAGAGTTGGGAAAGCAGGAGCTGGAAAATATTTCACTGGGTATCTTTCTGTATCTTTAAAATTTTGAAGCCCATGAAAATCTGCCTGTCTCTTCCACCCTCTGGTACTTCAGAACCCTGGAGCTGGATCCTCAGCCTTGAGAAGGAGAAAACAAACGAGGGGGGTTTGTGTGTTTTTAAATTTATTTAATTTTATTTTATTTTTTACAGACAGCGTCTCACTCCCTTGCTCAGGCTGGAATACAGAGGCGTGATCATAGCTCACTGCAGCCTTCAAACTCCTGGGCCCAAGCAATCCTCCCACCTCAGCCTCCCAAGGAGCTAGGACCACACACATGCATCACCATGCCTGGCTAGTTTTAAAATTTTTTGTAGAGACAGGGTACCACTATGTTGCTCAGGCTGGTCTTGAACTCCTGGCCTCATGCGATCTTGCCGCCTTGACCTCCCAAAGTGCTGGGATTATAGGCATGAGCCACTGCGCCCGGCCAAAAGAGAGAACAAATGAGTGGGTTTGTGTAGCTCACCCGGAAATCGCCTGACCTGCTCCAGGTGGGAGGCATGCTGCAGGGAGAATGCCACCAGGACCTGCCCCCCTCACCCTCAGAGGACACCTGGACTCTCACTTTGCCTCTTCTTCCCTACAAAAAGTCGGGAGACTAGAAGCCCTGTTGTCTCCTCTAGCAGGCTTCTGGGATTCCCTTGGTGTGCCCCCAAATGAGACTGCCTCCAAAATGGGATCCTGATGCCACATCAAAGATGAGTAAGTTCGATCCTCACCCTCACCAAAAGCATATGTGTGTGTGTGTGCACACATGTACACACACTCACCATCAACTGCCACCCCAAATCAATTAAATATGATCTGGGGACTAGGCACTTCTGTGGATTATCCCACTCAGTACTGGCCTCGATTAATGCAGATAATGGAGAGCTGACTGGATACAGCTTACAGTATTTAATCTTTCCCGGCATTGTATTTGCAGAAGCCAAAGTAATGAGATGGAAATAGGTTAACCAGCAAGACACCTGTCGCCGAAGCTCGTAGGCTAAAAAGATCAATACTTAAGGAGAAATGTTTGTCTTTATGTTTTGCACCAGTGCTTCAGTCCAACATTTGGTCCTGGGAGGCTGAGGATAAAGTGTTAATGAATTAATTTTCTAGCTCATTCTGAAAATAAATTACCCATTTCTTTGAGTTCCTTGTGTACCGAGGTCTGATGAGCCTTCTTGGTCAGTCCACGCACACCTCCACTTTGGAGCAAGGTTGTCATTCTGCACACATAGAAGCAGAGTCTGTTCTTGACTGGCCCTGGGGAAGCTAACAACTCCCAGGTTCCTGAGAGTTGGAACGTCCTTCTAGTGTCTAACTTCAATCTCTCCTGCTGCGGCAACACTCATTTTCCTTCTCTTGCATCTATGCTGAGATCAGCAATCCCAGGCCACCTGATGGGCACCTCAGAATCCAATGGCTGAGGATTGAGCCCTTCCTGCATCAATCTTGGGCTGGCCTGTTAGCCTCCCTGCGCTTGTGCAGCTGTGTGTGAGGGTTAAGCATCCCTGCCCTCCCTGCCTTAAGGACTGCTTCCATGATCAAAGGTGAAGTTTCCTGAGTAAGGCTCTGCAAATCTGCAGCACCTCACGCCTGCCTCGGATTATTTCTCTCTGAACCTAGACCCCAGGCATGGATACCCTTAAATCACAGACAAATATTAATAAAACCCAGCCTGTGAGGGCTGAAGGACTCTTACAGACAATGCAGTCCACAGCCTCTTTTCGAAAACAAAGAAATCGAGGCCCCAAAGGGAGGTGGCTTACCTCCATCACACAAACAACACCACTAAATGGTGGCAGAACTGCCTGAGTTGTCAATTCCTGGATTCCAGGCCTTTGTAGCTCCTCAGGCCACCCCACCAAGCCCTGGCTCCATTTGATCCTTGGCTAACTCTTGTAGGGTGTAGGGGTAGCGGTGGTGAGGGGGCAGAGGGATGCCCTGGCCAGGCAGGCCCCTCAGCACACCCTCCGCTCTGCCACCCCAGCCAGGATCAACTTGAAACAGCACAGAGGAGCCCGCCATCCCCGTGGGAGAGAAGCTGGAGTCCAGGCTCCCTGGAGAGGGAGTTAATACTGCAGCACGGCGCACTCTAGCCAAGGCGGAGAAGCTGCTGAGTCACAGTCCAGCTGCCTGGCCAGCCCTGAGCTGCCTGCTGGGGCCCCCAGCTGCTCTCAGCCCAGGGGGCTGCCTCTGGCCCCCAGACAGGCTGCCTTCCCACCTCCTTCTCCAGAGACTCAGCATCTTGGGCCTCCAGGGTTCCCCACTCCCCAGCACCCCACAACATCTCCCAAACCCACAGGCAGCTGTCCTGGGGCGGAGGAGAGGGTCTTCCATTGGTTGAGTGTCAAGATGCTTGGGAGCACGCCAGGAAGGGTGGGGGACCCCGAATGAGTGATTGAGTGGGGACAGATGGAGGCTTGGGGACCAGTGGGCCCTGGGCTGCCTGGTGTAGGATACGGAAAGTGTGTGTGTGTGGGGGTGCACCCGTGGGCCCCAGGAGGTCTGTTGTGCGCATGCTCTGAGTGTGAGGGAGGACGGGTAGGACCGTGGGGGTCTGCCCTGGTCGTGCTCCCAAGAGAGGCACTGCTTTCTGCAGAGCGCGTGGGCAACTGTCAGCTGGGGAAGCGCTCACCAGGGGAAAGGGGAGCTCTCTGTGGCTTAGCAGTGATTAACCCACACAATCAATGGATCCTCCAGCCACAGTGTGAGCAGCTCTGCCTCATGTGAGGCACACAGCACCTTCCAGCACAGTCCCGATATCTTTCATGCCAGATGCACATCTTCAATTTCAGCTACAAACCATTACAAATTGATGCATTTTCTTTCTGACTAAATGTTACAAGGTTTGAACATACTATCTCTGCCGATCACCGCCCCTCTAAGGGATGGGTTTAGAGGTTTGGCACGAAAGCAAAAGCCTTTTAATAGGAGTGCGTGAGTGTGGTGGTGTGTGTGTGATGTGAGTGTGCATATGTGGTGTGTGTACGTGTGTGGTGGGTAGGGGTATACGTGGTGGTGTGTGTGTGTAGGATGTGTGTGCTGTATGTGTAGTGTGTAATGTGGGCTCTAGGGTGTGGGGGACAGTGGGGTGTGTGTATATGGTGTGTGTGTGTGATGTAGGGGGTGGTGTGGGTTAGGGGTGGAGGCTCTAGTGGGGTGTCAGGGGGTATGTGGGTAGTGGTGGGTAGTGGCATATGTGTGGTGTGTACATATGTGTGGTATGGGGGTATAGTGAGTTTGTGTGGGATGTGTGTGTCAGTGCATCTGTGGTGTGTGTAATATGTGTATGTGTTGTGTGTTGTGTGTAGTGAGGTATGTGTGCAGTGTGTAGTAGGGTGTGTGTGGTGTGTGTGTGGTGTGTGTTGTGTGGTGCATGTAGTGTGTAGTAGGGTGTGTATGTGTGGTGTGTGCATGTGGTGTGTGTGGTGTGTAGTAAGGTGTGTACGGTGTGTCTGTGTGGTGTGTAGTAGAGTGTGGATGTGTGTGTGGTGTGTGTGGTGTTTAGTAGTATGTGGGGTGTGTAGTGGGGTGTGTGTGATGTGTGTGGTGTGTGTGTGGCATGTAGTAGGGTGTGTGTGTGGTGTGTGTCTGTGTGGTGTGTGTGGCATGTAGTAGGGTGTGTGTGTGATGTGTGTGGTGTGTGTGTGGCATGTAGTAGGGTGTGTGTGTGGTGTGTGTCTGTGTGGTGTGTGTGGCATGTAGTAGGGTGTGTGATGTTTGTGGTGTGTGGTATGTGTGTGGTGTGTGTCTGTGTGGTGTGTGTGGTGTGTAGTAGGGTGTGTGTGTGGCGTGGACTGGGGGTGTAAGGGGAGGGGGTGTTGCCAGTGTGCGGGGAGGGGGAAGGGAGCAGGGGCAGGAGCCCGGGCTGGGTGGCAGGTGCCCCCGCTCAAGCTGCGGGAGAGTAGCTGGAGAGACCGCAGCCTCCTCCCCAGCCTGGAGGCCCGGCTCCTCCCTTCCTGTGGCCCGGCGAGGAGACCTAGTGGTGCCCCCTGCTGTCCGTCCAGGAGCCTGCCGCCTGCCTCCAGCCCCATCTCCACCCAAGCCAGGCCCATGCCCTCCGCACACAGCCGCACCCCCGCCAGGCTCACTGCCTCCCAGGCCCCCAGTCAACGCTCACACCCTGGAAAGGAGGAGGTGGGCAACCGGTGGGAGGCCGGAGGCAGAAGGAGGCTCCATCAACCCAGTAATGGAGCAGAACATCAGCACTGTGGCATCTGCTAGCCGGCAGCACCGGGGTGGGGGTCCTGTCTCCATCTCTCAGGCCCAGCTGAAATGGGTGACAGCAGCCAGTGCAGGGACGTGGCAGAGAATGCCAGAAAGGCTGTGTATGTGTATGTGGGTGCACGTGAGCGCCATGTGTATGAACACCATGTATGAATGTATAAACATGCATGAACCGGCACTGTGAACATGCATACAAACATTGCGTGCAGGTGCATTACACTGCCACATGTAGAAATGTGAGAAGCCCCAGGGAAGGGAGGGCTGGGGGTCTGGGGCCACAGGACTTGTCCCGGAAGCTGGGGTGATAGCTACAGGCCCCGTACTTGGGTAATGGGAGGGGGTGGACTACGGTGCAGGTCACCTTACAGCCTCGGGGTTGGAAGAGACCACAGGGTCACCAGCCCCCACCCTCCCTCTGCAGCGGCAACTCTTGCCAGACCCTCTGTCTCCAAAGGTGGCAAGAGGTCTGGGACCTGAAAGAGGCATCAGGAGACCTGGTTTCTCTCCACTTCTTTCCATCCTTTGGAAAGTGGCTTTGCATCTCCCAAGATAGCCTCTCAGCTTTCATTTTTTTTTTTTTTTTGAGACAGGGTCTCACTCTGTCACCCAGGCTGGAGAGCAGTGGCGCAATCACAGCTCACTGCAGCCTCGACCCCCACGAGTAGCTGGGACTACAGGCGCACCACCATGCCCGGCTCTTTTTTGTAGAGAAGGTGTCTCGCTATGTTGCCCAGGATGGTCTCAAACTCCTGGGCTCAAGCAATTCACCTGCCTCAGCCTCCCAAAGGGCTGAGATTACAGGCCTGAGCCACCGCATGCGGCCTAGATAGCCTCTCAGCTTTTAGAACCGAGCCTTCCGAGATGCTTGGAGAGTTCTACCTCTGAAGGCGAGCGGGCACAAAGAGTAGTGGGGTCATGAGAGAACTTGGGCTTTAGAACAGCCAGGGCTGCTTTCCAACCTGACACTTAGCAGCTCTGCAGCCCTGGGAGATGAGTTCATTTCCCTGGGATCATTTCTTAGCTACAAACCGAGGATCAGGTGCCTGTCTCACAGGGATGTTATGAGGATTGAAGAGGCCACATGTGCTGGCACAAAGTGGTCCCTAAATAAATACTCATTTCCTTTCCTCAGTTCTCCTCTCAGCGGGGCTAGGCCGAGTCCATGCTGACCATGGACTCAAGGACGGACCTTGTGTTACCCACAACGAGGGGTGCAGTGCTCGCCAAGTCAGGGACTCTGAGCCAGCCCCGGCTCTGTCCAGGAGGGCAAGGGTTGCTGCAGAGGTTGTGCGGCTGGGGAGCCTGAGGCCCAGAATTCTCTTCCCTGGCTCTGTGTGTTCCTCTTGCAGAGACTGCGTCACTTCTTCCTGGTGTCAAAGGTACTTGTATAAGCAGCTCAGCTCCTGGAGGATCACTAAGGCTGTGAGGTGGGAACGTGTCTTGTTCACGACTGCATTTCCTGCCAGCTCCCAGAGGAGCAGCCTGATTGCTGAGCCTGGTAGCAGGCAATGGAGGAGGTGGGGGATCTCAGCAGGCACTGCCCCCCCAACTCTGGCAACCTCTGTCCCATCAAGCTCCCTGCTAAAGGAGAGAAGAGAAACCCCAAAGCCGAAAGAGGCACCCTGTCTAGTTCAGACCCTGACACCCAGGGCCTGAGTGGTCATGGGTGGGGTGTGGATGGGCAGGCGCACTGCCTTGCGGTGCTCCACTATAGGTAGGCAGGCCCGTGGCTCCCCATGGGGAAAGAAGGTCCAGTGCAGCTCAGGTTCTCTGGAGAGTCATGCGCGAAGGAAGGGCATGAAGACCACTTCCCCAGTTAATGAGGGTTTGGCCAGGAGTTGTCTGCCTTACCCAACCTTGAAAATAACCCCTAGCATGTTTAATTGCTTAAAAATCCACTCTTTCCTCTGATCTTCACTTTCGTTTTCTCCAAATCCTATGTCAGGCTCCGTGCTAAGTGCTGGGAATACAAGAAGAATAAAACCCAACCCCATCCTGAAGCAGCTCACGGGGAGACAACAGAGCTCAGGCCTTTGGGAGGTGCAGCAGATGTGGTTCTGCCCCTTGACAGAGGAGACAGCTAAGGCTCAGAGATCAGCTTGCCCAAGGCCTCCCGGTGCACTTGAACCCTGACTTCCTAGCACTCAGCCCAGGGCTCTTTCCTTCCCAACAAACAGCCCCAGGGAGCTCCTGAAGCACACTGGGAAGGTGGGTCTAACGGGAAGACCACAAAGGCACCGGGCTCAGAGGTGGGTGCCGGGGGCAGGGAGGGAGACCTCCACTGTGCCCACTCCGTTCCAGCGGTGTATTTCATTTCATCCGGGCCCTGTGAGGTGGGGACTGTGATTCCCATTTTGTAATTGAGGAAACTGGGCCTCAGGCGGAGCGAAACAGGTCGCTCGCTCACAGCACCCTTTCCCAGAGGACGGAAACAGCTGTACTCCCAGGCAGCAGAGTAGCTCGCTTTGGGCCACACCGGGACCTGGGAGAGGTCATGAGACGTCTGGAGAGCCCAGCCTGCTCTCAGTGGGAGCTGGGAGCCAGCCAAGGAAGGTGCAGTCTGGTCCTCCCGTTTCCAAGAGCGCCTCCGTCCTTCCAGATGCTGGCCAGGCGCCAGGGACAGAGATGTACCCATCACTCTTCAGACAGAGATGCCCATTATCACCAACACCTATGACAGCTCGTGGTCTCCAGAAACTAAAGTGGAGCATGCAAGTCCCGGGGGCACAATTAGGTGCTCCAAAGAAGCCAGCTCTCTCCTGCCTGACCGGGAGCCGGGACAGACATGGGAGGTAGGGGCCAGGAGGGATGAACCATGGCCTCAAAACACCCATGGGCTGGAGGAGGGGAGCAATGAGGGGGAGAATTCCAAATTGGAAAGCCTCAACTTGGAATTCTATGTGGATCCAAACCTAGAAGACAGCTCTGCTGAGGAAGAGGAGCCAAGTGAAACACCAGGTGCAGCCAAGTGGGGTGAATTAGCACCTGGGCTCTGGACAGACTGACCTGGACTGGAGTCTCAGCTCTGTCACTTTTAGCCATGGGAACTTGAGCAGGTTGCTTAACCTCTCTTGGCCTCAGCACTCCATCTGCATAACGGGAATGATAATGGAAGCTGCTGTGCAGTGCTGCGAGGCTTAGGAGCACTGTATGTAAAGCATGGCATTATGTCCATGGCTGGTTCCTGAGCCAGGCTGGGCACAGGCCTGTCAGAAGCACACGGGGATGGCTCCAGTGGAGAGGTGGGGCAGCCTCTCTGCTAACCCCCTATTAAGGGCCAGATTAAGCCACCCCTTTTTAAAATTTCCTGGGATAATTCAGGCCTCTCTTAATCAATGGTCCTCCTTCTACCCATGCCTTTAGCTCCAGCCCAGACGGCCTTCTTGATGCCCACCTCTGGGCCAAGTCCTCTCTTCTGAGCCACTGCACTATCCCTGGCTTCTTTCCTGCCCCTGTGTCCAGATCCTGCCAAGCCTTTCCCCGTCCTCCAGCCCACCTTCCCCAATACTCAGGCCTCTCAGCAGCCATGGCTTCTCCAACCGTGGCTGCTGAGTCTCTATTTTGGTTGCTCTAATTTTCAAGTTCTCATTTGTGGGTATCTGACCACATCCTCCTCTCAGAAGTCAGCAGAGTCTAGCTGTTCTTCCTCTAGCTGCCACTCCCATCCTATAGATGACAACACTGGGATGTGAAGAGGTGAGGTTGCCCAGACTCCCCAAGGATGTCCCAGGCAAAACCTATCCCTAGTGTGGTGGCTCATGCCTGTAATCCCAGCACTTTGGGAGGTTGAGGCCAGCCTGGACAGCACAGTGAAACCCCATCTCTACAAAAAATTTTAAAATTAGCCAGGCATGGTAGTGCATGCCTGTCGTCCCAGCTACTCAGGAGGCTAAGGTGGGAGAATCACTGGAGCCCAGGAGTTTGACATTAGGTGAGACCTAGCCATGCCAGCAGACCAGCCAAGCGGCCATACCCAGCAGGCAGCTTGGAGGGGAGGGGCAGGTGTGTTGCTCAGAAGTGACTCTGGAAGTCACTAGCACAAAAGAATAATCCGCTGGGGAGAGTGTGGGCATAAGAAGAAATCCAGAGATGGGCTTCTAGAAATATCAGCATTTGGAGGATTTGTAGAGAAAGAGGAAAGCCAGGGAGATTGAGGAATGACCAGGAATCGGAGGAAAGCTCTGAAGAACAGAAAATGACTCCATGGCAATAGAGCGGTTACACCGGAGGGGCAGGCAGGGGCTGGGAGGGGACAGGGATCCTTCTGGGGAATTTCTTTGGTGATTATACTGGTGCATATATCCATAAGTTGTGCACTTTGCTGAATCTAAGTTATAACTTCATCAAAAAGAAAAACGAATGTGCAGAGCAGAAAGAGCTAGGGGTGGACCCCTGGCTCCCACACACTCTGGCTTGACCAGGTGCTGGAGGACACCATGGGTAGAGAGAGCATAGACCCTAATAGAGCGCCGTGCATCCCATCGCCAACCGGCTTTCCCATGATGCACAGGCGCTTCTGCTGAGAACCACAGGGCAAAGGCACCTAGAACCAGGGAGCCACTGAGGAAAGGCTTCCTGGAAAAGCAGCAGGGAGCCAAGGTTTAGGAGGAGATGGGGTGGGCTTGGAAGAGGCTGGCCAGTTTCCAGGCAAGAGACGTCCACCTGGGTGGGTGTCTGGCAACCACAGACCATGATGGGACCCCTCACAGCCACCACCCTGGAAAGCGCAGCGATGACAGCTGACTTGGGAAGGTGATGACACGGCAGAACACACCCCGGCTCCAGAGACGCCATCATCTGGGACCCTCTCCACAGAGCCTGACTTAGGGCAGGAGAGCCTCCCTGGTCCAGGACACCAGAGGCCTCAAGGTTTTCCCTCACAGGAGCCTCTTTCCACACCCCCGGCCCCAGCAAACATTTGAGAATGGGCCGTTGCCCTGCCTAGCAGTACACAGGGCTCTGGCCTCCCTGCTCTGGGCCAGAGGAGAGGGGAAATGGAATTGGGCAGAGGACTGTCCCTTCATATGACCACTGGTGACAAACACTGTGTCCTGCAGAGCACGGCCCAGGATGAAGCACCTCCACCCACACACATGGCATTCGGCAGCTGCAGGGCCCAGCCCTGCACCATTTCTGAAGGTCCACACATAGCACATATCACAGCTGAGGAAACTGACAGCCAGAGAGAGGAAGGGACTTGTCCGAAGTGACAGAGTAAGAAGCCTGCCTTACTGTGCTCTTCCAAGCTGGCTTGGAATCCAGTGCTCTTCCAAGTGCTCTTCCAAGCTTGGAATCCAGTGCTCTTCCAAATCATCCAGTGCTCTTCCAAACTGGCAAAATCCTGAGCCTCGGAGAGGCTTACTGAGCTCCCTGCCTACCAAAGCCAGCATGGGTGAGCATCTGTGGCTCTCTGGAACCGCAGGGAGTTCCAGTCACCCTGCTGATGACCCCTGCTTGGAGCTATAACTATAAGTGGAATACCTGGGGTGGCTCCTATTAGACCCTGACTCCCTGGAGCTGGCAACAGAGAACCAGCATGTAACAGTCCCCACAGACGGAGCTAGCCTGCATCAGGGTTTCTAATGTTCTGCTGCAGGTTCACTTCGCACTTGAGAAGGAGGAACGACTTCAGTTTTTTTCTAGCAGCTTCTTGGCTCTTCCCAGTGGCCCCTCCCCCAAGCAAAGTCCCCTGAGAGGAAAAAATCACACCACATCTTTGTGGATCAGTGGTGCCTCTGCCCCCACCCAAGACACCGGGCATGTTTCCTCATGAAGAGTGACTTGCGGCTCCTTCGCAGCACTGAGGGCTGGAGCCAGAAGAAGGATGAACCCACTGCGGGGGTCTTCTCTCTTCATGTTGGAAAACAGATTTAGGCTCAAAATGAAGGAGGGTTTTTGCACAGTCAGCACCACCCATTGATGAGTTCGTGGTCCCAGGAGGTAATGAGTGCTCCATCATCGGGAGCATTCAAGCTGAGGTTAGCCCACTATTGGGAGGGATATTATAGACAGGACTCAGGTAAGGGGACACAGCATTGACCTAGATGAAATTTGAGGTCCCCCTTCCAACCCTGAGAGCCTCTAAATCTCTGACATCTCCATCCCAGCCCTTGCTGCCAATTGGCCTCATTTGCCTGGCCCTGCTGGTTTGCCAGGCAGTTTGTCCTCAGAGAGAAGTAGCTGCCAATTATGTGGGGACCACAAGAGTTTCCTTTATGACATCACCACTCTGCAGGAAGGGGCTGAGGTGGGGTAAGAGAGGAGAAACAAGACAGAAGGTGGTACCAGAGAAGGAGTCAGCTCCCCAGGGCCTGGAATCTGCAGTGTTGCCACCACTAGGTAATTTGTGGGGCACACTGCTGTTGGGGTCTCAGGAAGCCAAGTCTGGGCCCAGAAGGGAAATAGCCCAGTTCTGGCCTCCTGACTGGGGTGGGGGACTGTCAAGGGAAAAATAAGCCCAGGCTAGCTCTCTGAGGCTCATTAGAGAAAAAGGTAAATGTCGAAGACGTGTCATGGCAGGCAGCTCATTAAGCCCACGGAGCTTAAAAATAGTGAGACACACAGATATTGGGGGATGGGGAGCTGGGGATGAGACGCCGGCTCATCACACTGCAGGGAAGAACAGCAAACCTGGGAGAAAGTGACTCTATAACCAGTGGAAGAAAGGCTGTGTAGCCATCACCGGATCTCTGGGTAAGCTTGGCGCACAGGGCTGCTGGAAATGTCAGACCCTGTTCTGTCGATGAGAAGACTAAGCCCAGAGGAGGGTGTTCCCAGGCATTACCCAACAGGCTCGACTGTTCTCCATGCAGGGGAAGAGAGAAGACACAGAGACACAGACCTGCCCCGGAGGAATCCAGAGCCCACCTGCCCAGAGAGGCTCCACCTGATTTCCCTGGCTCTGGGCACCCCCTTAAAAGCCCTTTATGCCATCTTTCCTTTCAGTCGAGTGATGCAGGATTTGGGACCAGACAGCCTTTGCTCAAATCCTTCCACAGTTATCTACCAGCTTGGTGGCCTTGGAGAAGTTATTTCCCTGTTCTGGATGTGCTTCCTCTTCTATAAACTAGAGACACTACAAATTCCCACCACAGAGGGGTAAATGCAGCATCCTGTACGTTATGTGTTTGGCACAGGACCTGGGATGCAGGAGGCACTCTGACCGGTGGCATCCAGGAAGTAAGGAATATGGACTAAAGGGAGGGCCAAGGAAAAGTTTACAGGCTGTGGCTGTGCAGTTGGAAGATGCAGAAGCGCCTCGCTGGGTGCTGCCAGGTTAGGTTTGCAGAATGCAGTGAATGCTCTTGCTGACAAAGGATGGGGATAAGTGAACTGGGTAATCATGACCTAGGGGAAGCCACTAGCTCAAATACTGATCCCTATTTAAGTCACCAAAATATGCTGGGCACCCAGTGGGTGCCCAGCGCTTTCCCATAAGTGATCCCAAACCAGGAGCTAGTCCAAGCCTCCAAAGGTGGCTGGGTAGTTCATTGGAATGAGGGCTGCAGTGACTCCAGAGGGAGCAGGACTCCAGAGGAGCAGGACTCAAGAGAAGGGGAGCCAGGGAAGACTGAGGGGATGTGTAGGTGAGGTGGCTCTTTTCTGGCTGAGAGAAGAGAAGGTCCCCAGCCCACACCAAGGGCTCCATAATGGAAGGGAGGCCTAGGGTGGGTCCTCCCCCTCCCCATCTTCATCCCACTCAGCCCCTACCTGGCCTTTAACACACTGGGTGGGAGAAGTGTTGCTGAGCACAGCAGTGACCTGAGGCCCTGGGCACTCATCCCAGTTTAGCTCCACAGGGGACTCCAGTTGCTGAGGAAGAATATAGAACTTATATAGGATGGGGGAGCTGGAAGGAAACTTAGGATCAATTGTTCCAGCCTCTAATTGAATGGTGGGGAAACCCAGAGACAGAGAAAGGAAATTACTACCCCTTCCAAGCCAGTGAGAGAGCCAGATCTAGAATCCAGGGCTCTTTCCATGATATTGCACCTCCCATCTCAGTCCTGTCTTTATGAAATGCCATATTGAAGCTTTATGTATTGGGGAAATTTAACTGAGGCTCAAACGGACACAAATTCCCTAAAGCCACATGGTGAGTCAGACAGCGAAATGCAAGGTGTCTGGTCCTTTCCCAGCATCCAACGAACGTTTCTTGGGCACCTACTACAGTCAGGCTGGGAGCACTTTCAGACGTTCTCTCACTTAAATCTCACATGTGGGAGCAAGTTGGTGGAAGAGCGAAGGGCCAGAGGCCAGGGTCCAAATCCTGGCTCTCTTAGCTGAGTCTCCTTGGACAAATCCCTTGATGTCCCTCAAATGATGCCTCCATTTCTTCACTTTATAAGAAGGGGATTCATAATAGTACCTACCTTGTAGAGTATTATGATAATTAAAGGAGACTATCCATATGAAATACTTAGAACAGAGCCTAGTAATATAAATATACCATTTAAAAATAAGTATACTGGCTGAGTGTGGTGGGTCACACCTGTAATTCCAGCACTTTGGGAGGCCCAGGCGGGTGGATCACCTGATGTCAGGAGTTCGAGACCAGACTGACCAACACGGAGAAACCCCGTCTCTACTAAAAATACAAAATTAGCTGGGTGTGGTGGTGCATGCCTGTAACCCCAGCTACTTGGGAGGCTGAGGCAGGAGAATCACTTGAACCCAGGAGGCGGAGGTTGCAGTGAGCCGAGATTGTGCCATTGCACTCCAGCCTGGGCAACAAGAGTGAAACTCCATCTCAAAAAAAAAAAAAAAAAAAAGTATACCATTTGACAATCCTAGGCATATACCCAAGAGAAATGAAAACACGTATCCTTACGAAAACCCTTCCACAAATGTTGATAGCGGCATTATTCAGAGTAGCTGAAAAGTGGAATCAACCAAATGTCCATCAACTGATGAATGGAGAAATAAAATGCAGTATATCCACACAATGGAATGTTATTTGGCAATAAAAAGAAATAAAGTACCGATACATGCTTCAATGTGGCTAAACCTTGAAAGCATTATGTGAGTGAAGGAAGCCAGGCACCAAAGACCATGTGTTATATAATTCCATCTAAATAAAATATCCAGAAGGTGCAATTTCATAGAGACAGAAAGTAGATGATTAGTTGGCTAAGGCTGGGAGGAATGGAAGAATCGAGGGTGACTGTTAATATGTATGGAGTTCCTTTTTAGGGGTGAAAAAATGTTCTGAAATTAGATCGTGGTGATGGTTGTGCAATTCTGTGAATATATTAAAAGCTATTGAATCGTGCCCTTAAATGGGTGAATTGTATAGTATGTGAATTATAGCTCAATAAAGCTGTTTTCAAAAAGTAAATATATATTTATAAACTTCTATAAGATAGTAAATCATATCCATTCCAATTTAATGATAAGGCTCAGAGCCAGTCAGCAACTTGCCCAAAGTCCCATGCCTAGGAGGCCGCAGGACCTGATTTTGGACTTTGTGTTGTCGAACTCCTGAAGCTCCTAAGACCTGATCCAGTTCAGACTCATGGAGAGCAGGCCTGCCCTTATGTATCTTGGGGAAAGCCTCCATTCCCTGTCCCAATGAGGCCACTCAGGAAGTTCTCCCCGCTCTCTAATCCAAACCCATACAACTTACAAGGGATGATATTCAGGGGGATATGAGGTCAGGAGCAGGGTCACAGGAGACAGGCACCAGAAGGGAAAGCTACATTTCTAGGCAATGCTGGATATCTTCTTTAGGGAAGCCTGGGGAATGGGGCAGATGAAATATAGTGGACTTCAAGACATGAGCTCACGGTTGATTTTGGGGGTGACCTTGGCCAAGAAACCTCATCTCTGGGGCTCTTGGTAAAATGATATTCAGGAAGAAGCTCTGAGGACAGCTCCAGAAGCAGACATTTCTAAGGCTATTTATAAAGTGGCCTTCCCTCTCCTTACACACAACTCACCCCAGATGATCAGGTGGGAAGTCTGTAGGGCAGTGGGCATCACTTGGTTGCTTGCTTGGGTATATACAACCTGGTCACCCCCATGGTTCTTGGCAGAAGATATTGGGGCCAAACCAAGAGGCCCTAACCTAACCATCACTCCAATACTGTGAGCAGGTCAGGTTGGCTCTCCCTCCCAGCCAGGAAGGAGGAAAGAGAAGGAAGCGACAAGGGCACTAACAACCAGGGTCCTTGTCTTACCTGGCAGGAAAGATGCTGAATGTGATATTGACTCAATGTGCTGCTTCTGATCAGCCCCCTGCCTGCCTCCCTGCACAGTGGATAGTCTGGCTGCAAGTGGTAGGGGGAAGGAGCTCCCACTTTTGACAACCCAGGAAAGGCATCACCTCAGTTTGTCTGGAGCTCATGGCCAGGGTGTCCCAGCTTGAAGGAGAGGTTCTCCTGCCCCCTTCTCTGCTTGTACAACTATACACTGCATTCAGAAACACTCCTTCTCCCTTGCTAAGGAGCATTAGGAGATACAAAACCACCATCCTTTTTCCAGGTGAAATAAGGAAGAACAGAAAATGAGGAGGGCCAGATTCAGCCCAGAGCCACCCAGAGTCCAAGTGGCCTCACTGGGAGAGCAGTACACTGGGTTTGGTGCCCTTGGTAGAAAGCCCAACATGCCAGGACCTCAGCCAGCAAGCCAGCATGTGCTCCAGAGCAGGGACAGGGAGAGGCCAACCTGTGCATCCGCTAGGCTCACTGGCTATTTCAGACCATCATCTGCCTCATTCGATCCCAGGACATCTTGGGAGAAGTGAGGAAGGCAGGCATCCCTCTCCACATTTTTTAATGGGGACCACTGAGGTCCAAGAGATAGGGAAAAACCGCTTGCCTGGGGCCATGTGCAGTAACTTAATAGTGGGTTCACTGGATTCTAGATTCTTCTCATCAAAGCCAATCATACCCCTGCCTCGCCCCACTCCCAGCTCTGCTGCTATGTTTCTTTACCTACAAAACGTCAGTCAGTTTTCAGAAACACCATAATAACACTCTTTATAGCACTTTATGGCAAAATCTTTATAGCACCGTGTGTCAGGCACTGCCTATTCTTAGAGCTATATGTAAATAGTCATACATCAAATCCTCATGCCAACCTGATGGCAAGCTATTTCATTTCCATTTTACAGATGAGGAAACTGAGGTAACAAGTGTTTAAGTAACTTAGCCAAAGTCCCACAGATAAAAAACTGGAGGAGCTGGCATTTGAATACAGGCAACCTAGCCCTAGCATCTGAGGTTTAACCACTGCACCACAGTGCCAAGCACATACAAGTACAAGGCTTCGCATATTCCAAGTCTCACTAAAACATGGACTAGGGGCTGGGCATGGTGGTTCACGCCTGTAATCCCAGCACTTTTTGAAGGCTGAGGTAGGAGGATTGCTTGAGCCCAGGAGTTCGAGCCCAGCCTGGGCAACATGGTGAAACCCTGTCTCTACCAAAACAACAACAACAACAAAACAAAAACAAAAACAAAGAAAAACCTTGCAAAACAAAAATTATCCAGGCACGGTGGTGCATACCTGTAGTCCCCGCTATGTGGGATGCTGAGGTGGGAGGATCACCTGAGCCTCGGGAGGTTGAGGCTGCAGTGAGCCGTGATCACACCACTGCACTTCAGCCTGGGTGACAGAGTGAGACCCTGTCTTAAAAAACCTGAAAACCAAAACCAAAACCATGGACTAGGGGCACACGACTAGGCTCAGGACGAAGTGTGTGTGCAGGAAGTCCACATAAGTCCAGAAGCTGGGCTGTGCTCTCACCCAGGTGCCATGTGCTGGGGGCGGGGATGGGGGACAGGCTGCAATTTGTCTCTGAGCAGCCAGCTGCCCTCAAGTCCCAGCCCAGCCGAGCAGTGGGGAGCAGGTTGAAGGCAGGCTTGGAGCTGGCAGGCTCCGTCTGCCCCACTGTGAGCAGCAGCTTTGAGACACTCTCCTGCCGGCTGCTGGTAGGTGCTGCAGTATCTCTCCTGGCTGCAGGGCTGGCTGGGCTGAGGCCAGGCCAAGGGCCTTCCTTCCCCCTTTCACCCTCTGCCCCTCCCTCAGTGCCCGGGGCCAAACGAAGGGCTTAGGAAGCTACTCTGGCTTTCTGGTCTCCAAGGACTGCCGGCCCTGATGATTAATTTGGTGGCTGTGGGACTAGGTTTAGTCTTGGGTGGCAGCACTGACCTCCAGGAATGTCACTGTGGCCCCTTCAGGGGCAGGTAACAAACCTGGCTCATTCCCAAGAGAGTAAGTGAGTCCGGTGGATCAACTCCCACGGTTTTCCACCTAGCATATTTGCCAACAGCGGGCAATTCCCAGGTAGGAAGTCCTTCCTTGTACCTCACATGAGCCCTTCCTGCTGCAGTATAGCCACATTACCTTCTACTAGAAACCCTTCTGCTTCCAAATGCACCCTTTGTTAAATTGCTAAGATGTGATTCCATGAGCAACACAGCAATCACAAAAGCCATTGAAGCAGACGGCAGCTGCTACAGGGTTCAAGCATTCCATTCCAGCTGGGGAAAGGCTGTGGGCTTTGCCCCTCCTTCCCCCCCCAGCCCCTCCCCAATCTCAGGACACAGAGAAAAGAGGAGCAACATGCGGAGAAGAAAAATGGAAAGGTAACAAAGCAAAGGCAGAAAAAAAATTCACAGCCTCCCTTGACCTGCCAAGGACTTCTTCCACATCTTTCCCTAGGCTTGGGGGCCCAGATAAGGAACTGAGACTTTCTTTTTTTTTTTTTTAATTTTATTATTATACTTTAAGTTTTAGGGTACATGTGCACAATGTGCAGGTTTGTTACATATGTATACATGTGCCATGTTGGTGTGCTGCACCCATTAACTCATCATTTAGCATTAGGTATATCTCCTAATGCTATCCCTCCCCCTCCCCCCACCCCACAACAGTCCCCGGTGTGTGATGTTCCCCTTCCTGTGTCCATGTGTTCTCATTGTTCAATTCCCACCTATGAGTGAGAACATGCAGTGTTTGTTTTTTTGTCCTTGAGATAGTTTGCTGAGAATGATGGTTTCCAATTTCATCCATGTCCCTACAAAGGACATGAACTAATCACTTTTTATGGCTGCATAGTATTCCATGGTGTATATGTGCCACATTTTCTTCATCCAGTCTATCGTTGTTGGACATTTGGGTTGGTTCCAAGTCTTTGCTATTGTGAATATTGCCGCTATAAACATACGTGTGCATGTGTCTTTATAGCAGCATGATTTATAATCCTTTGGGTATATACACAGCCTTTCTTGCAGCTTCTGCAGCCTCTGCCTGAGAGATCCGCTCAATGGGCCATCTGCTCGGAGGCCTTTCTGCAAAAGCTTTAAGAGTTCCATTTCTCCAGGGAGCTGGAAGCTGGGGAGGTGTCAGCTCCAAACAATAAGGGAAGTTTATTAGGGATCAGGGTTTCCAGGAGGATGGTGCCTGCTAATGGGGCTGGATGCACTCTGAGGTACAAAGGGTTATTTAATGCGGAAAATCCAAAAGCTCCTTTAGAAGTCAAGTGCTCACACCCGAGGCCCTACACACTGCAGCCTTCCTTTTCACTCAAAAAACCTGAAAACCAAAACCAAAAACCATGGACTAGGGGCACACGAGTCAGCTCAGGACTGCCAACAGCGGGCAATTCCCTGGTAGGAAGTCCTTCCTTGCACCTCACATGAGCCCTTCCTGCTGCAGTATAGCCACATTACCATCTACTAGAAACCCTTCTGCTTCCAAATGCACCCTTTGTTAAATTGCTAAGTTGTGATTCCATGAGCAACACGGCAATCACAAAAGCCCCATCACCCTACCCTGTTTGCCCCTACCCCGCCCCATCCCAAGTCACACTTATTCCCTGTCCTTTGCTACTGGGCAAATATTGACTTTCTTTCACTCAGCCTTGTCAATGGAAGTGAGACCAATGGGGCTGGCTATTGTCTCCCTCCTCTCTCCTGTCAGAGGGCAAAGCAAGCTGTCAGCCTCAACAGCGGGAGCAGGGCCAACTGAGACAAGCTGAGAAAGAAAAGTGTGGTCTTGGAAGTAATATTTCTGTCTTTTGGTCTTTTGTCTTTCTGTCCTCCCTCCCTTCCCCAAGCCCATCTGGGTTTATTTTTTTCACATTTGGCTATCCTGCTGCCCTGTCTGGCTCAAGAGCAGCAGCGTGGCATAGCTGGCATAACTGAGAGAGCTCAGGCCTGGGAATTCAAGTGTCTGATACTGGGTCACCTTATGCTAGTTCTTTAATTTTCTTGGGCTTCCATGTTCTAGTCTGCAAAATGGGAAGGTTGGACCCCATGATCTCAGTATCTAGATCAGGAAGTTCCTTCCTATCAGGACCCATGTCCTTTCTGCTGCAGTCAAGGCATTTTACCTTGTGCTCTGATTTCAGAAAAAATGGAAAATAACTGCTTGGTGCTTAACAGGGAGGAAGGAAAGAGCGTTGCATTGAGGTTCTACAAGGGCTGGCAAGCTCCATCGCTGGTACTAACATGCTGTGTGATCCTGGGCAAGGAGCTCCCCCTCTCTAAGCCTCAGTTTCCCCATAATCAAAACAGAGGGCTGGATGAGATGATCCCACAGCCCCTTTCAGTGCCTCGTCCTGCCGTGGCACTCATCTAACACATCCCTGCGGAAGGCGATGTCCCCCGCTCCTTCAGCTTTTCTCCAAGGCAGCATCTCACAGCCTTTCCTCATGACTAACCTTGAATGGAGGGATGCCATGCCGCTGGCTCGTGTTCCTTCATCATCAGGAGCCTTTTGTCAGCCACACTCCTCTCAGACTCATGCTTGCTTGGCCTTTGGCCTTTGTGGCTGAGCTCTTCCTTTCTCCAGGTCCCATGATGAAGACCAGAGCATGCAAACTCCTGGAGCCTGCGGCCAGTGCACAGCAGGAGGACGACACAGGACATTGGGGCATTTTGGGGGATTGTGTGCATGGTGACAACTGCAGGACTGTGAACTGTATCCCTGCTCTTCCTCTAACTTGAGCCCTCTCTGTGATAACACAGAACCTCAAAAACCCATTCCTTGTGCATTAGTCAGTATCACACTATGGACTTCCTATTCCAGGTTGGCAATATTCCCTTTTCACAGATGAGACAATTGAGGCTCAGAGAGGTTGGTAATTTGCCTGAATTCACACAGATATTAAGGAGCGAGCCAAGATGGGAACCTAGATGTATCTATCTGCAAAGACTTTGCTCTTAACCGTCAGCGCTCTTACTGAGAAGGGGAGGTCATCGCCTCTCCCCAAGCTGACTTACAGGACTGGAATCACAGGGCAGTGAACACCCAAAGCCTGAATGACTCCAACAAACCTCCCACCCCCTCCACCCCCACCCAGCCTCGGCAAAAGCAGAGCCAGCAGGGTCGTGGATCAACAAAGCCAGAAGGACTTTGGGTCATCTAAACCAAGCTTTCACTTCACATACAAGAAAACTGAGGTCCACAGTGGCGTGCGACTTGCCTAAGGTCACACAGCAAGTCTAGGGTAAACCTCGGTCCCGGCCATGGGGTCCTGGGAGTCCCCCTCCAGGTTGAGCCAGTCCCTTTGCCACTCCTTCCACCTGGGTGTAGACATGCCTTCAGCCACTCACTCCAGGGACATCTGGCCTTACCCCTCTCTGCTTCTCAGTTGGTCCCTTCCTAGAAGGTTCGGGGAATGGAGTAAAAGGCCCATTTTATCATAACCAGAGGTGTGGCAGAGAGTGGGGAAGGGAGAACCAAAGGAAAACAGGTGTGAGATTATTGGAAAGTCAAGCAGTCTCTCTGTTTCCCATGAAGTTTCTAATGCAGAATGGTCCTAATGATCAGAGAGAGAGAGAGAGAGACAGAGAGATAGTGCTGATGTTCCCATTTTGTAGGGAAGCTTTGAAGATGGTAGGGGAAGATCACACTGCAAATCTACAATCTTTCCCTGCTCCCCATGGCCACTGCTCACAGCTGCCCTGCCACCTGCTTGCTACACAGCTTGTATTATTATTATTAACAATAGCTACCACTCACTAAGGACTTAGCTCAGTACTGGACCAAGTATTTACATATGCTTCTTGTTTAATCCTCATAAAAACCCTAAAATACCACCACTATTCTCATTTTGTTTTGACTACTTAGTAACTGAAGCTCTAAGATATAAAGTAATTTGCTCAAGGTCACACAGCTAATAACCAGTAGAGCCAAGGTCTCCTGGGGACTCCCTCCAGGGGTGTGCCGGGCTTTGAAATTCATATACTGTATTTGTCTCAAGTTGTCTTGACTCTGGTGACAGAAGTGGGAGGGCAATGCATTGGGAATTCCTGGAGACCACCTGCTCCCATCACCCAGCCAAGCCCACTTCCTGCTACTCAGACACCAGCCCAGAACTGCAGCCACAGAATTGTGGGGTTGCAAGGGCCTGAGAAGTTAACTAGTTCTACCTTCTCAATGTACAGGGGAGGAAAGCAAGAAAGGGCCTTGCCCAAGGTCACACAAGGTCACAAAATTGGAGGCAGAGCCTGTAAATTAAACTCAGCTCTCTTGTCTCAAACTCGGACTCGTCCGCAACACCCTAATGCCCAGTATGAAGTTATTGTCTCATCTCAACTGAAGACAGAACCAGAGTTCATCCCAAAAAGGAGTTAGATTAGACTTTCCTATGGCAAGGACTGTCACATTGCACAGTGGGGTGCTCTAGGCTATTGTAGTGGAGATCTTTCTAAAACGAGACAATTCCTTCAGATCTTCCTTATCTGAGATGAATGCAGCCCTGTCTGGAGGTAGAGAGCAGACAGCATGACCTTGTGAGGTCCTTGACATCACCCTTTAACCTATGGTCATCTGTCTGTCACAGCGAACCTTTCCCTAGGAAAGAATCTGCCCTCTGCAAAGAGGATGTGTAATGCTGGAAAGCCCGCCTTTCTCCCCATCAGCTGGATTCTGAGAGTTGGGAGAGATGACCAATGAACAGGCTGAGGGTGTCACAGCCCTGCTACTTTGGGATGGGGGGTGCAGTAGGGGAGCTACAGTCTTCCCAGAGGCCAGGTCATTCTACCCAGCTGCACCCCATCCCCAACCTTTCAGTGGGCGACACCTGCAGGGTGTTGGGACTGGGAGAAACCTCAGATACCTTAAATTCCAAACCCCATTTTCCAGATGAAGATACTGAGGCCCAGAGTGGGTCAGTGAGTTGCCCAAGGTCATAGGACAGGTCAGAATGGAAGCTTTCCGACTCTCCCCGGGGCGCTGGGTTCACAGCTCCACCTTGCCACCCCCTGCCCCGGAAGTGAGCACTGAAGTCACTTAAGAGAGGCCAGTGACCAAAGGCAGCGATTCCCAGGTGCAGAGGCTGGGGCAGACGTGCCCATGAGCTTGTTCCCCCGCGCACCCTCCCCCACCTCGTCCCCATTCCTGTCTTGGTTACCATGTGCCTCCATCATCCTGAGATTCAGAGAGGTGCAGCGGCTTGTCGAAGGTCACACAGCACACTGAGTAGGGCCCTCGTTTCCACTGCCCAGCTGCCCCCTCCCATTGCCCACCCGGGCCTCTGCAAGCTTGCCAGGATCCCCGGGAGCCTGCTTCCTCCAATGCACAGAGCCGTGGCGCGTGTCAAAGTGTGGGAAAGTTCCTGGGAGAGGGAAGGGGTAGAAAATACAGCCGCTCATCTCAACCTTGGACGGCTGCGGCAAGGCAGGGGCGCTCAGAAAGGCAGCCAGTCCTGCGCACCGCCAGTGCCTCCGGCACACCCCACTCTGCGCCAGGGGCTCCCCAGGGTCGCGCGAGCATGTTCTTCCAGCTCCTCCTCAGCGAAGCAGGCGCGGCGGGGTCCCACGCGCCCAGCACCCACTTCTCTCCGCACGCCCACTTCATGCACCTCCCCGCGCCCTTCCCACGGCTTCTCTGCGGCGAGTCGCCTTTGCTTCCCCGCAGGTCCCCGGTCCCAGCGCTAAGGCACCGCGGCTTCTCTCGCCTTCTCTCCGCGTTGAACCCGGGCTCTCCGCGGGGAGAAATAGGTTGGGGGCGAGGGGTTCCCGAGATAATTCAGGACACCTCCCCGGGGTCTAGCCAGGTAATTCCGACGCCCATGGATTTCCGGATTACAGTTCCCACCGCGGGCTCAGTCCTACTCTTAGTTTATCCCGCGGTGAGCGCCAAGCCCCAAAAGTCGGAGTGTCACCGTTTGGTGACCCCGCGTCCGCCCGCGCCTCAGGCCCTGGAGGTGGCCACTGTCGGTCCAGGCACGGCTTCGCTCGGGACTACTGGCTGCCCTCGTGGGGTGCCCCGCCTGGGGTTCCCTCTTACCCTGGGACGTTCCAGGCGCGTTCAGCCTGAGCTGGTGGAGAGGGCGGGGGCGGGGGCGGCTGGGGTCCCGAAGTCCAGGTCCCTCTTCCCACTTCCCCGCCGGCCCTGCCGCTGCGGCCCTCGCTCCCGCGCTCGCTCGCTCTCGAGTCTCTCCCTCTCTCTCTTCTCTTCCTCTCTCTCTCTCTGCAGTAGTAACAACCTGATCCCGCTTCCCCCACCCGCCTCTTGAGATGCTCCTCACATCCGCCTGCACACAGCGCGTGCGGCCCCTCCGAAGGCGATCCCCGCAAACCGCGACGCAGGTCCTCCGCCCCAGGCAATCCCCGCTGCGGGAGAGGCCGCCTCCTGGCGCCCACGCCCCCCTTCTGCAGTCCGTACTGCCGGCCGAGGGGGAAATGGGCGACAGGGGAAGGGGAGGTGTGTGCGGGACGGACTAGGCTGGGGCAGAGGGGTTTAAACTGGCGCGGTCCTACAGAAGTTTGAGGAGGGCGGGGCCGGCTCCGAGCCCCCGGAGCCCTACGGGACTCCCCCGATTCTACTGAGGAGTCCCCGCCAGCTCCGTGCACTCCTGCAACACTCCCCACCCCACCCGCCAGCTCCGAGTTTACAGCCTCTCGGGTCCGGGGATTGGCTGGGGGAGGGGACGGGGGGGAGGGGACCCCCTGGCTGTAGGGAACGGCGTGCGGGCGGGGGTGGGAGGGAAACGATTTGCTTCAGGAGATAGGGATGAAGGTTTTCCTGAGTCAAGGGAGGGAGAAGAGAGGTGGAACAAAAGGCAGATGCTGGAGGGGAAGGGGAGCTGGGGAGCTCGCCCCGAGGGCTCCGGCAGCCCGCGGTCCCCTGCCTCAGTCTGTCCCAGAGGGTGAGGTCAAGGCTGGTGCCAGGGCTCTTCACCGGCCACCTGGAGAGGGGAGAAAGAGGGATGCAGGGGTACGGGGTTGGGGCAGAGGAGGAAGAGCGTCTGCTGGCACAGGACCCTCTGCCTGCTCTCAGATAGGAACCCAGCAGAAGGGCTCTGCCATGGACCCAACACCTCCCACCTCCGCAGATCTGCTTTCTCCCACTTGGGAAAAGCGAGGCTGACACCCACTGTGAGCACCAGGAGGGGCAGGAAGAACCGAGAGCCTGGGCAGCACTCCTGTGCCTCAGTCTCATCCTTGGGCCTCACCCTCAACCCCCAACCTCACCCGATAAGACCTCGGGGCCCCAGCTCGCCAGGTGGAATTTCTGCTGCTGTCTGGCCATTAACTGCCCCTGACCTTCCCAGCTCCACCTCACCCTCGCCCTCTCCCCTCAGCCTCTCCTTCACCCTCCATGCAGCTGCTTTCTGTTTGCCTTCTGCTCTGCACACTCAGGACCAGGACTCGAGTTTGGTGTTTGACCCAGGAAGTGACATTCCTCACCCACCAACCCACACACACAAAAATCCTGTGTGCATGTGTGTTGGGGGGGAGGGGCAGTCATTCAGGGCTTTCCAGGGCTTCTCATCCCCACAGAGTCTGGGGAACTGGGAAATTCCCAATACCCGCAGTGAATCCCCCTTCCTCCCCTCCTCCAGGCATCCCCCGCCCCAAGACAGAGACCTTACTCCAGAAGCCGGGGACTGCAGTGCTGCAGCAGCCGCGGCTCCTGGCCGGCATGGAGCCTCTCTTCAGAAGGGCAGCAGCTCGCTTGTCACAGACCCTGGACGGCAGAAAAGCTGATTCAGGGATTTCCGGGCGGCTCCTCCTGTGGGGGAGTGTGCATCTGCATACCTGGGTGTTGGGAAGGGTGTGTGCGTGTGTTCATGTGTGGGCTGGGGGAGAGGACCCATGCCTGAGACCCTCTAGTCAGGTCTGCTGATCCCTCACTGTTCTTCAGATGGAAAGGGGGAGCTGGGGTAAAGGGCTCAAGGTCAGATGCTCAGCAGGAGGGCACCAGGGGTTTCCCCCCACTCTGCTACACTCCGGTAACCTACCCCCACCACGTCGCCCCACACTGAGGAGGGGACCTGTCACCTGAGATGGGTGTGTGGGCTGAAGAGCAGTACCTGCTGCTCCTCTTCGGTTTCTCCCTGGGGAGAGAAGTGCTTCTGTTTTGAAATCTCCCCCAAACCTTCTTTTGCTAGAAGGAGGGAGGATGGGACTGAAATTTCATTCAGCAGGCTGGATTCAGGTTTGACTTTGGGGTTTCCTGATGCTAAGGGTCTGGGGCAGCATCCTGCTTGACAGGGAAAGCTTATGCCTTCACGATTGGAATGTAGTGCTGCTTAGATGAAAAGGGATGGATGAAATGACCCCCATGGTTCCTTCTGATAAAATGGACCAAGAGACGCCTGAACCTTATACAAAGCTGCCTCCAGTAAAACAAAATCTAGTTACAGAAAATAAAGCACTTCTGTAAGGTTATGTCTGCTCCTTCTGAAAATACCGTGTTTAATGTCTGTGCTGCCTCCAATGTGTCCTTTCCCCTCTTGGGTGGAAGTGGAATTCTGATGGCCTGTGGAAGGATTGGGTGACACTTGCACAGGCAGTGGCTGGGCCACAATGGCGGAGGATGGGAACACGGTGGGTCCCTGGAGAAAACACAGCTGTGCTTCACCCAAAGCCCCTTCAGGCCCCAGAGGACCCTTCCCCTGATAGGGATGACAATGACAGCCTGACAGTCTTAATTTCACTTGATTCTTATCAACTTTCCCAGGAGGCAGCAAGGCGAGGAAGGGATAATTCTTCACTCCACTGAGGCACAGGGAGCCCCCAAAGGGTGGATGACTCACCCAAGGTTCTCAGGTAGGTTCCTACCTTACCCTGGGGTTTTATGTTTCTATTCTCAACACTAACGTTTCTCATTCCTCCACAAGTTAAATTGCTCACTCCAGCCAACTGAAGCATGCTTTTCTTGACACAGTTAGCTCGAGGCACACGGTTGGTGTTAAAAAAAAAAAAAAAAAAAAAAAAAAAAAAAAAAAGAGCGTTATGTCAATTTCATTGATCAACAAAAGTGATGGCTCCACTGCAAATTCAAGTTGATAGTGCCTGGGCCTCTTGAGTTCAAGAGCCTTCTAGACAAAGGGCTCTGAGCTGAAACATGAGCATGCACACATATGCCTGTCGCTGGGTCTGATGAGATAATTTGCATACTTGGTTGTTATCCCTGAGCATTTTCCTGCCTCAATGCACGTGTAGCCAACACAATAATAATCATAGCTGATAAAGGCTAAAGCTGAGGACTTTCCTGAGCCAGGCAGTGGCTTTAAAACCTTTAAAGTGGCTTTTAAAACTTTAACAGCTAAAGCTGAGGACTTTCCTGAGCCAGGCAGTGGCTTTAAAAACTTTAAAGTTTTCACATAGACTCTCACTAAATAATTTCTGTTTTTCAGATCAACAAACTGAGACTATCACATTTGGGATTAAGTTAAAAAAAGA
Organism: Homo sapiens; assembly: GCF_000001405.40. Classification (NCBI taxonomy): domain Eukaryota; kingdom Metazoa; phylum Chordata; class Mammalia; order Primates; family Hominidae; genus Homo; species Homo sapiens. Next base: position 30,195,424 of record NC_000015.10, read on the forward strand.
AAGAAAGAAAGAAACTGAGGCTTAAATACTTGCTTAAAGCAAGTATTTCACAGCCAGCAAGTGGCTAAGTTGGAACTTGAGCCCAGGCAGTCTAGCCCCGGGATCCTGTGCCCGGCAGAAAGGTGCTGGGTCAAGGGAGGAGGGGGCAGTCGGGAGCGCGCGCACGCTCTGGACTTGTGCACCCGCGGAAAAGGGTGCGCCGAGGGGGTAGGGGCGACGGGGATGGGGGCGGGGTAGGGGCGACGGGGACGGGGGCGGGGTAGGGGCAGCCCTTTCCCAGGCGGTAGCGGGGGCGGTGGTTCTGTTGTCCTGTTGCCCTTTTAAGCTGCGGCTTGACAGGGGCCGCGCCTCCTGTCGGTGGAGTCGGTTACAAAGGGAGCAGCCCCCCAGGCCGCCACACAGCTCCCGCCAAGACCTGGTGCCCCTTGCCATTTTCCAGCCGCGCTCCCAGGAGAGTGGAGGCTGCAGGAAGAGGCGGGTCTTTAGGCTCACAAGAGCTCGGCCAGGCGGCCCCGCGGGGTGGTCGTGGCCATGACAGCGGCTCCAGACGGCTCCCCTTCCACGCCCTTCCCGCCGGAGATGAGGGGAAGATGTCTGTGTCAAGATTCAAGGCCAAACTGAAGTTGCTGGCGTCTATCTTCCACGAGAACCAGGAGGCTCAGCTGCGGCTCACGCTCCACTGCAACATGAGGTGAGGCGCCCGGCGGCGGCCTCGCGGGGCAGGAAGAGGGCGGAGAGGGGGTGCCCGGAGTCCCGGGACAAAGGGGAACCTGCCCCGGCGAGGCTCCCCGCCCCTTTCTCCCGCAACTGGCCCGGCCCGCCCCGGGACTGCGCGAGGCTTGGGTGGGAGGAGGCGGCGGGCGCGTCTGTCTCTCCGGCTCCTCGCATGGGGCTGTCTTGGGGGCCACTGGCCCCTCTCAGCCCCCGTCGCCGCCCCCCGAGGTGGGAGCCCGCGGTGGCGGGAGCCCTCTCGGGACCCATGGTCGCCCTCAGTCAGCCGGCCTGCTCCGGGGACCGCGACAGGGCGGGGAATGGCGGCTTTTGAGCCCAGGCGGGGAAAGGCAAAGGCCTTTAAGATTTTCGGTGTTCGAAACCAGCCTGGCTAACATGGTGAAACCCTATCTCTACTAAAAAATACAAAAATTAGCCCGGCGTGGTGGCAGGCTACTTAATCCCAGCTACTTGGGAGGCAGAGGCAGGAGAATCGTTTGAACCCGGGAGGCGGAGGTTGCAGTGAGCCGAGATCGAGCCATTGCACTCAAACCTGGGGGATAAGAGCGAGACTTCTCTCAAAAAACAAAAACAAAACAAAACAAAAAAAAACAACTTTTTTTTTTTTTTTTTTTAGACAAAGCCTCACTCTGTCGCCCAGGCTGGAATGCAGTGGCGCAATCTCGGCTCACTGCAGCCTACGTCTCTTGACAGTCCACGGATTAAAGCTATTCTCCTGCCTCAGCCTCCGGAGTAGCTGGGATTACAGGCGCCCGCCACCACGCCTGGCTAACTTCTGTGTCTTTAGTAAAGACGGGGTTTCACCATGTTGGCCAGGCTGGTCTCAAACTCCTGACCTCAAATGACCCACCTCTGCCTCCCGAAGTGCTGGGATTCCTTCAATCCAATCAAGTTGACTCTGAGTATTAACCATCACAAGTGTCTTCAGAATTGTCATTCTTTTCTGCTGTGGCCTCCCTCTCCTGGTTTGCAGACCCATGCTCCGCCTGTGACACTAGGATGGGGAGGTGCTGGCAGGAGAGCTTTCTAGCTCCTGAGTTAAAAGGCAGAGATGGAGTCTGTTTTAAGATTTTGCTGCTGTGTTGAGTTATATTAAAAAACATTTTGTCTTTTCCCTCTGGTTTTCACACTCATAGTAAGAGGCCATCAAGATAGGCTTCTTATATGGGAGGGTGATTCTTACCAACTGTAGTTGGGACAAGAACGGTAAAGAATGTTAGATTCTTCTGGAAAAAAGTGGTCCCTCCATTATTTGGATTGGGTTTGTGGCCTTCTCAAGCCCAGCAGTCTAATTCCATCTGCTTTGTGTCTTCCGGCATGTCCCTGTAGTTTTGGTTCACTAAGGGTATTCTCCTTGTATCTGTTATTTTTCTGCTGCTGTGTCAGACTTATTCTGTTTAGTAAAATACTGTCATTTTGGTGGGATTTTGGAAAGAGGACCAGGCCACATCTTGAAATTCATCTTAGGATTTTACAACCCTAACTCACTTTTTGTTTTGATTAAATTACCCTTTTTGAGGGGTGGGGGCTCAGCTTTATCATTTGCAAAATGAAGGATAGTAACTGGGCTGATGGTTACAGATGTGGATGCGTGTCAGAATCACCTCAGAGAGCTTTTTAAAAACACATTCTCCCCAGCACTTTGGGAGGCCGAGGTGGGCGGATCATGAGGTCAAGAGATCGAGACCATCCTGGTCAACATGGTGAAACCCCGTCTCTACTAAAACTACAAAAATTAGCTGGGCATCGTGGCACGCGCCTGTAGTCCCAGCTACTTGGGAGGCTGAGGCAGGAGAATCGCTTGCACCCAGGAGGCGGAGGTGGCAGTGAGCCGAGATGGTGCCACTGCACTCCAGCCTGGCAACAGAGCAAGACTCCGTCTCAAAAAAAAACAAAACCAAAAACAGATTCTCTGGGTATGCTTTGAAATGAGCATTTCAAAAATGCTCTTTCAATCACTGATGCAACCAAAGTCTTTGGGACTTTTAGGCTAAGAATATATTCTTTAGATACCCAGAATAGTTTAATGTGGAGTATAACAATTTAGGGAAATGAAGAAGGGTTGAATTACATTTTGGAAGCTGCTGCTTGCTTCCTTTTTCCATTTAGTTTTTAGAAGACAAAGAATGTCTAAAGAGATACAGATTTAAAGCAAATATAAGTTAATTCTTCATGGGTATGTTTATCTACATGGCTTTCTCCAGCTGACTGATCCAGAAGAGTTCTAATACCCTCTGTGATCATGGGTTTGTTTTTCTTAAGAATTACTCCATCAGAGTATCTAAGAACAGATGCTTAGATACTGCTGAGACCTTTGTTGGTCTTACTTGATCTCTGAATCCTAGTTTTTTGATCTTCTACATATTCTGGGTTTTAACCTGTACTGGCCTTCATGGTTAAAGAAGCATTTATATACTGTGCCCAGGCCAGGAAGCTTATCTTTTGAACTTTGCCCAAACTGTGTATGAAGGCCCTTCTTAAAACCCCATTAAATTCATTTCTAAACTTGATCATTGTAAATTGTGTCAGTTGGTAAATTCTGTCTTGTAGGGAGGTATTTTGTAGTAAATAACATGTTTTTAAAACTAAAATTTGCCTTTTAGTAAGGTGGTAATCATTTCATAATTCTTAGTTTTGTCAAGTGTCTATAAATAACACATCTGATCTTTTAAAATGTAAGGCAATTGAATTTATGTAATGATTCAGGCTTTTCAAAGTTAAAAAGGTAGTTATTTTAAGGAATGGATAGTTTGTGATATTTATTTTAAACAAAATAAGCCATTGATCTTATACACATAGCCATGTAAGTAAAATGTTTTCTTATTTTAAATTAGATTACATTTTAACATTTTTTTCGGTTTTGCTTTGTATTTGACTGATTGCTTTTCTTTATTCCTAATTCTTTTATTCTTTGTTCCGTTTTTAAAAGCTGATAACTGTTGTTTGTCAAATCAAAGTTGGATTTAAAAATAAACATTTAATTTTAATAAGCTCTCTGCTAGTGGCACTGCAGTGACAGATGGTTGAGAGTTTGTCCCTAAAGCTATGGCACCGGTCTTCTAATTGACTCACCCTGTATTCAGCCTGTGTAGCCCTGGCAGATTCTTTCTCTGTTTCAGAATGGGACAACAGAAGAAGTGACTTCAGAGGAAGAGGAAGAAGAGGAGATGGCTGAAGTAGGTATTTTATATAAGAATGACATTTCATAAATGTCGTCATTTTTGATTTGAGGAATTCTCTAAATCTCCTTTGTAAACTACTATTAATGTGGAATAATTGAAAGCACATTGTATTTGGAATGGAATATAATTTCTCACCTCTGGCTTTACCTCTAACTGATGATACATCTTTGAGAAAATTGCTTTATCTGAATTCTTTGGATTTGATTTTCTGGAAAACAAAAGCTCTTAACTTTTAGCACCAAAGTTGTACTTATATTTAATACTAATCAGTCCTTAACCTGTATTTGGTTATTTTTAGGAAAAGGAACTACTAAGTTTAAAAAATGTTATGTTTGCATAAAAGGAGAATTTGAGAACATGTTAGGGACTACTCACCAGAAGTAGTGACACTGTCTCTTGTTGAAAAATCATCAAGGAATTTTCTCTTAGTCTGTTTTATGCTGCTATAACAGAATACCAGAGACTGGGTAATTTATAAAGAACAGACATTTATTTTCTGACAGTTCTGGAGACTGGGAAGTCCAAGATGAAAATACCAACATTTGGTGTCTGAGGGCCTTCTTGTTGCCACCTCACATGGTAGAAGGCAGAAGGCAGAAGGGCAGGAGAGCAAGCTAGTCCAATGTGTGAAGCCTCATTCATCAGGGCCTTAATCCCATTAAGGAGGAAGGAGCCCTCTTGGCCTAATCACCTCCTAAAGGTCCTACCTCTTAATATCATCACATTGGCAACACCTGAATTTTGGAGGGAACACATTCAAATGGTAGCAAATTTAGTAGAGCACATTCCAAAGACATTGAGCCTAGGCCAGTTGTCAGTCATGGGTCTAATTTTAGACATTTTCAGGCTCTGAAGCTTTGCATTTAAATTCAAACTCCGGAACAAAGATCTGTGTCTCTGCATTGACCAAATAGAAGGTATGTGAATTTTATGGTCTTGATCGTTTTACAAGATTTTTTCTGTTTGGGGTCTTATAATTAATATAGGCTTTCATTTTCTTGGTTTGGAAATTATTAATCTAAAATATACTTTACAGTGCTTCAGAACTAAAGAAGTAGTGTTGTGGGCTTGTTTTTGTTTGTTTTTTTTAAGATAGGGTCTCCTGTCACCCAGGCTGGAGTGGAGTAGCATGGTCACGGCTCACTGCAACCTTGAACTCCCAGGTTCAAGCAATCCTCCTGAGTAGCTGGAACTACAGGCGGGTGCCCCACGTCCAGCTAATTTTTTAAATTTTCTGTAGAGTTTGAGTCTCGCTCTGTTGCCCAGGCTGGTCTTGAACTCCTGGCCTCAAGTGATCCACCACCTCGGCCTCCCAAAGTGCTGGGATTACATGCGTGCACCACTGTGCCTGGCTGTAGGCTTGTTTTATAAGTCTGGGAGTAAAATACTTCTTAAAATTGTCCAATTAGAATGAGAGTTTAGGCTGGGCATGGTGGCTCATGCCTGTAATCCCAGCACTTTGGGAGGCCGAGGCAGGTGGATCATGAGGTCAGGAGATCGAGACCATCCTGGCTAACAAGGTGAAACCCTGTCTCTACTGAAAATACAAAAAATTAGTCAGGTGTGGTGGTGGGCGCCTGTAGTCCCAGCTACTTGGGAGGCTGAGGCAGGAGAATGGCCTGAACCCAGGAGGCAGAGCTTGCAGTGAGCTGAGATCACGCCACTGCACTACAGCCTGGATGACAGAGCAAGACTCTGTCTCAAAAAAAAAAAAAAAAAAAAAAAAAAAAGAATGAGAGTTTAATGTTTTTATGCAGTTTAGCTCAGGTAGAATAAAGTGCAAGAAAACATTGAACCTTTTCTGTGGGTCAGGAAGCCATTGTAGTAAAGATCATGAACCCTTTCATCTTCCCCTCACAAAATAATAAACAAGGGACTGCAACTTTGAGGGAAATCTAGAAAGGTAGGAGACTGGACTTTGGAGATGTCAGATTAGGACTGGTGAAAAGCAGATATTCTAGGCTCCTAAAATAACGTGGGAACAAGCCCAGAACAACCTTGGACATGGTGTGTTTGTGCATGGGATGCTTTTCTTTTGAGACGGAAGGTTGATGTGTTGAAGTCATGGAAAGTGTTCAAAATATTGTGAGAATTACCGAAATGTGACACAGAAACATGAAGTGAGCACATGCTGTTGGAAAAAAATGGTGCTGATCTACTTGCTTAATGCAGAGGTGCCAAAAACCTTCAGTTGTAAAACAAAAAACAAAACAAAAAAAACAAAAAACAATAATAAAAAAAAGGAAAACTGCAATATCTACAGAGTACAATAAAGTGAAGCAGAATAAAATGCAGTATGCCCGTATGAAAGATTATGATGTCGGTGAACAAACAGTTGTATGCCTTCCTTTCCAATGTGTATGCCTTTTATTGATCCTTGTTGCTTAATCACTTTGGCTAGGACTTCTAGTACTATGTGGGAAAAAAGGGACGAGTATGAGCATCCTTGCCTTGTTCTTCATATGAGGGGGAAAGCTTTTTACCATTAAATATGTTGGTGTCGGGTTGTCATAAATGGCCATTGTTAAGTTGAAATATGTTCTTATTTGTTTGTTTATTTTAACTAGAGATAGGGTTTCACTATGTTGCCCAGGCTGGTCTTGAACTCCTGGGCTCAAGCGATCTTCCTGCTTCAGCCTCTCAAAGTGCTGGGATTACAGGCGTGAGCCTTTCTGAGCGTTTTTTCATCATGGAAAGGATGTCAAATTTTGTCAAATGCTTTTTGTGCATTTATTGAGATGATGATATGTTGTTTATCTTTTATGCTGTTAATGTGACATATCACAATTACTGATTTTTGTATGTTGAATCATTCTTGCATCCCAGGGATAAATCTCCTTAATCATGGTGGTATGATATGGATTTGGTTTATTTGGCCCCACTAAATTTTATGTTGAAATTTGATTCCCAATTTGGTAGTATTGGGAAGTAGGGCCTCATGGCAGGTGTTTGGGGTCTCATGAATGGCTTGGTGCCATCTTGCAATAGTGAGTTCTCATCTTGCAAGACTGGATTGGTTTTTGGGGTAATAAATTAGTTCCCCTTGGAGTAGGTTGTTACAAATCCAGGATACCCCTTGGGTTTGTTCTCATTTCACATATGCCCGCCTCACCTTTTACCTTCTTCACCATGTTTTGACACAGCACAAAAGCCCTCAGGAGAAGCAGATGCTGGCATCATGCTTCTTGTACAGCCTGTAGAACTGTGGCCATTTTAATGCGGTATTGAATTTGGTTTTCTAGTCTTTTATGGAAGATATTTGGATCTGTTTTCATCAGGGTTACTGGTCTGTGATTTTCTCTTTTTTGTAGTGTTCTGGTTTGGCTTTGATATCAGGGTAATGCTGGCATAGTAAAATGAGTTTGGAAGTGGTCCATCATCTTCAGTTTTTTTGAAGCAATTGGGATATACTGACATTAATTCTTCTTTAAATGCTTGATAGAATTCAGTAGTGAAGCCATATGATTCTTGTGCCTCAGCCTCCTGAGTAGCTGGGATTACAGGTGTGCACCACCGCACCTGGCTAATTTTTGTATTTTTAGTAGAGTCGGGGTTTCACCATGTTGGCCAGGCTGGTCTTGAACTCCTGACCTCAAGTGATCCACTCTCTTCGGCCTCCCAAAGTGCTGGGATTACAGGCATGAACCACTGTTCCTGGCCCATAGACTTCTTTTTGATGGAGATTTTAAACAACCAAATTGATATCCTTAATCATTACTGGTATGTTTAGTTTCTCCATTTCTTCATGCTTTGGACTTGGTAAGATATGGTTTCTAGGAATTTACCTACTTTTTTAGGTTATCTTTTTTATGGCATATAATTGTTCATCATAGACCCTTATGGTCCTTCTTATTTCTGTGGTATTAGTTTTCAAGTCTCCACTTTGATTTATGATTTTGTTTATTTGAGTCCTGTCACATTTTATCTTAGTCCAGCAAAAGGTGAATTTTGTATGTCTTTTAAGAAACAACTCAGTTTACTTTTCTGTTGTTTTTCTAGTCCCTACTTCATGTTTTTCAGCTCTGATCTTTAAGATTTCCTTCTTCTTTCTAACATTGGAGTTTGTTCTTCTTTTTCTAGTGTTTGAGGTATAAGGTTATCTTACTTATTTAATATCTTTCTTTTTTCTTCACGTAAGATTTTATCACTAAAAGTTTCTCTCTTAGAATTGCTTTTGCTGTAGCCCATAATTTATTATTTATTTATTTATTTATTTATTTATTTTTGGGATGGTGTCTCACTCTGTTGCTCAGGCTGGAGTGCAGTGGCATGATCTCTGCTCACTGCAACCTTCGCCTCCTGGGTTCAAGTGATTCTCCTGTCTCAGCCTCCCAAGTAAATGGGATTACAGGCACATGCCACCATGCCCAGCTAATTTTTGTATTTTTAGTAGAGACAAGATTTCACCATGTTGGCCAGGCTGGTCTCGAACTCTTGACCTCAGGTGATTTGCCCACCTTGGCCTCCCACAGTACTGGGATTAAAGGCATGAGTCACTACACCCGGCCTAGCCCATAAGTTTTTGTATGCTGTGTTTCCATTTTGATTTGTATCAAGATCTTTTTAAATTTCCCTCTTGGAAAATTTACCACTTACCCTTTGGTTGCTCAGAAGAATGTTGTTTAATTTGCATATATTTGTGAGTTTTCCAGTTTTTCTTTTTATTGATTTCTAGTTTCATACCATTGTAATCAGAAGATATTCTTCATGCAGTTTCAATCGTCTTAAATTTGTTAAAACGTGTTTTGTGGCCTAATACTTAAAGTAATTTGGAAATAATTTTATATGTACAAGAAAAAAAGTCTTCTGTTGCCTTTTGACAGAATGCATTGTATATGTCTGTTAGGCCCTCTTTTTGTCTAAAATGCAGTTCAATTACAATATTTTCTCATTGACTTTCTATCTGAACAATTTGTCCATTGTTGAAAGTGAGGTATTAAAGTTTTCTACTATTATTGTATCCAGTCTGTCTCTTCCTTCAGATTTATTAATATTTGCTTTATATAATTTAAGTGCTGTAATGTTAGGTGCATATATATTTGAAATTGTTATATCCCCTGATGAATTGACCTGTTTATCATTATATGATGATCTTCTTTGTATCTTACGAGAGTTTTTGACTTAAAGTTTATTTTGTATAAATTTAGCTATTCCTACTCTCTTTTGGTTTCCATTTGCATAGAATATAACCTTCCTTATTTACATTGACTCTAAGTGTGTTCTTAAAGCTTAAGTGAATCCGTTGTAGGTACCATATTGTGTGTGTGTGTGTGTGTGTGTGTGTGTGTTCAATCCATTGAGCAGTCTATCTTTAGAGTATTTAAGCAATTTATATTTAAAGTAATTATTGATAGGTAAGCAATTACTATTGCCATTTTGTTAATTGGTTTCTAGTTGCCTTGTAGATTCTTTGTTTGTTTCATCCTCTCTTGCTATCTTCCTTTGTGAACTGATGATTTTTTTGTAATGAGTGGTATGCTTTGATTCCTTTCTCTTTTTCTTCTATATATCAACTAGAGGTTTTTGGTTTATGGTTACCGTGAGGCTTACAGGAAATACCTTTTAGTTATAAAAGTCTATTTTAAGCTTATAACAAATTTTCTTTGATCACATACAAAATCTCTATACTTTTACACCCCTTATTTTTTGTTTATGATGTCAAAATTTATATCTTTTTAATATTATGTATCCACAGACTATTGTATTTACAGTTTTGTTAATACTTTTGTTTTTAAACTTTAAGTGATTTACACACCATTACAGTATTAGAATATTCTGAATTTATTAGAGTATTAGAATATTATTAGAGTATTCTGATAAACTTCCATTTGTCAGTTTTATACTTTCATATGTTTTCATGTCATTAATTAGCCTTGTTTCATTTTATCTTGAAGAACTCTCTAGCATTTCTTATAAAGCAGGTCTAAAGTGGTGAACTCCTCAGCTTTTGTTTGTTTAGAAGGCTTTAGATCTCCATTTTTGAAGAACAACTTTTTTAGGTAAAATATTCTTGGTTAGCAGTATCTTTCTTTCTTTTACCAGTTTGAATATATCTATATAATTCTACTATCTTCTGGCTGTAAGGCTTCTGCTGAGAAATCTGCTAATAGTCTTATCAGAGTTTGCTTGTATGTGCCAAGCCTCTTTTCTTGTTGCTTTCAAATTTCTGTGTCTTCAATTTTTGACAATTCGTTATGCAGGTGAAGGATCCCTTATCTGTAGTGCATAGAATCGAAGTGTTTCAGATTTCAGATTGTTTTAGATTTTGAAATATTTGCATTATACTTACCAGTTGAGCATCCCTAATTTGAAAATCTGAAATCTGAAATGTTCCAATGAGCATTTCCTTTAAGCGTCATTTTAGTTCTCAAAAAGTTTCAGATTTTGAAGCATTTCAGATTTCAGGTTTTTAGATTAGCGATGCTCAACCTGTAATGTGACTTGTGAGGCCTTCTTTGGATTGAACCTTATTACAGATTGCAAGCTTTGTATACCTGAATGTCCAGGTTTCTCCCCAGACTTTGGAAGTTTTCAGCCATAATTTTTTTAAATAAGCTTTCTCCGCTTTCTGTCTTTGTTCTTCTTCTAGAACATCCATAATGCAAATGTTAGCTGTCTTGATGGTGTTCCACTAATCTCATCGGTTTTCTTCATTCCTTTTCATTCTTTTTAAAAAAAATTTTCCTTTTCTAACTGGATATTTTCAAATGACTTTTCTTCAAGTTCACAGATTCTTTTTTCTGCTTGATCAAGTCTGTTGGTGTTTTTATTGCATTTTTTGAATTCCATTCACTGTGTTCTTCAGCTCTAGGATTTCTGTTCAGTTTCCTTTTCATGATTTCTATCTATTCATTGGAATTCTTTTGTTGATTCCTATTTTCTGTTTTATTTAGTTGTCTACCTATGTTTTCTTGTAGCTCACTGAGCTTCATTAAAATAGTTATTTTGAATTCTTTGTCAGGCAATTTGTAGATCTCAATTTCTTTGGGAAAAATCAAGTTTTCTTGATTTTTCATGTTTCTTGAAGTCTTCTGCTGCTGTCTTTCCATTTGAAGAAGGAGTAACTTCCTTCAGTTTTTACTTACTATAAATACCTTCACCAACCAGATTGGTTAGTGATTATGAGGCTCTCTCAGACTTTTTCTGTGGATTCACCCACTCCACACTTCTTATCCATTTTGGGGGAGGGAAATGCTTAAGATTATACACTTTCTTTCAATCTTGCAAAGCTAGGCCAGGGCTGAGAGCTTCCTGTTTTGATTTTCTAGAGTGGTGCACTGAAATGCTCAAGTTTGTGTGTCTTCCTCCAACCCTGCATAGTTGATACAGATACCTGCATGAAGTGCTTGCATTTGCTGTTCACGCAGGTGCATTTAGGGAACCAATCTTGGGAGCGAGTTGTGCCAAACATTTTGAGTGCCCATGCACCAGTTCAGGGGGTCCAAACACAATGTGTTCCAAGTGCCTTATAGATGCACTTCCTGATGGAATCACAGAGCAGTAAATTAGATCCCCACCTCTCTTCCCTGTCACTGTTCTCTTCCAACCACTAAACCATACCAATCACCATTGTAGTTTGGATAAGATGAGAAAGTGGGTGTCTTGTTCAGTATCCTACAAAGCTGGGGGAGCTGGGCACTCATGAACCATGCTTGCACTCTCCCCACCCACCAGGAGAAATCATGGACTGCAATGATCTCTCTTGGCATTGAGCTATGATGCCTTGGAGGAAAGGTAATGCAGGTAAAGTGAAACTGTTTTTCTTATCTTTTTCAGTGCATCTATTCTCAGATTTTTGTTCTGATGGCGTGCTAAAACTTTATCTGCTGGATTCTTGGACCCCACAAAAGTGCTCTTATAGATAATTGTCAAGTTTGATGCTTCTGCTAGGCGATAATGGTAGAACGCTCTTATTCCACCACCGCGTGAACATCACTCTGCTTTCTCTCTTAATTCTGCCTTATTCTGCACATTAGCCTCATTTTCCTCCTTGGAGCTTGTGAAGGAATTGAAGATGCCAGAGGCATCAGTCTTATTTTATGTAAGGATGCTCCTAAACCACTAATGATAGGACCTAAAATCTATTGTTGAAGATTCTGAGATATACTCTCCGTCTTTTAGCTGATGACCTCATTCAGGGCCATCACAGCTTACAGGCCAAACTGTCTACTAAAAACATTAGGAAGTGTTAATCACATAGACCTCTTCTAGAGCTGTGCAGTGTGTGACCGGCACAGCCATATGCATTAGCCATGATACCCCCTACTTCATCAAGATACAGCAGTAATGATATTTAGTGTCTCTTATCTTTTCTACAATACCCTTGAATACCTGCCATCCTACATATATTTTATGAAATGGGAGACTGAAAGAATGTATTTTCAAAGTAATACACTTTATGTAATATGTGGTTTTTACATAAACTTATTTATGGAAAATTAATGAATTCAGTAGTAGGTTTTGACATTTTATTATTTTATCTGGTAGGAAAAAGTCCTTCTTTCTTAAATAAGGACTTAATTAGTCCTTATTTCTTAAGGCCTGGATTTGCAAGATTGCTTTCAAAATTGCTTCATGCATATTTTTATATTTTCAATTCCATATGAATTTTAAAATCACCTTTCAATTTTATTGTGCTTGTATGAAAGTTTTGGGTTAACTTCAAGACAGCTGACTTTTAACAGTTAAAACTTTCCAACTAAAAATGTGGCTTTTCTCTCAAATGACAAGCTTTGTATAATTTCTTATAGCTTCCCTTCTTGTTTTCTCTTCAAAAGATTTTTAGAATATTTTTGTTATGATATTATCTTTAGATGAAGGTCAATTTGTATCTTCTTCTTTTATATTTTTAGCTTGGTGGGCCTTTTCTTGAAGACACTTGTCTTTCTTTAACATTGAAATACATTTATCCATTGTTTTAGGCAATTTGTACCTCTCCATTTTCTTTGTTCTCTCTTTTGGGAACTCGTTTTAGTCAAACTTTGGGCTTCCTGCTTTGATCTTCATTAATCCTTTAGTCTTTGTTCTAGTGTTTTTAGTGTCTGAAGTACTTTTTAAGGTTATCCATCTGGGTATGCTAGAGAATGCTGGTCTGGGTATATGTTTTACATGGGCATATGACAGAATCAGCATTACCTCAAATGGTCAAGCTGCCTTTCCTGTGTTGAGGACACAGAGTTTTTACCTGGAAAAAGTATGGAGACAGAGGAGCAAGAGGAGCCTGTGCTGAGCACTTTCTGTTTGCCCCTCCAGACTTACAGTTGACCTTTCTCAATTCACATCTGCCCTTTGGGAGGCTGACCATATCTGTGGGCTACTTCATCTTTGGGCTTTCTGTGGTGCCCTGGAAGAAGGTAAGAGTGTGGGGCCGTAACATTGGTTCCTCCCACTCTCTCTCCACGTGGACAGCCCAACTGCCTCCTCTCAGGCCTCCCTCTCTGCCAGACCTCTGGCGCTGGCTTTCTGCAGTTGCTCCTTCCCTTGCCCTTTTGGACCCAGAGGTTGTAATTATAACCCCAGCGTCACCTCTCAGGATACTGTATTATCCATCCCTGTGATTTTCCCACCCTGGCCCATACTTGCGTAAAAGTCCTTTTATTATTCTCAAATAATTTAAATTGCATGTTCCATGTATTTCCTACAGGTACTCTGAAAAATATAAATGCCCGTAATCCCAGCACTTTGGGAGGCCAAGGCGGGCGGATCACAAGGTCAAGAGATTGAGACCATCCTGGCCTACATGGTGAAACCCTGTCTCTACTAAAAATACAAAAATTAGCTGGGCACTGGGCTGGATGTGGTGGCTCGCGCCTGTAGTCCCAGCACTTTGGGAAGCCGAGGCGGGTGGATCATGAGGTCAGGAGTTCCAAGACCAGCCTGGCCAAGATGGTGAAACCCCATTTCTACTAAAAATACAAAAAATTAGCTGGGTGTGGTGGTAGGCACCTGTAATCCCAGCAACTCAGGAGGCTGAGGCAGAGAATTGCTTGAACCTGGGAGGCAGAGGTTGCAGTGAGCTGAGATGGCGCCACTACACTCCAGCCTGGGTGACAGAGTGAGACTCCATCTCAGAAAAAAAAAAAAAAAAAAAAAGGGTGGCATCTGCTTGTAGTCCCAACTACTCAGGAGGCTGAGGCAGGAGAATCACTTGAACCCAGGAGGCAGAGGTTGCATTGAGCTGAGATTGCCCACCACACTCCAGCCTGGCAACAGAGCGAGACTGTGTCTCAAAAATTAATTAATTAATTAATTAATTAATTAACATAAACAACATGTAATAGAGAGGTTCAATAAGGCCAAAAGTGGTTCCTTTCAAAATTTGAATGTAACATACCAACACTGACCTAAGACATATTAGACATTAATAATCCAATGGCTAATAAGAAAATACATTTTTTTTTTTTAGATGGAGTCTCGCTTTGTGGCCCAGGCTGGAGTGTGCAGTGGCGCGATCTCGGCTCACTGCAACCTCCACCTTCCAGGTTCAGCCAGTCCTCCCCTCTCAGCCTCCCAAGTAGCTAGGATTACAGGCATGCACCACCATCCCTGACAAATTTGTTTTTGTATTTTTAGTAGAGACGGGGTTTCATCATGTTGGCCAGGCTGGTCTTGAACCCCTGACCTCAGGTGATCCACCCTCCTTGGCCTCCGAAAGTGCTCGGATTACAGGTGTGAGCCACCATGCCAGGCCTAGAAAATACATTTTTAAATTAAAAATATTACTTCTGCAATATCTCCAGACCTAGAGGCTTCACCAGTAAATTTTGCTAAATATATAAGAAAGAATAATACCAATCTTATTACTCATGAAATTGATAAATACCAGTGAGCTTGACTGAGGAAAAAGGGGCAAGGACACAACCAATGACAGAAATAATACATGGAATTCAGTATAGTCTTCTAAAACATTACATAATGGTAAGACGATGTTATATACAATTTTGTATCTTGCATTTGAAAATGTATATGAAAAAGACATGTTCCTAGAAAAATAAAGCTCATTAGAACTCACACTTTATCTTCCTCTTCTCTCTCTGTTTCTTTGTTTTGTTTTCTTTTGTTTTGTCTTCTTTCACTCAGACATATAGGAGGTCCAGGCAGCATGAACAGCTCCCTGGTCAGAGACACATGGATTTGCTCACTGGTTACTCAAAGCTGATTCAAAGCCGATTAAAGCTGCTGCTTCATCTGGGGTCCCAACCTCCAGTGGGAAAAACATTCTTCTTTTCCTGCTGGTGTCACCCACTGTTCCACGGATCCAAAACAACACCCAATGTTTGGTACAAATTTAGTGAAACAGCTCTTTCCATTCTTAACTCATGCCAAGCATCTCAGCTTGGGGTCAGGAAAATGCCAGGGGACATGAGCTCTTCTCCTAGAGTTAGAGAATTCTCTGCCTTAGTTGCAATAAAGGAAAAGATACACATTCTTCCTACAAATGCCAAAGTAGGCTCAAAATTTGGTTCCTAGAGTAGAGTATTGAAGTCGTGGCAAAGATCTTTCCAGTGATCAAAGCAGTGGCTCGTTATGTTCCCTCAGACTGAAGCTACAGTCTCAT
The DNA here is from genome assembly GCF_000001405.40 of Homo sapiens. Classification (NCBI taxonomy): domain Eukaryota; kingdom Metazoa; phylum Chordata; class Mammalia; order Primates; family Hominidae; genus Homo; species Homo sapiens. The sequence continues at coordinate 30,210,895 of NC_000015.10, forward strand.
CTTCACTTTCTGTTAGCTCCCTCCATCCTCTGCGTAGGCCCACACCTGCTTCTTACAGTTGTGTGGATTATAGCACCTCCTCTCCAGCCTCAGGACCTTTGTGAGTGCTGCTCCTTCTTCCTTGACTGCTCTTCACCAGGGATCCTCAGGGCACAGCCCTTACCTCCTGCAAGTCTTGACTTAAATGTCACTTTCTCAGGGAGGCCCACACTCATCACCATTTCACACCCACCTCCCACATGACCTTATTTTACCTGTTCTCTCTTCTCCTCTTTTTTTTAGAGTACTTATGATCTCATGTGGTACATTTTGGGGTTTTTGGTTCTTCTGTATCCGCCACTGCCATGATCAGTTAGAATGTTGGAAACCAAGGAAACTTGGTTTTTTGGCCTGTGATGAAAACTATGGGGTCTAATAGTATCTGATAAAGTGGCAGACCCTCAATTATTATTTGCTGAGTAAATGAATGAAGGTGTGTAGACAACTAGCTCTAGAAGCTTAAATGAGTGATACCATGTTTTATAACATTGGAAGAGGCCGGGAATGGTGGCTCACGCCTGTAATCTCAGCATTTTGGGAGGCCAAGGTGGATGGATCTCTTGAGGTCAGGAGTTTGAGACCAGCCTGGCCAACATGGTGAAACCTTGTCTCTACTAAAAATGCAAAAATTAGCTGGACGTGGTGGCACACGCCTGTAATCCCAGCTACTCTGGAGGCTGAGGCACAGCATCACTTGAACCCAGGAGGCAGAGGTTGCAGTGAGCTGAGATGGTGCCACTGCACTCCAGCCTGGGCAACAGAGTGAGACTCTGTCTCCAAAAACAGAAAAAAGAAAGGGGGGGAAGAAAAGAAGAAGGAAGAGGAAAGGGAGGAGGAGGATTTATCATTCACTTACACTAGAAACAGTGAAAATAGATAATAGCTATAATTTACTCACATCTTATCTAAAACACAAATTCAGGGTAATTTATGAGCAAGTCATTTTCCGGTGGGCTTTCGATAGTGTGTGAATTTGGAATGAATGCTGGTACTTCCAGCTCCCTTCCACCTGCAGCACCAGGAAGCCATTGTTGTGGGGAGGCCACCAACTTGGCTGGCATGTTGCTTCTGCCTCAGTTAGTGATGATGGTGATTTGGAGAGAAAGGACACTCTGCTAGGCTCCAAATCCAAAGGATCAAGTGGATAAATGAAATGAATATCTAAATAAATATCAATTAGGTCAAAAGTTTGTTTTCATCTAAATGAAATCTGAACACTACTTAGGGCTATGAAACATAGCCAGAGGACATGGCCAGCTCTGGAGTGGGGCCTGGACTTGCTCTCCCCTGCTGGAAGTGCTTTTCCTCCCAGAGCTCAGAGCACCATGTGCGTGTGACCCCTGCCTTTTCACAGGCCATTGCCACAGGGCATCTCCCTGGTCCACCCGCCCCAAGATGAGCCAGCCTCCCACTCAGGAAGTGGGTGGGGAAGGGAAAGAAAGACAGAGGAGAGAGAGACAGTCACACACAGGCAGTGGAGCTCCCCTGCACCCACCAGGGAGCTTGAGCAGCTCATCTGCAGAGCAGGGAAACATTTTTACTACCATTGGGAAGACGCTGAGCAGAGAGGTGAGGGGACAGCATTTCTTGTCTCCCTGTGGCTTGTTCCACTCACAGTTCAGTTTCTCCTGTTCTTGGGGAAAAGGAGGGAAACTGTATTAGTCAGGGTTCTACAGAGAAACAGACCCAATAAGATGTGTGCATGTGTGTGTGTGTTTATATATGTTCACAGAATGTATATATGTGTATATATATGTATATGGATAACTGCATATATATATTATTTATAGAGAGAGAGAAGAGCAGGAGACAGAGATAAAGAGAGATTCATATAAAGAATTATATTCATAATTTATATAATAATTTGTTCCTTTAATCATAAAGTCTGGCAAGTCCAAAATCTGCAGGGCAGGCCAGAAGCCTGGGCACCCCGGAAAGAGTTGCATCTAGACTCTGAAGACGGTCTGGAGGCAGAATTCCCTCTTTCCCAGGGAATTCCAGTCTGTTTTCTCTGAAGGCCTTTACTGACTAGATGAGGCCCCCACACACATGGAAAGCAATCTGCCCTACTGAAAGTCTACTGACTTAGAGGTTTAGCTCATCTAAAAAATACCTTCGTAGCAATTTCGAGACTGGTATTTGACCAAATAGCTGAGTAGGTTGGCCTAGCCAATCTGACACATAAAATTAACTATCACAGAAACAAAATAATCAATATAGGTAATAACTGTGCCAGAATGCTGTGATGTTTCAGGATGACCTTGTTTACATTTACATTTATTGTCAAAACTTACCTTCTCTTTTTATATGGGCAATTAAATCTGCTACTGAGGGTATCAAGTACTGATTTAATTTACAATCTTAATAGATAAGATAGGTTCCTATTTTCTCCTCTCCATAAAAGTAATAAGTTTGGAGAAACCAGGTCGGAAATACCTCTCCAGATTTTAAAGCATAACCTCTTGTTTGGAATAATAAGTATGTAAATAAGCACCATAAAATATGAAACCAAACATTTCATCATTCTTTTATATACATTATCCCTTGCATTTTTAAAAAATAAGGAACACCTTATTAGCCATATTTTCAAATGGTGAAACCAACACCCCCAGCTCAGACTCTGCCGTGGTAGGCTCCAGGGTCACTGATACCAGATCCCATGGTATTTTCACTATATCCCACTCTTTCTTTGCATGTGGCTCTTTTTTAGCTGCATTGCGGGTAAACAGGTGTGGCTCTTTTCAAACCAATTCCATGCATATGTGAAGAAAATTGATCCTGAAGTTCCTTTTGCCAAAGATGCTTATGGAGAAGTGTCTGTGTCTGGACAGACAAAAGTGTCCATTTTTGCCTCGAAGCTTGGCAAAATTGAAATTGATGATGGGGAAGCTAGAAATACTTCAGTCTACATTTCGAATCCCAGCTGCGGGGAGGCTGGTTGAGGATTGCCCATCCCTCAGTCTGGGCTGGATTCTCCCTCCAGTCTCTGGGGTTCTCTTTTCTATTCACAAGAGGGTGCTAATGAGATGGTTTAATCTCTATACCCTGTGGTCCACAAATACAAGATGCCAGCGTGGCCAATGGGGCTTCCATAAGAGTGGCAATCAGGGGTCTCAAGCTTACCATGACGTTTTGGGCCCTGGAATCAGATCATAGTTCTACAGTTGTCCTGGCACTAGAACTCATGACAAGGTTGTGACTAGACAGAAGGAGAGAAGGCTGGAGGCTGACAGGAAGCAATGTGAACAAATGCCTTCGCAGGATGCATGGGTTTGGGCAACAGATGGTCAGGGGAGGTGCTGGTGCAGACGGGCTCAGTAGCAAAGCAATAACTGTGGATGGCCATTTTATGGCTGCAGATCACAGCACATTTATAAAAGATGTGTGTTTCATGAAAATGTGCATTTCATCGTGGAAATACTGTGGTTGGAGGAGATTTCTCAAAGCTGATAAATAAGTGTAGGTGACTTAACTTGCAAAAGATGATCATATGTGAGAACGGATGTCTCAAATTAGGAAATAACTTGTTAAGTAAAAAAGCCTCATGTATTGATTTGAAGAAAAAGATATTTTGGTGCTCATCAAAATAAAAGTATAATAAGCTGAAGGGCTGCTTTTTTCTGTAAACATAATTTTGTATCACCAGTTTTATTTTCAACGAGGACTTGAAATTCAGAAAAAAAATTAAAGCAGAGAAATGGGAAAAGGGCAAAAAAAAAGGACAGGAAAATAAAGCCAGAAAAAGGCAAATGAGTACAGAAAAAAATAAAGTATCCACTCAGGTTCTGGACACTTTGTTAGAACTGAGAACACACAGATCCAGAACTTCCTAGCAGTTAGTGTAAGTAGGAAATATCACTGTTCATATAATTCAAAGGGTTTTTAAGACCCAAAGAAGCATAGATATCTAACTCTGAGATCTCACAGTTCTCTGATGGTTCTAATAAGGAGGACATGGTATGAACAAATTATGCCTTACTGTTCGCTGAGGTTATATCAATGCCCGAACATTTCATCCAGCAAAGCAGTCACAACTAAAAACAGGTACATGATGGTTGCAGACAGCTTCTCAGTAGCCCAGAGAGTGAGAGCTCACCAGGGCAGAAGGTCCCTGAACCAGAGGCTGGCAGTGCACATGTGCTTTGGTCAGAGGAGAAGGACAACCGTGCCCCACGGGGCTGAGGACCCAGTGGCTGGAACAAAGACATGATCCCAATTTTTTTGATACCTACTTTCTCACTTTGCCTTTGGGCCTCCACGGAGCTCCTGTGCAGCTGGCTGGACCATGGCCTATGTACAATGGCTGAGTCTACACACAATCAGAAAAGCAGCCTGAAACTCTGTGGACTGTGTCTGCTTTATTCTCAGCAGGATTAATGACCCTCATTGAATTCCCATCGCCTCAAAGCTTGGCAAAATTGAAATTGATTATGGGGAAGCTAGAAATACTTCAGTCTACATTTCAAATCCCAACATAACCTGAGTAAGGGAATTGCATGCTTTTCTCATCGAAAGCTCAAATAACTTAGTAATGGTTCAAAATTGTCTCCTACTGGCTTCTCAATTTAGCACACTAAATGGTCTTAGAGATCATTGCTCATCTTTGGACTAAGGCAGGCACAGTAATACATGTTCATTCTTTTGGCCTGAGCTATTACAGTAGCCTCCTAATAACTTATCTTCATCATCCTCTTTTCACTCATTCTATACTGGGCACCATGTCTGATCATTTTTTTTTCTGATATTTGGATCAGTTCTATTAAACTGATAACCCTGTGATGTCTTTTTTTCCCTTCAATAGATCTTTAAATTCCAATCCTCACCCTAATCTACTCTTTCCCAATATAGCACCGTTATTCACACTGCTCCCAAAATCTATTCCATCCTCTGACTTCTCACAATTTTTTTTTGTCCTAAGACTCCATGATAATAGAGAAAAGAATTTTGGTCTTCACAGAATGTATTGACTTAATGATATTCCAAATTTCTCTTGGGTGTCAAATATATTCCTCACCAAATATGACTGAAAGAAAACTCTATTCACCATGAATTTAAGGATCTCAAAATTATAATATCTTCTCCACTCTCATAATTCCACAGCCCCTGCTGTTACTATAATGACCTATATTGCAAAAGAGTGAATTCAATTAGAGTCCAAGAGGAAAACTGCTGGTATTTTTTTCATCTTTTGCCATCCCATACTTTATAAAGTGCAGTTAGACCCCCTGTTTGCCTCCCAGCATACCAAAGTTATGTAGATTATTTTAAATAAAATCTACTGAAAGCATGCATTTTTAAGTACCCCTTTTGTGTCCCCTAAATTACAGAGGATAAAACCAGCCATAGAGGCAAATTCCTTTAGACCTTCTCCTAGAAACAAACACTATCCATTACATAAAACCTTCAATTGCAAGGACAGTTCTGTAAACCATGATATTTGATCCTGGAAGCTTCCTAGATTGAACACAAAGAAGAGGGTACAGTATTTACATACCTCCAGCTTTAAGCTGTGTGCCTGGTGTTTTTCACTCCAAGGTGGTTGAGCATCTCCCTCTACACTGCCATCTACCCCATTCCTCATCACAAATGTCAACTCTGTCTGAGCTGCCTTCCAAAGTAAGCAGAGAACTCAGGACTGGGAAACCAGATGGGGCTGGCTTGGGAAGTGTGGCCTACCTGTTCCCTCCATGACCAAGCACAACACTGTATGTGGGGAATGAAATGGGACCAGGTCCCAGAGTACTGGGGAAACAGAACCTCATATCCAATGAGGAGTTCGGGCAGGCAGGTCAAAGATGGACCTGAGACCAACTCACTGTGATGGGTGTCAACAGAAAAGAAGACATGGCCTCAGAAGAGATGCTCCCTGAGAAGCTGGGCCACTTTCTCATGTGACTGCAGAGTAATCCATCCCTGCGTGGAGCTGACAAGGCACCAAGCTGCTGGGCATGAGACCCTTCACATATCCTCTCTGATCTTCTCGATTAGCTCTGAAGTCTCTCTGGTTTGAAACCTCATGTCACTTTTTTGGTATGTCTCTGTGGCATTGGACATCTTCTGCCTCATATTAGATGCATTGTGTAGTGTTTACTTATCCCTAATTTGCAGCCGCTTATCTGAGCATAGACACTAGACCACTCCATCTTTGCCTCTATAAATATCAGGTGTAGGACCTCGTACTTGACAGGTGCTCATAAGATATCTTTCTCTCCCTTTTTTTTTTTTTACTTGAGTTCAAGTGATGAGGGTCTAGTAATAGGTATTGCTAAGCAGAGCAAATTCAAATAATTGTTTAGAAAAGTATTGATGACTGTATCTGATTAAGAGTATAAAAAATGGGGGAGGAGCTATGCTGAGCCCCCAATTTTAAGTTAGAGACAGGAGAATTCTGATGCCTGCCACAATTGATATCTTATAATGCTGCATTTGCAAGCTTAACATTCAATCGTTTTTCATTTAGAGTCCAAAGCAATCATTGACCATGGTGCCTGGGTGTTGGCTGTGAAGCCTGAATTCTAAAACACAATTGTAAACGTATTTTGCCTTATATTGAGATAAGCACATACAATACTTAAGACATGCAATATTTTAAAGAAATACAAAAAAATTGCTAACTGGCCACATCAGTTCTTAACTTTTTTATTAACCAGAACTGGTTTCCTCTTGCTGTTAGTTCCAGAAGAAAAGATTAAATCAGAATAGTTCTATATGTTTTACCTTGTGTATTAGGTATCAATTGTTGCACAACAAATCATCCCCAAACATACAGGCTTAAAACCACCATTAGTTCACAGTTTCTGTGTGCCAGGAAACTGGATATGGCTTGGATGCATCTTCAGCTCTGAATCTCTCACAAGGTCACCATCCAGCTGTCAGCTCAGACTGTAATCTTGTCTAAAGGTTTAATTGAGCAAGGAGCCACTCAAACTTAACTCTTGTAGAGTTGGCAGGATTCAGCCCCTTTCAGGTTATTGGACAGAGGGCTCAGCTCCTTGCTGGTTATTAGCTGAGGCCACCTCAGTTCTTGACTCTGTGGGTCTCTCCATTAGGAAGCTCACAGCATAGCAGCTGGTTTCCCTCAGACTGAGCAGAGAGCAAGAGAGAGTGCTCAAGGCAAAAGACACTGCCTTTTTGTAACTTAATCTCAGAAGTGACATCTGCTGTGTTCTGTATGTTAGAAGTGAGTCACTAAGTCCAGCTGAAACTCAGGGGAGGGCTTGCCTACCAGGAGGCAGGAATCACCAGGACCCATCAGAGACACCGTCTACCCCAGTCTGTGCTCGGGTCCTTCATGTCTCTCCCTCCTGAAATTTGATAGATTCTGCAAAAGAAAAAGCCTTGATCCACGCTGCTTTCTAGAATGTTGTAGTGAAAAGCAAGTCAGTGTGGTACATTCAGAGTAATTTTATAATTTTATAATTTAAAAATAATTGACATTACTCCCAGCATTACCAAAGTTGCCAAGATCAGCTTTTAAATGCTCACTTAGGTCATTTGTGTTTAATGCATTGAGTGTGTGCTCAATCTTCATCCCAAGACAGAGGGATTCAGATAACTGGCAAATGATATGAAGGAAAACCTTTCTGGAGTAGTCCATCTGGAGGCCACGTCAGGACTAGCCTCACAGGTAGAGTACAGGCATTCTGACTTTGGGAGCATTAAAAAGAGCATCAAACCAAATTATCTGATTCAGCCCTATATAATAGCCTACATAAGCCCCAAAGATCTCTATTTTAAATTAGAAATAAAGTTAATGTTTCACTTGAACATTCTGCAGGAAAGTGGTATGAGATCAAGGTATTATTAACTATTAACAACTGGCTGGGCACAGTGGCTCACGCCTGTAATCCCAGCACTCTGGGAGGCTGAAGCAGGTGAATCACCTGAGGTCAGGAGTTCAAAACCAGCCTGGCCAACATGGCGAAACCCTGGCTGTACTAAAAAATATAAAAATTAGCTGGTCATGGTAGTGTGCACCTGTAATCCCAGCTACTCGGGAGGCTGAGGCAGGATAATCATTTGAACCCAGGAGGTGGAGGTTGCGGTGAATCAAGGTTGTGCTGTTGCACTCCAGCCTGGGAGATGAGTGAAACTCCATCTAAAAAAAAAAAAAAAACCGAAAAACTATTAGCAACTTAGCATGAAGCACTCTGTCACCTGATAAGAACTGAGAAAGTGTAGCACAGGACAGATCAGGTTTGTCTTGATGGAAGAAAGGAAAGAGGAAATTACTGATGGTAATCTTGAGCCGAGCACAGAGAAAGGCAAGAAGGGATGGCTCTGGTTTCAAACAATCCATGTCTGATTCCTCCCAAGCCCATTCTTTGTTATCTATTGTAATGTCAATACTCATATTAGGTAGGGAGTTCCCTTTAATGACCTCTAAGGATTCTTTCAGCTGGAAGAGTTGTATCCATTCATCTGCTAATCTTCTTCATCAAAGGACAGTTGGAAAGGATGCGGCATTACTCCTTACAAGAAGGTGGAAGTCTAATTTTTAAACTATGAGCTTTTACCTTAATGTGAGCCATTTCTTTTTAAGCTAGGCATTTACATGTACTCCAATATAATTCCTTAGTAGAATACATTTATTTTTGGTGCAAAACAAAATTATTTAGTCCAGAGACACCCTTCACTGGCAAAGAAAGACATTCATTGTGCAGTGCAGTAATTCAGAGAAATATTACTTCCAAGTCTTTTTAAAGTTAAAGAAGAATGTTTTAGGGCCCATTTGAAAAGTGCTATTCATATGAACTTGAAGGTCATTACTCACAGATAATATTCAGGAGAACTCCTGTCTAGGCTGAGAGCAGCCACTTCTGTGCTGTTTCAAGTTTTCAGAAACCATGGTACTGTTACTCCTCTATAAGGTAGAAAAACCATATCTAACATATTTGATTTATTCCAAAAACTCAGCAAAATCGATTTCTTTTTCACTCTTTGGAAGAAAGTACAGAATGAGGAAAATCACTTCTTAAAAAATTCATCAAAATAACTATGTTAAGCCCTTATGATTTCCAGGCCCTGAGCCCGGTTCTGGAGTCATAGAGTTTAGAAGAAAAAGATGGAAATATGCAATCCAGTGGGACTTCCTTTATCAAATGAACGCAAGGGCCTGATTTCTTTGGTAGATAATGCGTTCAACTAAACGGATCTCTTTGAGATGAGGATATTAGCTGCGCTGCACTGTCTGTACAATTGTGTCTGTACCTGGAGGAGTTTCCACAGCAGCAGAGCCTGAGATTCTATGCATTTTAGATTTAGAAACCTCATTATACCAGTTCCTACAAGAATAGGTCTCTGAAAGGACGAATCTCACAAATCAAGCTCATAAAAAATGCATAAACAATGCTTACATCATTTATAATGAGAAGATGTTCATTCCCAGCAATAGGGCAGAGCAGATAATTGAGTATCTCCCTAGTGCAGAACATTCAGAAGTACTGGATACTGTAGCAAACAGTTTCAAATGGAGAGCTGAAATTCCAACAAAGTCCCAAGACCACATTTTAAGACGAATCTGCAAACCAGAACTGTAAAGCACATGAGTGGACCTCACTGACATCTTTGTTTTATAGTAGGAGGTGGTGCTCTGGGCTGCATCAGGTAGAAATTAGACCTAGATCCACAGTAAGCCTGTCCTATATGCTGACACTGCCCCTCCCTCCCAGTAAGCCAGAGACTAGAAAAACATTCAACCTCCTGTGGGTTCAGAGAAACAACAGAGAGCCTGTTTGACTGATCGCAGGTTCTAGGTGGTAAAGTCTCCCCTAAGAATTTATAGGCAAAGGCTGATGCCTCCAGTGTATTCACGTGTGAATTCATGCTCTCCTTGTGGCTTGGGAGTGGACAAAGTAAGACACTGATAGGAATTGTTTCCTGGATGGTAATACCACTGTGACATTGTTGTGGGAAGCAAGCTCTGAGACAGAGACTGACATGCAGGAGAGGGATGAGGGAATGCTCTTGGAATCTCCACCTGGAAGTGAGGAGTAGAAAGCAGGACTGGGACTGGGCCGAGGAAGAGGGCAAGACTCAGCCAGCCTTGCAGGGAGTTCTAAAGATTACGTGGCTCTTAAGAATTATCTGGAGTAGGGCGAGAGGCGAGGCCCTTAGTGCTCCAAGTGAATCAGTCTCGGGATGCTCTGGGAGGGGGCCATGACCTTGGGTGGTGGGGCCATGTCGGAAGGGCTGGCACCTGACTGCACTGTCAGATGGGGCAGGCAGTAAGTCCTTACTCCTGAAAGGACTGTCTGTCCAGGGCTTCTGCTGGCAGCACTGTCAGTCTCGGGGCAATAAGCCCTTTACTCCTGAAGGGATATCAGGGTGGCCATCACTGTGTCACCACAGGGTTCTAGCAGAAGCAAACACAAGGCAGCTGTGAAGGGCAGGCCCTCCACCTAGGATTCCAGTTGACCCATCTAGCAGGATAAAGATAGAAAATGATGGCAGTTCTCGTAACTACAGCATAATTAATTTCAGATTTAAAAAACCAGGTGAAGCTAAAATACCAGATTTTAAATAATGGAACTTGAAAGGGAGCTGATTAGAATTCATGAATCCTAAGGTCTTTGAATTATCCTGGTTAACTGGTGGAATTAAAACTGTATAGTTAACTATATGTATTAAAATATGAAAGGGAATCTTCAAAAATAGGGAAATAAAATGTATAGCTCTCCAGCAAGATACTAAAAAGCAAAAACAGAAAAATGAACATAATACATAGCATATAATAAAAAGAATGGAATACATCTAAATGTATTGGTAAAATAATAAATATAAACGATCAAAAGATGTTTCTTCTAAGGCACAAAATTAACATTATCTGCCACTTTATACGTAGAATCTGGAGGACCTTGAATAGCCTAACTATAATACCCCTACCCACCCTGCTCCAGTGGCAGGTCCACTAGACAACCTTCCTTATCATGGGTGGCAGAGCCCGGAAGCAAGTGTCACTCCACCCTCTTGTTACTACAAAGCCTGACTCCCTCAGCTCCTGCTTGTTCACTCTGTTTCCAAGCGCAGCCCTCATGTGGCCCCACATCATGTGGTTCCATCCTCCCCTGGGCTGTGTGTGCCTGTGACTAATAAGCTGGTGTGAACTCAACTGTCTAGTGTTGGGTGTCATGTGTCCAGTCATTTCCATAACCCCAGTGTGGGAATCTCTCCTCCACAAATGGGATGGAGACGAGATGAATACATGCCAATAAAAAGACATAGATATTCGTATTGAAATATTTTATAACAGAAAAATGTTGAGAGTAAACATGTGTATAGTATAGGGAAATAGACATATTAATATAAAAGGAAGGAAAATATATAGCAGACATTTTCTAATCAGAAGAAAGCCACCATGGTATTATTACCATCCAGAAAAATAAACCATACAGTAAAATGTATCATTAGGAATAAATACATTCAGTACATGAGGGTCAAGTATTCAACTCCTCAGAAATAGACAACAGTTTTTGTCTAAACCTAAGAACATAATATCAACTATGCACAGTCAGAACTTCATGAAGAAATTGGTAAGTAAAGTGATCACATATTTGTCAAGTGTGTCAATATTTAACTGCAACAAATAATTAGAAAGTACATATTCTCATTCACTCATGGAACATTTATAAAAATGGGCTATGTGCCATAAATACAAGAAAATTTTCAATAAAGATATGCAGACGTTATCCAATTGTTCTTCAGTCGTAAGGCAATGCAATTAGAAATCAAAATAAAAAATAACAAAAAAGATTGTATGTTAATATTTTAAAATCCTCATAAGTCAGTCAAATAACAATTTTTATTTGTAATCATAAGAAAACATTTGTATTAGTAATATATTGTTGCATAACAGGTCGCCCCCCTACTTAGTGATTTCAAAAACAATAATCTTTGATGATCTCTCATTTGTGGGTGGGTCATGTACTTAGGAGCAGCTCAAATATATATTTCTGGTTTGGGAGCTCTCAGGAGGCTTCAGGCAGATGTCTGGGGTAACGGCCATGTAAAGACTTGAACTGGTCGGCGGCTCCGCTCCGCACTGCCGGGCGCCGCCTCGCCATGGACGCGCGCGGGGGCGGCGGGCGGCCCGGGGAGAGCCCCGCCGCCGCCGCGCCCCCCCAACAGCAGCCGCCCCGGGCCGAGGCGTTGCCCCCGGAGGCGGCGGAGGAGGGCGGCCCGCGGGGCCAGCGCCGCAGCCGCGACAGCTAGTGCGGCAGCCCCGGCATCCCGGGCACGGCGAGCACGGCCAAGGGCAGCCGGAACGGCCGAGTGCGGGCGCGGCTAGCCGCAGTGCAGCCCCGCGGGGCCCGAGGGCCCGGCGCGGGGGCCCAAGGTGTAGTTCTTGTGCCCCGGGGCGGCCTCGGGGCCCGCGCCGGGGCCGGGGCCGGGGCCGGCGGAGGAGGCCGGCAGCGAGGTGGCGGCCCGGCGGCGGAGCCGCGCCGCAGCCGGGCCAGCTTCATGCAGCGCCACTTCGGCGCGCTCCTGCAGCTGGGCGTCAACAAGTTCTCGCTGCGGATGTTCGGCAGCCAGAAGGCCGTGGAGCGCGAGCAGGAGCGCGTCCAGTCAGCGGGGTCCTGGATCATCCACCCGTACAGCGACTTCAGGTTCTACTGGGACTTCACCATGCTGCTGTTCATGGTGGGAAACCTCATCATCATCCCAGTGGGCATCACCTTCTTCAAGGACGAGACCACTGCCCTGTGGATCGTGTTCAACGTGGTCTCGGACACCTTCTGCCTCATGGACCTGGTGTTGAACTTCCGCACCGGCATTGTGATCGAGGACAACACGGAGATCATCCTGGACCAAGAGAAGATCAAGAAGTACGTGCGCACGTGGTTCATGGTGGACTTCGTGTCCTCCATCCCCGTGGACTACATCTTCCTCATCGTGGAGAAGGGCATCGACTCCGAGGTCTACAAGACGGCGTGCGCCCTGCGGATCGTGCGCTTCACCAAGATCCTCAGCCTCCTGCGGCTGCTGCGCCTCTCGCGCCTGATCCGCTACATCCACCAGTGGGAGGAGATCTTCCACATGACCTATGACCTGGCCAGCGCGGTGATGCGGTTCTGCAACCTCATCAGTATGATGCTGCTGCTCTGCCACTGGGATGGCTGCCTGCAGTTCCTGGTGGCCATGCTGCAGGACTTCCCGTGCAACTGCTGGGTGTCCATCAATGGCATGGTGAACCACTGGTGGAGCGAACTGTATTCCTTCGCACTCTTCAAGGCCATGAGCCACATGCTGTGCATTGGGTATGGCCGGCAGGCGCCCGAGAGCATGACGGACATCTGGCTGACCATGCTCAGCATGATTGTGAGTGACACCTGCTACGCCATGTTCATCGGCCACGCCACTGCCCTCATCCAGTCGCTGGACTCCTCGCGGCGCCAATACCAGAAGTACAAGCAGGTGGAGCAGTACATGTCCTTCCACAAGCTGCCGGCCGACTTCCGCCAGAAGATCCACGACTACTACGAGCACCGTTACCAGGGCAAGATGTTCGACGAGGACAGCATCCTGGGCGAGCTCAACGGGCCCCTGCGGGAGGAGATTGTCAACTTCAACTGCCGGAAGCTGGTGACCTCCATGCCGCTGTTCGCCAATGCTGACCCCAACTTCGTCACGGCCATGCTGACCAAGCTCAAGTTCGAGGTCTTCCAGCCGGGTGACTACCTCATCCGCGAAGGCACCATCGGGAAGATGTACTTCATTCAGCACGGCGTGGTCAGCGTGCTCGCTAAGGGCAACAAGGAGATGAAGCTGTTCGATGGCTCCTACTTCGGAGAGATCTGCCTGCTCACCCGGGGCCACCGCATGGCGAGCGTGCGGGCCAACACCTATTGCCGCCTCCTTTCGCTGAGCGTGGACAACTTCAACGAGGTGCTGGAGGAGTACCCCATGATGCGGCGCGCCTTCGAGACGGTGGCCATCGACCGCCTGGACCGCATCGGCAAGAAGAATTCCATCCTCCTGCACAAGGTGCAGCATGACCTTAACTCGGGCGTATTCAACAACCAGTAGAACGCCATCATCCAGGAGATCGTCAAGTACGACGGCGAGATGGTGCAGCAGGCCGAGCTGGGTCAGCGCCTGGGCCTCTTCCCGCCGCCGCCGCCGCCGCAGGTCACCTCGGCCATCGCCACGCTGCAGCAGGCCGTGGTCATGAGCTTCTGCCCGCAGGTGGCGCGGCCGCTCGTGGGGCCGCTGGCGCTCGGCTCGCCGCGCCTCGTGCGCCGCCCGCCCCCGGGGCCCGCACCTGCCGCCGCCTCACCCGGGCCCCCGCCCCCCGCCAGCCCCCTGGGCGCGCCCGCCAGCCCCCGGGCACCGCGGACCTCGCCCTACGGCAGCTTGCCCGCCGCCCCCCTTGCTGGGACCGCCCTGCCCTCGCGCCGCCTGAGCCGCGCGTTGCGCCCACTGTCCGCCTCGCAGCCCTCGCTGCCCCACGGAACGCCCGTCCCAGCGGCCTCCACACGCCCGGCCAGCAGCTCCACACCGCTTCTGGGACCCACGCCCGCTGCCCGGGCCGCCGCGCCCAGCCCGGATCGCAGGGACTCCGCCTCACCCGGCGCCGCCAGCGGCCTGGACCCCCAGGACTCCGCGCGCTCGCGCCTCTCGTCCAACTTGTGACCCTCGCCAACCGCCCTGCGGGCCCAGGAGGGCCGGAGGCGGGGCCGTCATCCAGACCAAAGCCATGCCATTGCGCTGCCCCGGCCGCCAGCCCGCCCAGAAACCACAGACAAGACATAGGTAGCCGTAGTTGGACTGACGGGCAGGGCCGGCGGGGCAGCCCCCTCCGCGTCCCCGGCCGTCCCCCCTTATCGCCCTGCGCCCACTCCCATCGCCCCTGCCCCCGGCGGCGGCCTCGCGTGCGAGGGGGCTCCCTTCACCTCAGTGCCTCAGTTCCCCTAGCTGTAAAACAGGGACGGGGCGGCCCAGTGGCTGAGAGGAGCCGGCTGTGGAGCCCCGCCCGCCCCCCGCCCTCTAGGTGGCCCGCCGTCCGATGAGGATCGTTTTTTAAGTGCAATACTTGGCCCACCGGCTTCCCGCTGCCCCCATCGCGCTCATGCAATAACCGACCCGGCCCCGGTCCACGCGCGTCCCGCGGTGACCTTGGGGAGCAGCACCCCAGCTCCCTCCAGCACTGGCACCGAGGGGCGGGCCTGGTTGCGCCGGGCGCGGGGGCGAGGCTGGGGTCCCGCCACCGTGATGAATGTACTGACCAGCTGAGGCAGCAGTGCCCCCACCGTGGCCCCTACGCCCAATTAACCCCCACACCCCCATTCCGCGCAATGAACGACAGCATCGGCAAAAAAAAAAAAAAAAAAAAAGACTTGAACTGGAGAACCTACTTCCAAGGCAGCTAACTCACATTTCTGGGAAGTAGGTTCTGAGAAGTCCATTCCTTCCCACACAACCTCCTGCCCCAGGGCTGCTTGAGTGTCCTCTCAGGGTGGTGGCTGACTTCTTCCAGAAATGAAGAGATGTAAGAGCCAGGGAGAGCCAGGCAGAAGTTACAGGTCCACTAGACAACCTACAGTATGGCAAATTACAGTTGCCTGTTTCCTAGAAAAATTTATACCAGCTGAAGTAATTACAGGAGATAGAAAACTTTAATGGTCCTACATGAATTAAATGAATTACATCAACTCTTGAAAATTAACTTTGACAAAGTACCAAAGATGTGTTGCTAATAAATTCTATTCAAGGTACAGATACTTCTAGTCTTATATCATCTGTACTAGAGAATAGAAAAAGAAACAGAAATAAATATATAAAAATATGTGAGAATAAAGCATTATAGTCCAAGCTCGTTTATGGAGAGAGATGCAAATATCCTGAATTTAAAAAAATAAAGTATATACTTTACTCACAGAAAGCAATATACCTAAAATTAAATCTAACATAGATATGCAAAACATTTATGCAGAAGTAAATGTAGCATTGTCTTTCAACACAGAAAATAAACTAAAAATGAATGAGTAGATAGGCAAAGTTTTTGTATCAGAGGCCTAAATATTATGAAGATATTTAATAATTAAATGCAATTCAAATATAAATACCAGCAGGGTATTTCATTGAAAAAAGTTAAATATAAAATTTATATGAAAGTGTATAGGGCCAAGAAAAAAAAAATTTTGGAAAAGAAGAACTGTGCAGTAAAGTGTTAACTCAGCAGGCCTGGGCTGCCCAAACCCTGCATATTCCGAAGGGCTTCAGGACAGTCCCTGACAGGCTCCTGGAGATAACCTCTGAGCCTTTGTAATATTCTGTGTGATTTGAGTGACTTTGTAAACCTGAAGCTTTGGGTCACACCACATGCTATCAACATGCTTTATAGTGAACACCTGTTTATGTATGCCTGGGCCTTGGGTCACATTGTGTCACTTTGACCTCTGGGGGTGGCAGACAGCTGACTGGAGACTGAGTGGTTGAGGTCAGTCATGTGGAGCACAACTGGAAGCCCATGCCTCCTCCTTAGTGCTGGACTCTGCTGTGTGCACCTTTTTCCTTGCTGCTTCTAATCTATATCCTTTCACTGTAATTAACAATAGCTGTGAGTCTAACAGCTGTCTGTGTCCTGTGAGTCTTTCTAGCAAATCGTGCACTGGAACCAAAGTGGGTGGGCACTCACCAACTAAAACTATCAAACCTACTAGGAATCTGTGAAAATTAAAGAACGTGGCAGTACATAGACATAGCCAATAGGCAAAAGAGAATCAAACCTTAAGTGCAAAGAAATGCATTGCAGATCAGCAAGTAAGAGGTAAATTATGGGATAAAGTGATCCAAACACTGTTTATTCAGGAAAAATGTAGATTTTTATCAGACACCGTTTATAAAAATGTTTCAGATAGATTAAAACCTAATAGTGAGCAGCGAAATTAAGCATGTCTTTGGAAGAATGAGGATCATGTTCTTGTTCTCAGGATGGGGACAGATTTACTAATGTAGACAATCATAAGAAAATAGGTATTATAATAATTTGACAACATTAAAGTTAAACATACCTGTATGCAAAAAGACACCATAAGCCAGCAAGGATTAGGTATCATGTATCTCTAACCATGTGATATAGCTGACAGGGGCTTAGTATATTCAGATTATACATCAATCAAGTTAATTAATCCATTCAAACAAATCCTTATTGAATGTCTATGTGCCAGGCCCTGTTCTAGTCACCAGGGTAACTGTAGAAAACAAAACTAATATCCTCCCCTCATAGGAGAGGCAGACACTAATAAATACGTCATTACATATGTTGATAAACCTCAGATTTCAGAAAGTACCAAGGAGAGAACTAAAGCAGGTGGGAGAATAGAGCTTCGTGAGAGATGGGAGATGCTATTTTAGATTGGCTGTTCATAAAAAGAATAATTTTGAACCCAATGGGTTATGTAAAAATCAGTATAGAATAGAAAAATGACCCAATAGAAAAAGACAATTTTCAGCCGGGCGCGGTGGCTCACACCTGTAATCCCAGCACTTTGGGAGGCTGAGACAGGTGGATCAGTTGAGGTCAGGAGTTCGAGATCAGCCTGGCCAACATGGTGAAACCCCGCCTCTAGTAAAAATACAAAATTTAGCCAGGTGTGGTGGCACACACCTATAGTCCCTGCTACTTGGGAGGCTAATGCACAAGAATCGCTTGAACCTGGGAGGCGGAGGTTGCAGTAAACTGTGATCTTGCCACTACGCTCCAGCCTGGGCGACAAAGCAAGACTGTCTCAAAATTAAAAAAAAAAAAAAAGAAAAAGACAATTCTTGATTGAATGAACTGAATGCCCAATAAACATTTGAAAAGATCTCTGTAATGTATTTAACATAATTTTACATCTCTGTTCATATTAGAGAATTTATGGGGTTTTTAATAAAACACTTGGCCCTGAGTTGATAATTTTTGAAGCTGGGTGATAGGTTAATGGTGGTTGATTATATTATTCTCACTCTCTGTCTCACTCATTACACACACACACACACGAAATCATACATGATGATTTATACAGTTACTTATAGTTTACATAATTTATATATTTAACATAAATATAAGTATAAAAATAATTATTATAAATATAAATTATATGAAAATAATTTATAATGAATTCTAAGGTAATTAAGACACAAATAACAAATTTTAGGACTGAAACAGAGATATGGCCACAGATCATACAGGTATTAAAAAATAACTAGTAAATCTATGAAAATCTTTATACAAAATTATCTTTATACTATGAAAATCTTTATACAAAAATTGCTGAAAAACAGACAACTTCCTCCAAGCATATGATTTATTAAAGTGCATTCAAAAATATAAAGTCTTCACAACCCTATAATTATAAAATTGAATCTGTAATTAAACAATTTGTCATCAAGAAATGCCAAGTCCCAAAGGATTTACTGATGATTTTTACCACCAAACATTTGAGGAAGAAATAAGAAGTCATATTACACAAATCATTCTAGAGAATAGAAGAAGAGAAAATACTTTCCAATGAGGGAAAGATAATCTTGGTCACAACCAAAACCAAAATAAGAGTATCGGAAAAAATAAAATTGCTCTTGAATTCTTAATAAGTTACTCTAAACTCTTGAAAGACAATTTCTCTCTTGAATATGACTTAAAAATAAATCCAAGCCAGGCGCAGTGGCTCATGCCGGTAATCCCAGCACTTTGGGAGGCCAAGGCAGGCGGATCACTTGAGTCCAGGAGTTCGAGACCAGCCTGGCCAACATGGTGAAACCCCATGTCTACTAAAAATACAAAAAAATTAGCCAGGCGTGGTGGCGGGTGCCTGTAATCCCAGCTACTTGGGAGGGTGAGGCAGGAGGACCCCTTCAACCTGGGAGGCAGAGGTTGCAGTGAGCCAAGATTGTGCACCACTGCACTCCAGCCTTGGCAACAAAGTGAGACTGTGTCTCAAAACATAAAACTACAAAATAAATCCAAATAAAAACATTAGCAAACTGAGTCTAGTGACATATACATAAAGGAAAATACATCATGGTCATGTTGGGGGCCAGGGATACAAGATTAGTTTAACATATGAAAATCAATCAACATAATTCTCCATGAAAAAAAACATTTTAAAAAATTGAACTGTCTAGTTATGATTGTTAAAAAAGAAACTATCACTATATTAGAAATAGGAATACACTTTCTAAATGTGAGAAAGGTGTTTTTATATTGAATGAAAAAATGTTGTAAGAGCATTCTCAGAGATTAGAAATTAAAACAACAGGATGTCTGCTCTTACCATTGTTATTCAACATGATACTGGAGGTGCTAGTCTGTGCACTGAGGCAAGAGATAGCCAGAAAAGCGTGTATCATTTTCAAGTGCCAGAATAATGAAAATGCTCAAAAAAGCAAAAAGGATGGGGCATATCAGAGAGATATAAAAGTGACCCTGATATAAAATAAATAACATGGTATTGGCTTACAACCCAAAGTATAAAATCAATATACATGAGGTTACACTGATATAAATAAATGATTAAATGAACAAGTAAATACAAAAGAAAGAAGAAGGACAACTCTTTGTAGAAGAATTCCAGATAATATGAATAGATACTGTCTCTTCCAGGAATTGGACCTTAGTGTCTACCTCCCAGGCCACCTTGTGCCTGGCCTGGACTTAGTGATTCACATGCAAGACTAGAGTATTGAAAGCCGGGAAAGAGTATCTGTGTGGTAGAGAAACCTAGCAAACGCCTCCTTGACCACATGATCAAGGTGAACATCACCAGTAATGAGGCATGTTGATATCACATCCCCTTGATATGAAGTGATGAGAAGGAAGCTTAACCTCTGCAGAATTTTTTCCAAAAGCTCATAATTCCAGCCTAATCAGGAAAAAAATAATCAGACAAACACAAATTAAAGAGCATTCTAAGGACCTGACCAGTAATCTTCAAACTGTCGATACACAGTAACAAGGAGAGGCTAAGAGTTGGCCACAGGCCAGAGGAACCCAAGGAAACGTAATGATTAAGTGCCAGATAGTATCCTGAACTGGATACTGGGAACAGAAAAAGAACGTTGGTGTAAAAACTTAGTGGAATGCAAATACATTACTGTTAATGAAAATTCAGAATTTAATATTGGTTTCTTAGTTTTGGCAAACGTAGCATGGTTGTGTAACATGTTAACTTTAAGGAAAGCTGGATAAGATAACTCTCTTTACTTTTTTTGCAGCTTTTCTGTAGATCTAAAATTATTCCAAAAGTAAAAAGTTTATTACATAAAAGAAAGAAGTCACAAAACTCTTATTTTAAGACTTACATGGCAAATTAAGTGGCCATGATTAAACAAGTCATATTTTTTCTATGTATGTATGTATTTATTTTTAAAATTGGTTAATTTATACATATATATTTTTAAATTTTACTTCAAGTTCTGGGATACACGTGCAGAATGTGCAGGTTTGTTACATAGGTATAGAAGTGTCATGGTGGTTTGCTGTGCCTATCAACCTGTCATCTAGGTTTTAAGCGCCGCATACATTAGGTATTTGTCCTAATGCTCTCCCTCCCCTTGCCCCCCACTTCCCTACAGGCCCCAGTGTGTGATGTTCCCCTCCCTGTGTCCATGTGTTCTCATTGTTTAACTCCCACTTATGAGTGAGAACATGCAGTGTTTGGTTTTCTGTTCCTGTGTTAGTTTGCTGAGAATGATGGCTTCTAGCTTCATCCATGTCCCTGCAAAGGACATGAACTATATTTACTTTTTTTTTTTTTTTTTTTTTTTGAGACGGAGTTTCACTCTTGTTGCCCAGGCTGGGCAATGGTGCAATCTTAGCTCACCACAACCTCTGCCTCCTGCTTCAAGTGATTCTCCTCCTTCAGCCTCCCGAGTAGCTGGGATTACAGGTATGTGCCACCACGCCTGGCTAATTTTTAGTAGAGACGAGGTTTCTCCATATTGGTCAGGCTGGTCTTGAACTCCCAGCCTCAGGTGATCCACCTGCCTTGGCCTCCCAAAGTGCTGGGATTACAGGCGTGAGCTACCATGCCTGGCCTATATTTAATTTTAATTGACAAAAAAATTGTATGTTAAAGGTATACAAAATGATGTTTTGATATATGTGTACAATGTAGAATGTTTAAATGGAGCTAATTAATATATGCGCCACCTCACATACTTATTATTGTCTTGTGATGAGAACTTTTAATATTTACTCCCTTAGTGATTTTTAAGTATACAATACATTGTTGTTAAGTACAGTCACCATGTTGTACAATAGAGCTCTTTCAGTCATTCCTCCTGTCTGGCTGAAAATTTGTGTCCTCTGACCATTATCTCCCCATTTCCTCTTCTCCCTAGCCCGTGGAACCACCATTCTGAGCTCTACTCTTAGAAGGTTTTTAGATTTCATACGTATGTGAGATCACGTGATATCTTCCTTCCTCCCTCCCTTCTTCCTTCCTTCCTCTCTTTCTCTCTTTTCTTTTCTTTCTTTCTTTCTCTTTCTTTCATCTCTCTTTCCTTCCTTTCTTCCTTCCTTCCTTTCTCTTTCATCTCTCCTTCCTTCCTTTCTTCCTTCCTTTCTCCCTCTTTCTTTCCTTTCTTTCTTTCTTTCTTTCTTTCTTTCTTTCTTTCTTTCTGTCTTCCTCCTTCCTTCCTTCCTTCCTTCTTTCAGACAAGGTCTCACTCTGTCATTCAGGCTGGAGTGCAGTAGCGTGATCATAGCTCACTGCAGCCTTGAACTCCTGGGTTCAAGCGATCTTTCTGCCTCAGCACCCTCCAAGTAGCTGGGACCACAGGCTATATCACCATGCCTGACTAATTTTTTAAATTTTTTTTTTTTTTTTGTAGAGACAGGGTCTCCCTATGTTGCCCAAGCTGGTCTCAAACTACTGGGCTCAAATGATCCTTCCTCCTTGGCCTCCCAAAATGTTGGATTGCAGGTGTGAGCCACTGCACCTGGTTCATTATTTGTCTTTCTGTGCTTAGCTTATTTCGTAAAGAAGTCAATATTAAATATTAAAAGTTATTATAAAGATATATTAGCAAGACAGTATGGTAGGGACATAAATATAAACACACATACCAACAGAACATGACAAAAGAACAAAACCAGCCGCATGCATACTCGATGGAGACAAAGGTAACACTGCAGAATGGTGAAGGAAGAACAGTCATTTTAATGACAGTGTTGGCTTAATTGAGTATTCATGTTCAAAAAAGAAATTTGAGCCTTATTTCACATCTCATAGACACACACTATAACTTCCTTGTGGAGTTTAAATCTAAATGCAATAAGTGAGCAATAAAAATTTTAGAATATATTCTAACAGATTATATTAATGATCTTGGTGTAGGAACAGATTTTTTAAAACACTATATAGGAAACTTTAAACATAAAAAAGATTGATAAGTTAGACTACACTAAAATATTGAATATATCTTCAATGAAATACAATGTTTAAATAATGAAAACATAAATCACAGAGTAGGAGAGAATATTTTAAGTATGGCAGCGAAGGTCCTATGCCTAGATGATATAAAGTGCTTCTAAAAGCCAGTAAGAAAAAGACTCAATTAAAACATTGGGAAAACGTTTGGATAGGCACTTCATAATAAAAGAGTATTCAAATGATCAATGCTCACATTAAAAGTGGTTCAACATCGTTAATCATCAGGAAACTGCAAAGTAAACCAACCAAGAGATAACACTGTATACTCATCAAGAGGCCTACATTTTTTATTTTATTTGCTTACATTTTTACTTTAGATTCAGGGGGTACATATACAGGTTTGTTACAGGGGTATATTGCATGATGCTGAGGTTTGGGCTTCTATTGATCCCGTCATCCATGTAGTGAACATACTGCACGATAGGAAGTTTTTAGCCCTTCTCCCCTCTTTTTCCTCTTTTGGAGTCCCCAGTGTCTATTGTTCCCATCTTTATGCTCACATATACCCACAATATAGCTCCCACTTATAAGAGAACACGTGACTTTTGGTTTTCTGTTGATGCATTAATTCACTTAGGATGGTGGCCTCCGACTGCATCCATGTTGCTGCAAGGGATATTATTTTATTCTTTTCTATGGCTGCATAGTATTCCGTGGTGTATAGGTACCACATTTTCTTTATCCGATCCAGAGTTGACGGGCACCTGGATTCCATGTCGTTGCTATTATGAATAGCACTGCAATGAACATATAAGCTCATGTGTCTTTTCAGTAAAATGGCTTATTTTCCTTTGGGCATACACCCAGTAATAAAATTGCTGGATCAAATGGTACCTCAAATCTTAGTTCTTTGAGAAATCTCCAAACTGCTCTCCATAGTAGCTGGAGTAATTTACATTCCCACCAACAATGTATAAAATTTCCCCTTTCTTTACAACCTCACCAGCATCTGTTATTTTTTGACTTTTAATATTGGCCATTCTGACTGATGTGAGATGATATCTCATTGTGGTTTTGATTTGCATTTCTCTAGTGATTAATGATGTTGAACTTTTTTTTTCATCTGTTTGCTGGCCACTTATATGTCTTCTTTTGAGAAGTATCTGTTCACGTCCTTTGCCCACTTTTTAATGGGGTTATTTGTTTTTTGCTTGTTGATTTGTTTAAGTTGCTTATAGATGCTGCTTTGTTGGATGTACAGTTTGCAAATATTTTCTCTCATTCTGTAGGTTGTCTGTTTACTGTGTTGATGTTTTTTTGTTGTTGTGCAAAATCTCTTTAGTTTAATTAAATCCTACTCACCAATTTTTGTTTCTGTAACAGTTGCTTTTGGGGACTTGGCCAAAAATTCTTTGCCAAGGCCATGCTAAAGAAAGGTATTTTCTATGTTTTATTCTAGCATTTTTACAGTTTCAGGTCTTACAATTAAGTCTTTAATCCCCCTGAGTTAATTTTTGTATATGGGCTAAGTGTCCAGTTTCATTCTTCTGCATATTATTAGGCAGTTTTCCCTGCACCATTTGTTGAATATGGAGTCTTTTCCCCATTACTTGTTTCTGTTGACTTTGTCAAAGATCAGTTGGTTGTAAGCGTGTGACCTTATTTCTGGGTTCTCTATACTGTCTCATTGGTCTATGTGTCTCTTTTTGTACCAGTACCATGCTGTTTTGGTTACTGTAGCCTTGTGGAATAGTTTAAAGACTTTACCAAAAAACTCCTAGACCTGGTAAATGACTTCAGTAAAGCTTCAGGATACAAAATCAGCATACACAAATCAGTAGCATTTCTATATACCAATAGTTTTTAAGCTGAGAGCCAAATCAAGAGTGAAATCCCATTCAAAATAGCACCACCCCCCAACAAATTAAAATACTTAGGAATACATCTAACCAAGGAGGTGAAAAATCTCTACAAGGAGAACTACAAAACACTACTCAAAGAAATCATAGATGACACAGACCAATGGAAAAACATTCCATGCTGGTGTGTTGAAAGAATCAATATTGTTAAAATGTCCATACTATAGATTCAGCATTATTTCTATCAAATTACCAGTGCAATTTTTCACAGAATTAGAAAAACTGTTCTAATATTCATATGGAACCCAAAAAGAGCCAAAGTCATTCTAAGAAAAATAAAACCAGAGGCATCACATTACTTAACTTCATGATGGCTAAAATTTAAGGATTGACAGAAACACATTATATTACTGGTGTAGGTATAAATTATTACCATTAATTTGGAAAACTATTGACAGTATGTCAGTTTTGAACAAAATCATACCCTATGAGTTAGCAACTCCACTTTTGGGTACACACCCAGAACATGATTATCAAAAGGCATCCAAGTTTTATTTCATAAGCACCTAAGGATGTGGATCAAAATGCAAATCTGCTACACAAAATTAGTAGCCAGAGGGTTCTTGGTGAGTCTGGAAGCAAAGCACAGCATTGCTTTTTATTACTCAGCCGTCATGGCCCAGTTGCCTTTGGCAGGTGAGGCCAGCTGGCCAGTAGCTCAGATGGAGCAGGTATGAGGGGGTAAGAGCAGTGGTCCATCTGTCACTGGAGAAGCCTAGTCACCTGGGCAGAATATCTTGAACCTAGGATAAGTTCATCCATGGTAGACCAACTCTGTGATGGAGTTATGAGATGGGGAAGGAGGGTCTGGCACCATGCAACAGGATTTCCCCCAAAGCTCAGCACTCCAAGGAGCACATCAGCATCAGGAATGTCTGCTGGAAGCCAGCGGCTGTGGAGGAGGGGCAGTAGCCACTGAGCCTAGGTTCAGAGCTTCAATCCCCTTCAGTCCTCTTGACTGGCAAGAGAACAGCAGAGTCTATTAGAGAGGAATTACCATTCCAAGCAAGAATTTAGGCCACATCTTTCAGAATGAGACCATTGAGTTGAGGTCCACTTAGCAGGGAAAGTGGCTTCAGGTTGTGGTTGACTGTTTAATTACACCCTGCTGTTCACTCTCTTCACCATTGTATGCAAAGTACAGCGTCTCTGACAAGCAAGGAACACTGGCTTGCCCCACAGTGGCTGGCTGGGGTTGATGAAATGAGCAGCGAAGTAGCAGTGTGCCCAGTCCAAGCAGAGACTACCTCTAGCAGGGGCATGACATTCCCCAAGAGAGGGCATCTCCTTTAGCCTGGACCTTGGAGCAAAAGCAACCCATGGATCAGACCAATAGACAACATGCAGCCCTCATCTAACCCAAGTGGAATATAGCTGTTGGTATAAGCCCCCGAGATTTTGAGGTTGTCCCCACAGGAAAGCAAACTAGCATAACACTGAATTGCTGAGCAAGTGGGTGGTTAATTAATAGCTCTCTTTCCCAACTAGAGCTTCCCTGAAAGTCCGAGGAGGCCTGGAGCATGCAGGGAGAGGACAAGCAGCCTCGGAGAGAAAGAGGGGAGGTACAAGTGACCTGGATGCAACACGGCCTGGCCCAGGAGGAATTGGATACTCTTAAGGGATATTTCACACAAGTCATATGAATCTGGAAGACTACCCCAGATCCATATAGGTATATAGGACAAGGCCAGACTACTCTCTATCCCCAACATGTCTCTCAACTGGAGAGTACTAATAAATACTGCCAATTCTTACTACCCAATTCCTGTTTTAATCAGTTATAAAATACAATTTAGTATATTGCCGTGGATTTTTATATTGGTAATATTTTCCTAAGGTGGCTTGCCAATTATCCCAGCCCCATTTGTTGAATAGGGTGTCCTTTCCCCACTTTATGTTTTTGTTTGCTTTGTTGAAGATCAGTTGGCTGTAAGTATTTGGCTTTATTTCTGGGTTCTCTATTCTGTTCCATTGGTCTATATGCCTGTTTTTATACCAGTACCATGCTGTTTTGGTGACTATGGCCTTAGGGTATATCAGTTGATACCTCCAGATTTGTTCTTTTTGCTTAGTCTTTCTTTGGCTACGTGGGCTCTTTTTTGGTTCCATATGAATTTTAGGATTGTTTTTTCTAGTTCTGTGAAGAACGATGGTATGTTTTGATGGGAATTGCATTGAATTTGTAGATTGCTTTTGGCAATACGGTCATTTTCACAACATTGATTCTACCCATCCACGAGCGTGGGATGTGTTTTCATTTGTTTGTGTCATCTGTGATTTCTTTCAGCAGTGTTTTGTAGCTTTTCTTGTAGAGGTCTTTTACCTCCTTGGTTAGGTATATTCCTAAGTTTTTTTTTTTGTTTTGTTTTCAGCTATTGTAAAAGGGGATGAGTTCTTGATTTGATTCTCAGGTTGGTTGCTGTTGGTGTATAGTAGAGCTACCGATTTGTGTACAATAAATTTGTATCCTAAAACTTTGCTCAATTCATTTATCAGTTCTAGGAGCTTTTTGGAGAAGTCTTTGGGGTTTTCTAGGTATATAATCATATCATCAGCAAACAACAACAGTTTGACTTCCTCTTTAGCCATTTGGATGCCCTTTATTTCCTTCTCTTGTCTGATTACTTTGGCTAGGACTTTCAGTACTGTGGTGAATAGAAGTGGTGAAAGTGGGCATCCTTGTCTTGTTCCAGTTCTCAGGAGGAATGCTTTCAGCTCATCCCCCTTCAGTATTATGTTGGCTGTGGGTTTGTTGTAGATGGCTTTTGTTACCTTGTGTCCCTTCTATGCTGATTTTGCTGAGGGCTTTAATCATTAAGGGATGCTTAATGTCAAATGCTTTTTCTGCGTCTATCGAGATAATCATGTAATTTTTGTTTTTAATCCTGTTTATGTGGTGTATTGCATTTATTGACTTGCATAGTGTTAGTGGCTCTTTCTGCATACTTGAGAATATCTAGTTTTATGTCTCGTTTGAATCTGGGTAGGTTACTTAACCATGATGACAGTTCATTATTATATTTTATTTTAAAAATGTATTTTTTAAATTTTAAAATATTTAATTGACAAAGATTGAATATTTTTGGTGTGCAACATGATGATTTGACATATGTATGCATTGTGTAGTGATTACCAAAATCAAATTAATTAACACATCCATCACCACCCATGCTGTATATGAGAACCCCAGAACTGATTCGTCTTGTAACTGAAAGCTTGTATTCTTTGTCCAGCCTCTCACCCAGTTTCCCCTCTCCCCCACCCCTGGCATCACCATTTAACTCTCTGCTTCTATGAGTTTGACACTTTTATTTATTTATTTATTTTTGAGACAGATTTTTGCTCTTGTCGCCCAGGCTAGAGTGCAATGTCACAGTCTGAGCTCACTGTAACCTCTGCCTCCCGGGTTCAAGTGATTCTCCTGCCTCAACCTCCCGAGTAGCTGGGATTACAGGCATGGCATGTGCCACCACACCCAGCTAATTTTGTAATTTTAGTAGGGATGGGGTTTCACCATGTTGGTCAGGCTCCTCTTGAACTCCTGACCTCAGGTGATCCACCTGCCTCGGCCTCCCAAAGTGCTGGGATTACAGGTGTGAGCCACCATGCCCTGCCCAGTTTGACACTTTTAGATTCCACACATAAGTGAGATCATGCAGTATTTGTCTGTCTGTGTCTTTCTATGCTTATTTTATGTAACATGTCCTCCAGGTTCATCTGTGTTGTTGCAAATGGCAGGATTTTCTTTTTATGGCTGAATAATAGTCCACTTTATACTTCAAATTCTTCCTATCTTTCAGAACCAGATCCAATGCCATCTCTTCCGCAAAGCCTTCTTTGATCTTGAAGTTTGGCAGAGGAAGTTCTCCCCACTGTGAGGTTTAATTATATTGATTTCCTCCTGGCCATGGGTCTGTTTGTAATAGGGATTTATGCAGGAGATAGATAAGGTTTCTCATGCAGCTTGTCAGCTGGTATCATAGAGTGTTTTCTGTAGTTATTATTCTATAACTATTTATTTATGTTTTATAAGTCCTATGAAATATCACTTAAAGGAAAATTCTCTCAGCCTTGTTCCCAAATTCTGTGTGATCACAAAGACACTATTGCTTTCTAGGCCTTGCTTTCATGGAACTGAACCTAAATAGTGTACCTTTTTTAGGTATCTCCAGGGTCTTTCTTTAACTATTTTTGCTCAAGTAAAAGTGAATAGCAAAAATGGAGTATTTTAAACCTGAAAAAAAAAAAAAAACAGAAAGGAAGTGAGGTGGCTTGACTTCCTCCTAAGTTTATAGTAAGTATATTTTCTCATGGGAAGAAAAAAACACACTGATGATTAGAAACACTTTGCTTTTTGTTCAGCCACAACCTAGCTATTTCCCACAAAATTAATCCACTGTTACCAGAATAGGGAAGCATCTGTACACATAGAGAGAAATGGAACCTAAATATTTCTGGAAACCTCAAGTCACTTACACATTCCACAAGTTGCCTCATATCGAGAAACACAGAATTTGTTCAAACATTTCAATACTTCACCAGATTGAGTTTGCAAACAAAAACATTTTGGAATTGTGGCAAAGGGAGTGGCTGTCATGGCAGAGGTGAGCTCAGACATGTGGATTAGTATTCAGACGATAATTTGGCTCCAGAAATCATCACCACGGGGCACACAACCCTGTAGTCAGAAAGGACCTCATGAATCACCCCATAGATTACCCTAAAATTTAAAGATTTTCTCCAGAATGAACCTAGTAAAGAAGACTATTCTAAGAGGCAGCTTATCTCATTCTGAAAACATCTTTGTTGTTTCTTTCTTTCTTTTCTTTTTTTTTTTTTTTTTTTTTGAGATGGAGTCTAGCTCTGTCCCCCAGGCTGGAGTGCAGTGGCGCAATCTCGGCTCACTGCAAGCTCTGCCTCCTGGGTTCACGCCATTCTCCTGCCTCAGCATCCCGAGTAGCTGGGACTACAGGCGCCCGCCACCACGACTGGTTAATTTTTTGTAGTTTTAGCAGAGACGGGGTTTCACCGTGTTAGCCAGGATGGTCTTGATCTCCTGACCTTGTGATCCTCCTGCCTTGGCCTCCCAAAGTGCCGGGATTACAGGCATCAGCCACTGCGCCTGGCCTGTTTATCTTTATTTCTTTTTTTTTTTCTTTTATTATTATACTTTAAGTTTTAGGGTACATGTGCACATTGTGCAGGTTATTTACATATGTATACATGTGCCATGCTGGTGCGCTGCACCCACTAACTTATCATCTAGCATTAGGTATATCTCCCAATGCTATCCCTCCCCCCTCCTCCCACCCCACAACAGTCCCCAGAGTGTGATGTTCCCCTTCCTGTGTCCATGTGATCTCATTGTTCAATTCCCACCTGTAAGTGAGAATATGCGGTGTTTGGTTTTTTGTTCTTGCGATAGTTTACTGAGAATGATGATTTCCAGTTTCATCCATGTCCCTGCAAAGGACATGAACTCATCATTTTTTATGGCTGCATAGTATTCCATGGTGTATATGTGCCACATTTTCTTAATCCAGTCTATCATTGTTGGACATTTGGCTTGGTTCCAAGTCTTTGCTATTGTGAATAATGCCGCAATAAACATACGTGTGCATGTGTCTTTATAGCAGCATGATTTATAGTCCTTTGGGTATATACCCAGTAATGGGATGGCTGGGTCAAATGGTATTTCTAGTTCTAGATCTCTGAGGAATCGCCACACTGACTTCCACAATGGTTGAACTGGTTTACAGTCCCACCAACAGTGTAAAAGTGTTCCTATTTCTCCACATCCTCTCCAGCACCTGTTGTTTCCTGACTTTTTAATGATTGCCATTTTAACTGGTGTGAGATGGTATCTCATTGTGGTTTTGATTTGCATTTCTCTGATGGCCAGTGATGATGAGCATTTTTTCATGTGTTTTTTGGCTGCATAAATGTCTTCTTTTGAGAACTGTCTGTTCATGTCCTTTGCCCACTTTTTGATGGGGTTGTTTGTTTTTTTCTTGTAAATTTGTTTGAGTTCATTGTAGATTCTGGATATTAGCCCTTTGTCAGATGAGTAGCTTGCGAAAATTTTCTCTCATTTTGTAGGTTGCCTGTTCACTCTAATGGTAGTTTGTTTTGCTGTGCAGAAGCTCTTTAGTTTAATTAGATCCCATTTGTCAATTTTGGCTTTTGTTGCCATTGCTTTTGGTGTTTTAGACATGAAGTCCTTGCCCATGCCTATGTCCTGAATGGTAATGCCTAGGTTTTCTTCTAGGGCTTTTATGGTTTTAGGTCTAACATTTAAGTCTTTAATCCATCTTGAATTGATTTTTGTATAAGGTGTAAGGAAGGGATCCAGTTTCAGCTTTCTACATATGGCTAGCCAGTTTTCCCAGCACCATTCATTAAATAGGGAATCCTTTCCCCATTGCTTGTTTTTCTCAGGTTTGTCAAAGATCAGATAGTTTTAGATATGCGGCGTTATTTCTGAGGGCTCTGTTCTGTTCCATTGATCTATATCTCTGTTTTGGTACCAGTACCATGCTGTTTTGGTTACTGTAGCCTTGTAGTATAGTTTGAAGTCAGGTAGCGTGACGCCTCCAGCTTTGTTCTTTTGGCTTAGGATTGACTTGGTGATGCAGGCTCTTTTTTGGTTCCATATGAACTTTAAAGTAGTTTTTTCCAATTCTGTGAAGAAAGTCATTGATAGCCTGATGGGGATGGCATTGAATCTGTAAATTACCTTGGGTAGTATGGCCATTTTCACGATATTGATTCTTCCTACCCATAAGCATGGAATGTTCTTCCATTTGTTTGTATCCTCTTTTATTTCCTTGAGCAGTGGTTTGTAGTTCTCCTTGAAGAGGTCCTTCACATCCCTTGTAAGGTGGATTCCTAGGTATTTTATTCTCTTTGAAGCAATTGTGAATGGGAGTTCACTCATGATTTGGCTCTCTGTTTGTCTGTTGTTGCTGTATAAGAATGCTTGTGATTTTTGTACATTGATTTTGTATCCTGAGACTTTGCTGAAGTTGCTTATCAGCTTAAGGAGATTTTGGGCTGAGACAGTGGGGTTTTCTAGATATACAATCATGTCATCTGCAAACAGGGACAATTTGACTTCCTCTTTTCCTAATTGAATACCCTTTCTTTCTTTCTCCTGCCTAATTGCCCTGGCCAGAACTTCCAACACTATGTTGAATAGGAGTGGTGAGAGAGGGCATCCCTGTCTTGTGCCAGTTTTCAAAGGGAATGCTTCCAGTTTTTGCCCATTCAGTATGATATTGGCTGTGGGTTTGTCATAGATAGCTCTTATTATTTTGAAATATACGTCCCATCAATACCTAATTTATTGAGAGTTTTTAGCATGAAGGGTTGTTGAATTTTGTCAAAGGCCTTTTCTGCATCTATTGAGATAATCATGTGGTTTTTGTCTTTGGCTCTGTTTATATGCTGGATTACATTTATTGATTTGCGTATATTGAACCAGCCTTGCATCCCAGGGATGAAGCCCACTTGATCATGGTGGATAAGCTTTTTGATGTGCTGCTGGATTCGGTCTGCCAGTATTTTATTGAGGATTTTTGCATCAATGTTCATCAAGGATATTGGTCTAAAATTCTCTTTTTTGGTTGTGTCTCTGCCTGGCTTTGGTAT
Source organism: Homo sapiens (assembly GCF_000001405.40). Taxonomy (NCBI): domain Eukaryota; kingdom Metazoa; phylum Chordata; class Mammalia; order Primates; family Hominidae; genus Homo; species Homo sapiens. Next base: position 30,242,861 of record NC_000015.10, read on the forward strand.
CAGAATGACGCTGGCCTCATAAAATGAGTTAGGGAGGATTCCCTCTTTTTCTATTGATTGGAATAGTTTCAGAAGGAATGGTACCAGTTCCTCCTTGTACTTCTGGTAGAATTCGCCTGTGAATCCATCTCGTTCTGGACTCTTTTTGGTTGGTAAGCTATTGATTATTGCCACAATTTCAGCTCCTGTTATTGTCTATTCAGAGATTCAACTTCTTCCTGGTTTAGTCTTGGGAGAGTGTATGTGTCGAGGAATGTATCCATTTCTTCTAGATTTTCTAGTTTATTTGCGTAGAGGTGTTTGTAGTATTCTCTGATGGTAGTTTGTATTTCTGTGGGATCGGTGGTGAGATCCCCTTTATCATTTTTTATTGCATCTATTTGATTCTTCTCTCTTTTTTTCTTTATTAGTCTTGCTAGCGGTCTATCAATTTTGTTGATCTTTTCAAAAAACTAGCTCCTGGATTCATTAATTCTTTGAAGGGTTTTTTATGTCTCTATTTCCTTCAGTTCTGCTCTGATTTTAGTTATTTCTTGCCTTCTGCTAGCTTTTGAATGTGTTTGCTCTTGCTTTTCTAGTTCTTTTAATTGCGATGTTAGGGTGTCAATTTTGGATCTTTCCTGCTTTCTCTTGTGGGCATTTAGTGCTATAAATTTCCCTGTACACACTGCTTTGAATGCGTCGCAGAGATTCTGGTATGTTGTGTCTTTGTTCTCGTTGGTTTCAAAGAACATCTTTATTTCTGCCTTCATTTCGTTATGTACCCAGTAGTCATTCAGGAGCAGGTTGTTCAGTTTCCATGTAGTTGAGCGGTTTTGAGTGAGATTCTTAATCCTGAGTTCTAGTTTGATTGCACTGTGGTCTGAGAGACAGTTTGTTATAATTTCTGTTCTTTTACATTTGCTGAGGAGAGCTTTACTTCCAAGTATGTGGTCAATTTTGGAATAGGTGTGGTGTGGTGCTGAAAAAAATGTATATTCTGTTGATTTGGGGTGGAGAGTTCTGTAGATGTCTATTAGGTCTGCTTGGTGCAGAGCTGAGTTGAATTCCTGGGTATCCTTGTTGACTTTCTGTCTCGTTGATCTGTCTAATGTTGACAGTGGGGTGTTAAAGTCTCCCATTATTAATGTGTGGGAGTCTAAGTCTCTTTGTAGGTCACTCAGGACTTGCTTTATGAATCTGGGTGCTCCTGTGTTGGGTGCATATATATTTAGGATAGTTAGCTCTTCTTGTTGAATTGATCCCTTTACCATTATGTAATGGCCTTCTTTGTCTCTTTTGATCTTTGTTGGTTTAAAGTCTGTTTTATCAGAGACTAGGATTGCAACCCCTGCCTTTTTTTGTTTTCCATTTGCTTGGTAGATTTTCCTCCATCCTTTTATTTTGAGCCTATGTGTGTCTCTGCACGTGAGATGGGTTTGCTGAATACAGCACACTGATGGATCTTGACTCTTTATCCAATTTGCCAGTCTGCGTCTTTTAATTGGAGCATTTAGTCCATTTACATTTAAAGTTAATATTGTTATGTGTGAATTTGATCCTGTCATTATGATGTTAGCTGGTTATTTTGCTCGTTAGTTGATGCAGTTTCTTCCTAGTCTCGATGGTCTTTACATTTTGGCATGATTTTGCAGCGGCTGGTACCGGTTGTTCCTTTCCATATTTAGCGCTTCCTTCAGGAGCTCTTTTAGGGCAGGCCTGGTGGTGACAAAATCTCTCAGCATTTGCTTGTCTGTAAAGTATTTTATTTCTCCTTCACTTATGAAGCTTAGTTTGGCTGGATATGAAATTCTGGGTTGAAAATTCTTTTCTTTAAGAATGTTGAATATTGGCCCCCACTCTCTTCTGGCTTGTAGGGTTTCTGCCGAGAGATCCGCTGTTAGTCTGATGGGCTTCCCTTTGAGGGTAACCCGACCTTTCTCTCTGGCTGCCCTTAACATTTTTTCCTTCATTTCAACTTTGGTGAATCTGAGAATTATGTGTCTTGGAGTTGCTCTTCTCGAGGAATATCTTTGTGGCGTTCTCTGTATTTCCTGAATCTGAACGTTGGCCTGCCTTGCTAGATTGGGGAAGTTCTCCTGGATAATATCCTGCAGAGTGTTTTCCAACTTGGTTCCATTCTCCCCATCACTTTCAGGTACACCAATCAGACGTAGATTTGGTCTTTTCACATAGTCCCATATTTCTTGGAGGCTTTGCTCATTTCTTTTTATTCTTTTTTCTCTAAACTTCCCTTCTCACTTCATTTCATTCATTTCATCTTCCATTGCTGATACCCTTTCTTCCAGTTGATCGCGTCGGCTCCTGAGGCTTCTGCATTCTTCACGTAGTTCTCGAGCCTTGGTTTTCAGCTCCATCAGCTCCTTTAAGCACTTCTCTGTATTGGTTATTCTAGTTATACATTCTTCTAAATTTTTTTCAAAGTTTTCAACTTCTTTGCCTTTGGTTTGAATGTCCTCCTGTAGCTCAGAGTAATTTGATCGTCTGAAGCCTTCTTCTCTCAGCTCGTCAAAGTCATTCTCCGTCCAGCTTTGTTCCATTGCTGGTGAGGAACTGCGTTCCTTTGGAGGAGGAGAGGCGCTCTGCTTTTTAGAGTTTCCAGTTTTTCTGTTCTGTTTTTTCCCCATCTTTGTGGTTTTATCTACTTTTGGTCTTTGACAATAGCGATGTACAGATGGGTTTTTGGTGTGGATGTCCTTTCTGTTTGTTAGTTTTCCTTCTAACAAACAGGACCCTCAGCTGCAGGTCTGTTGGAGTACCCTGCAGTGTGAGGTGTCAGTGTGCCCCTGCTGGGGGGTGCCTCCCAGTTAGGCTGCTCGGGGGTCAGGGGTCAGGGACGCACTTGAGGAGGCAGTCTGCCCGTTCTTAGATCTCCAGCTGCGTGCTGGGAGAACGACTGCTCTCTTCAAAGCTGTCAGACAGGGACATTTAAGTCTGCAGAGGTTACTGCTGTCTTTTTGTTTGTCTGTGCCCTGCCCCCAGAGGTGTAGCCTACAGAGGCAGGCAGGCAGGCCTCCTTGAGCTGTGGTGGGCTCCACCCAGTTCGAGCTTCCCAGCTGCTTTGTTTACCTAATCAAGCCTTGGCAATGGCAGGCGCCCCTCCCCCAGCCTCGCTGCCGCCTTGCAGTTTGATCTCAGACTGCTGTGCTAGCAATCAGCGAGACTCCGTGGTCGTAGGACCCTCCGAGCCAGGTGCAGGATATAATCTCCTGGTGCGCCGTTTTTTAAGCCCGTAGGAAAAGCGCAGTATTCGGGTGGGAGTGGCCTGATTTTCCAGGTGCTGTCCGTCACCCCTTTCTTTGACTAGGAAAGGGAACTCCCTGACCCCTTGCGCTTCCCGAGTGAGGCAGTGCCTCGCCCTGCTTCGGCTGGCGCACGGTGCACGCACCCACTGACCTGCGCCCACTGTCTGGCACTCCCTAGTGAGATGAACCTGGTACCTCAGATGGAAATGCAGAAATCACCTGTCTTCTGCGTTGCTCACGCTGGGAGCTGTAGACCGGAGCTGTTCCTATTCGGCCATCTTGGCTCCTCTCTCTATCTTTATTTCTTATAACTTGTTTTAATCATCCTGTTTGGGACTCGTAGCTCTGACATTTGGTGATATTAAGAACACAGGGATTACTTATTCACAGGCTGTGATATCACATAGTGGAAAACCTTTATTATTTATGACTCCTGGGATAAATATTCCAGGTTTCTACACACAA